>NC_000006.12:32787272-33090303 GCF_000001405.40 Homo sapiens | reverse complement strand
ATTTCATCTTTCTATAAAGACTAAACATCTATTATGTTTTCAGTTATTTCCTCTTCCTCCACTATTTCCCTGACTTTCTAGACGTCTAATTATTAAGATGTCAGATGTCTGTTTCTATCCTTCATTTCTCTTCACTTGTCCTTTACATTTTCTATTGTTTACTCGATCATATTGTCCTTGGGACAGTTTCTCAGTTTGGCTTTTTGTTTATTAATTACACTTCAGTTGCAAAAGTCCTATTTCTTGTCTCATTTATTATGTTTCTTATTCCAATCTTTATCAAAGCTCAATATTTGTGCTTGATTCAGTGGCTTCTTGCTTTTGCTTCAAATTCCCAAATTCTCCTTTACTTCTCTATTTAAGCCCTTTCTATTGTGAACTAGGGGACATTTGGAAGAAACACACAAACCAATAGAATGTACGTTGAATGGTTATCACCGCAAGCACCCATGTAACTAGTACCCGGGTGAAGAAATAGACTGTTGCCAGCATCCCTGTGCCCCTCCTTAGGCCAGGAGGTAGTGTGTAAGCTTTTCAGGAGCCAAAGGCTGCTGATATCCATAATGCCTAGCATTGCTCCTGGTACACAGTAGGTCCTCCATAAATATCTCTTGTAGAAGTATTTTATTATTTATTTAGTGTGTACTTCTTAAATGTTTTCCACCTTCAAGTATTCCCACTTATTTGAAGTTAGTTGCAGCCATATGATTTACATTGGAAAATGAAATGCGAGAAGTGTGTTCTTTCTAGGAGGGATCATTAAAAGCCAGTGAATAAATTCTTAGGTTCCCTTCATTCTGCTGGGGAGGTTCTGGGAGCAGATGTGCAGGAGAAAGACTGTCAGCCTGACTTCCTGAGTACGATGATGAGCAGAGCTTCCTGCATGACTTACTTTGGACGTGTAACATGAGCCAAACCTGGATATCTGGGTATTTGTTAGTTTAGCACAGCTGATCCTATTCTTACTGTGTAAAAGAAATTGAAGAGAAGGTGCTCAATGAGACTTCAGAGAAGCTGAGAGACAAAAGAACTAGGAGGATGTTTCATCCCATAAGCCAAGTGCACAGTAATTTCAGGGACAGTTTACAATGCAACATGCTCAAAAGGCATCAACTATGGTAAGTGTTCACTGGCCTGGTAGCAAGTGGTTATTAAAACCCCTTTCAAGAGCATCTTCACACCCGATGCCCAACTCCCACCTCCTTCCACTTTCACCATCCCCTGGCTCGGCCTCACTGCTACTTGACAAATGGGGACAAAGAGAGGGTGAGATGATTTCTTCTTAGGGTACCCCTTGATAACCATCTGAGGCAGTGTTGTCTGTTGGGTGGACCACCTTCTCGTTAGGGAACTGTGAGGGGTAGAAAATGAAGGGACCAGGTGGAAAGGGATGGAGGATACAACACTCAGCTGGGAGTCCTAAGCCCGCCGGGTTTTTTCTTCTGCAGGTATCAATTTTTCTGAGTCAGAGGTTGAGTCACCCACTTCACATCTCCTTTAAAGCTCCAGTTCCAACTTTCCTTTGAATCTCTGCTCTTCAACTCCAATGACTGATGTACCTCAAGACTCCTCTACCTCCTGGCTGCCTTTGATCCTGCTGCACATAGCACTCAGCAAAGGGCCTGACTCTTAGAAAACACTCTATCAATATTGAAAATTTGAAGTCTAGTGACAAGGTGGTCCCAGTTTGGATGGTCTCTCAGCTCTTGTCTCCTCTGGGACCTGTCTCTGCACTGCATCCTTCCTTAGAAATCCCAGAGTTTCATAAACACCTGCATATGTCAGAGTGAGACACATCTGATACCTTCTTTCTGTGACTCCAGGGACATTCCTCATCTCCTGACACCCTCAGTTCCCTAGGAGCACATATCCTGTTCCTGTAATGTGGGTGCAGATACCTCAGCTTCTGATCCTGACAAGTGTTAGTCCAGAGATTGTTCACTCCACTCGGGGTACTGCCCTAACCTGTAACATGAGTACAGGAGACAAGCAGGAAAGAGAATGACTCTGACTGGATATGGTTTGTAATTTGTAATGTTAACTGCTCAGTGACTCTGAGGGTAGGATTTATGTGCTCTGGGTCTGAGGATTTCATAATGATCTCGATTTGAAGACTTTCTGCTATTCTCATGACCTCCTTCCATCGTTGAATCCCTGGATTGAAATCATATTAATTTTATGCTGCATAGGTTTCTCACAAGTTTCCTGTGAAGCCAAAAGGGAAAATAAGACAGATAAAGGGTCCTTATTTACTATATACTGTCTTCCTTAGCTTATTATGTGACAGCTGAAATTACTACGCAAAAACAAGTCAGCAGCATTTTCCTTTATAGTTTTTGAGGAAATGAGGCTGATCAGGGATAAAGATGTTTTAAAAAGAAAAAATGATTGTGTCCTATTCCCTAGGTTAAGAAGATTATGAGAAACATGATTGGTTGTCCTTGTGTGTGGCTTCTCTTTCCTGACTCCCTGACTCAGTCCAGCCTCTCTGCAGACTCCAGCTGTATTTACTTATATCTGTGCCAGTGACGCCCAAGTCTGTGCCTTCAGCCCCACCTCTCCTGAAATTGGAGGAAGCCGGTCCCCCGATGGAAGATATTATTTGCAAGGGGAGATGGGCAAGAGGAGCACAGTAGCTTTCGGGAATTGACCAGGGACAGGTGCCCAGGGACACACAAGGCCCAGAAGATGCTTGTAAGAAGCCAGGGAGACTGAAGGCATCAACTGGATGTATAAGAGAGCTGCTGTGCACTGATTGTGTGTATCAGGAGTGAAGAATCCATCCTCTACACGAAAAAGAAAGCTTACAACAAACATGTCCTCTACCTTGACCAAAAGGTGTCAATATGAGACGCAAAACACATAACAATGTTGGATTGTTAAGAAAAAAAAAAAGACCAGTGTTTGAAAAAGAGTGCTACATGTATTGCTTTGCTCTTTCCCCAGTGGGGAGTCATTTCTGTCTGTATGAAAATTAAGACAGGAGGCCTAGGCTGGTGGATGAATGCAGACTTAGACGACAAATGACGTCTATTGGATGCATTCAAAAGTCCAAGCCGTATTTGGTTAAGGAGTATTTGTGATGGCACACAAAGAAAATGGTTAAAGTGTATTAGATTATATTTATGATTTTAAATTCTGATGTTCATTTAACTTCTTAATGGTAATGATAAAACATGCTCTCAGTAAGGTATATGTTGAATTAGTGCTGTGGGAATATGGGTCCTATCAGGCAGATTTGCAGTCTGCTCACCATTGAATAGTTAAGAATAGTGGTCTGAGACATAAATGGATGAGGGCACTAAACTTGATTTGGGGGCAGCTCACTGAAATACAGTCAATTCAGAAGAGTGTCATGTGTAACAGGCCCCATTATACAATAGTTAACATATCCCCATTTTCATGGTTCTCTTCTTTCCTATGTTTAAACCAAAATGAACTTCTTTATTAACTCCTACTGTCTACTAAAACCCTCAGAGAAAAGTGATGAGAGATGATTTGGTGCATATTTTTAAAGGAAAACAAACAGTCATGTTGGGTTTTGATTATTTGTGGTGCTAAGAAGAAGGGAACATGGTTGGAGGCCCAGTGAGAGAAACAGTGCTTTGAATCAAAGAGCAGAATGATAGAAACTGACTTCAGAGCAACTTCTTGGCAGCAGTATCCAATTTGGAAGTTGAAGGTCTGTCCTGGAGCCAGATGCTAACGAAACACAGCAAATGCTTTTCCTAAGGCACAATAGTCTTTTCAGTGAGCTCAGGAACCCTGTGGGGGTAAAAGACAAGTTATCCCAGGTTGCCAGCCTCCTTCCTGTAAGTCCAGGAGAGAAAAATTATGGTGAGAGGATGCGTCTCAGGCTGATAAATAACAGAGTTGATCTCTGCTTCCTTCAGCAATGGAGCCAAGCAATGCTCTTTCCCCACTTGCCTGAAGGCTGACATTGAAAGAGGGGTTCATGCCTGAGATTCCCTTCCTGGAGGAGCCTCAGTGTTACAATGCACAGAAAGGACTCATATCCTCCTGCAACCCACCCCACAAGGAAATCAAAGCAGGAATATTACCTGTTTATGCAGATCCTCGTTGAACTGAAATGAAAGACGAAAGGTTATATAATCAGCCATTGAAACCACCTCAGATAATTAGAGAAACATTTCCATCCCACCAAATTCCATTGCCCATCACTCAATGGACGCTCCGCAGGAGCCTGAGTACTTGGGACCTCATGCATCTGGCTGCATTAAGATCCCAGCCTGGGATCCCTCTCTCGCTATAGGTCATGTTTGTTCCCCGATTATCTGATATCAGTGGCCTCTAGAGCTTTCTGACATTTCTTTTCTGTCAAACCCCTCATCGTGGAATAAGTGTGAATATGCCAGGGGAAGGTAAGTCCCGCTCACCCTGCAGGCTTTCTCACCTTTCTTGCTCCTCCTGTGCATGAAGATGCCCACTCCACAGATGATGAGCCCCAGCACGAAGCCCCCAGCTCCCGTCAATGTCTTACTCCGGGCAGAATCAGACTGTGCCTCTGGGAAGGACAGACCCAGGTTTAGTGTCACCTCCACCAGCTGCATCCCTACTCATGTCCTGTCTGAGATTCTGGAGCCTGATGCAGCATATCGGGATGAGGACAGTGCAGCGGAAAAAGCTTGCTAAGAGGAAATTCAGAAAGAGCCACCCTCATATCTGGAACAGGGGTGTGACCTCAACAAGGTGGCAAATGCTGATTCTGGAAGTTGCCTCTCAAAATGCCTGAGAAGAGGCTAAAATGCTGAAGGAAGAGAACTGTTCCTATGTGTGAGGTCAGTTCCTAAGTGTGAGGGTTTCGAGACCAGTCAGTGTCCCTAGATTCTCTGACAAGGGGGAGAACTATGAATCTTCAGGAACCCCTAAGCCAAGGTCAGGAAGTCTCCATTTCCCTGGCTTCAAACTATGCTCAGGAGCTGGTATAGAAGAAAGATGGGGTTTGGACATGGCCCCAGGGTATAGATGCAGAAGATAAGATGAGTGGACCCCAGAGCCAGAGAGTCCCCTGCTCTTCAGAGGTGGGGTCTAGAGGGTCATCAGAGACTCACTCCACTCCACGGTGACAGGACTATCCAGGCTGGTGTGCTCCACTTGGCAGGTGTAGACATCTCCCTGCTGGGGGGTCATTTCCAGCATCACCAGGATCTGGAAGGTCCAGTCTCCATTACGGATCAGGTTGGTGGACACGACCCCAGCTGTTTCCTCCTGTCCATTCAGGAACCATCGGACTTGAATGCTGCCTGGGTAGAAATCCGTCACGTGGCAGACAAGCAGGTTGTGGTGCTGCAAGGGCCCCTTCTTGGAGGGGGAAACATTCACCCTAGGCTGGACTAGGAGCGTGGAAGAAAAATAATGAAATAGAATTTGAGATTGTCCTTCTTTCCTTCCTTCCTTCCTTCCTTCCTTCCTTCCTTCCTTCCTTCCTTCCTTTTTTTTGAGACATAATCTCGCTCTTTCTTTCTTTCATTCTTTCTTTTTGTTGAGATGGAGTGTCACTCTGTTGCCAAGTCTGGAATGCAGTGGCGCAATATTGGCTCACTGCAACCTCCACCTCCGGGCTTCAACCAATTCTCCTTCCTCAGCCTCCCGAATAGCTGGGATTATAGGTGCCTGCCACTTCACCTGGCTAATTTTTGTATTATTAGTAGAGACAAGGTTTCTCCATGTTGGTCAGCCTGGTTCTCTAGGAGCACTTGACCAACGCCTGACCTCAAGTGATCCACCCGCTCGGCCTCTCAAAGGGCTGGGATTACGGGCCTGAGCCACTGCATCTGCCCAGATTATTATTTCTTAGGCATGTTCACTATGTAATTGATTCCTAGATGTTGAAAATAGGAATAATGTGATTAGGCTAGTGGGTAAGGGTAGCATTGAAAAGATAGAAATAGACCTTCAAGTAGAGCATGCATGATCTTGAATAAAATAATAGTTAGTAAGTATATAGCGGAATGGCAGGGAGACAGAGTTTGCACTCTGTAGCACATTTAGGAGAAATTTTAACCAAAAGTAATTTGGGCAAAGAATATTTGATCAACTGTGAAATTACCTACCTTTTCAAAGTTCTATCTTGATACAAAGGAAGCAAAATTTACTCAAATAATATCTTGAAATTAAGATATACAGACAATGGCATTATGGTGGCCTGTGAATCTAATAACTTCATGAAAATACAAAGAAAATGAAGAGAGCTTTACATGTCTTATTCTGTAAAAAACCTATGTATTTTTTTACCTCACCTACAAAAACTCAAAATCTTCATATTTACAGAATATCCTGAGCTCCTACATGCTTGAGTAGTAGAAATCCCGTCCTTTTTCAAGTTCCTCCTCTGTGCTGCGTCTTCAGGTCCCATGAAGGTCTCACAGATGACCAGGTGTTGCCTCCCTCTGCATCTTTGCATTTGTGCCCCAGCTTGTCCTGTTGTTCTCAGGTGAATTTCCACACTGCCACTGGCAACTTTTCTTTTGGATCTCTGCCACCAGTACCTTTTTCCTCCTCAGAAAGCAGAAAAGGCCAGGCATGGTGGTCATGCCTATAATCTTAGCACTTTGGGAGGTTGAGGCATGAGGATCACTTGAGCCCAGGGTTTTGAGACCGGCCTGGGCAACATAGTGAGAACCCATCTCTAAAAAGAAAAATAAATTAGCCAGACATGGTGGTACGTGTATCTGTAGTTCTAGCTACATGGGAGGCTGAGGCAGGAGGATCACTTGAGCCCAGGAGGTTGAGGCTGCAGTGAGCCATGATGGTGCCACAGCACTCCAGCCTGGGAGACAAAGTGAGAACCTGTCTCAAAAACAAACACAAACACAAAACAAAAAACAAACACAGAAAAGGGTCAAGTGCTCCTAGAGAACAGTTCATTCAGGGAGATCCACTAGAGAACAGCTCTTTCAGAGGACTACCCTAGAGAACAGCTCATCAAGAGGAATGTCTCAAATTAGTCTTCTAGGTCCCTAATCACTCAGTTCTTTCCTTTCTACTTCCTGGAGAACACAAATACCCTAACATGGCGCTGGGCCAGGTAAAAGTACAGTCTTGAACTGACACACAACCCTTACTCCCTATTGTATTTTTGCCTTGTTTTCAGACTGATCCACATTGTCAGCCTCTTCCCTCAATGTGAGTTTATTTCAGGGGCACCTGTGTCTCACTACTTCATTACCTCGGTTAACTCAATGTCCATTACACTATTCAACTTATGTCTAAATCTCAGTTGTGAATTACCTACAATTTCTTCCCCATAGAGCTTCTGGGAACCATGAAATCAGGGGGAATACTTGGGTATCTGTTTTAAGGTCCCAGAACATTCCACGAGAGGCATCTTGCTCAATATTCTTTGACAGGAGCAGGTCAGCCTGGAGCCACATCAGTGACCTCCAGGGTGCGCTGGAGTTAAGGCCTGATACCCAATGGCCTCATTTCTGACCCAGTTCAAATACATTTCACCAAGGCAAGGATTCCTGTTTGTTCTAGTTGCCTTCTCTAATGCCCAGAAAACATTTGCTCAATTACTTCTAGATTTGGGTGGACATCCACCCTGGAATTGTCACTACTTCTTTCCTCCCCCTTCCACCTCTCCCTTGCCTCTGTGTTTTCCCTGTTCTAACTCATGCCTTGATTGCAATTTCCCTGACAAATAATAGCAGTTTCCTACCTCATCTCCCTGCCTCTGGTCCCTCCTCTAGCCAGCACCCTTAGTAGTCTTCTGAAGACACATCTCCAACCTTCTCTTTTTCATTTTTCAAAAATCTTCAGTGTTCTGACAATACTTATCTGGCTACATGGGAACCTCTAGGGAGCTGATTACAAGCAGAGATCCCCAGACCTCCCCACCCAGGGAATCTGAGTCTGGGGGCACTGAGTCTGGAGATCTGTGCATCACAGAGGATCTCCAGAAGAGTCTTCAGAGGAGTGAGGTTGGGGACCTGCGGGCCTGGAGGAGAAACCCACACTCCTTAGGCTGGCATCAGGGCTGTCTGCAATCTGGCAGTTGATTACTGTGAAAGAAAATGCTGCCATGTCACTGATTGGTGCCTCTACAAAGTCTTAGTAACAGTTTTTGCCAATTGCGTTATTTTTATTTGAACACCTCTCTCAACCAATTACCTCAGCAACTTTCCTAAGCTCATGTCACTCACCTCATCCCCACCCAGTGTGTCCACCTTCTCACTCATAGCAGGTGAACTTCCTTTCACTTTCCAGGAACAAGAAAATCAAAGGTGTGATCTCCCCAGCTTCCTCCTCCTCCTCCCTTCATTTTTTTCCTCTTTCTAGAAAAAAGGTCCAGGGCTCAATCCCACATCCTGATACTACTCCCTCAAGTCCCTCAGGTTGGTGCACCAGGCTCCCCACCCCACAAGTTCACAGGAGGAAGCCAAAGCTCCAAGGCCTTCCTGTCCCATCCTTGAGAAATCCTCTTACTGCACACACCTCACCTCTCTCCATCCCTTTACACCCAGACTTCCTGAAGGAAAAAGACGAATGAACTGAGACACTGCCCTGTGACAGCCGTGGGGAACCCAAGACAAGTAAAATCCATCTCAGCCCCGAGGAGGATGCGCCACACTCAGCCTCATGCACCCCCTCCCATTCCAGCTCCTGCCGCTGCGGCCAACCTGCTCTCCCCAGGTCTCCCTGGTTTCCAAACCCACTTTCCATCTTCTGTTTTCTGACCTTCCCAAGTCACTGGCACCGCTGTCCACTGTGCTGCTGAGGTCACCTCCCCTCAGCTTCCAAGACTCTTCTCTGCGGGCCTCTCCTCACACTGCACTTGGGTTTTTTTGGTCTCTTTCACAGGCTTTTCTGTCTTGGCCAAATCACAACTGTCCAGTTCCCAGGATCCGGTCCTTTGCTCTTCCCCCTGGGTCCCCTCTCCCTGGATGGTCTCATGTATCTCAGTCTCCTCCCCGGCTGCAGACCCTTCTGTCTACCTGCCCATCAGACCACCCATCTGCCCCTCAAGCACCTCAAACCCAGCTACCTCCCTGTAGGTTTCTTCTCTGTGTGGCCTGCTGTGCCATCTCCACCTCCATCTCCACACCATACCCTTGTGCGCTGTCCTGTGGCTTCCTTTTTTCACCCCACATGCAGTCAGCTGCCAGGCCTGATGAAGTCCCGGGGGTCTCTCTGCTCTCGTCCTCCTCACTCCATGCTCAGCCCAGTCCAGGTCCCCGCGCTCGCTCCCCTGACAAGCTCCAGATGGGCTCCCCCCATGAATCCCCAACCCAAAGTCCCCTTTCCGCCCGGCACTAAGGTCCCTTAGGCCAACCCGGCTGCTCCTGCGCCCTGGGCACGGGCCCGCGGGGCTGCCCTGGGACCGCCGGCCCAAAGCCCTCACTCACCTCGGCGCTGCAGGGTCATGGGCCCGCCCAGCTCGTAGTTGTGTCTGCACATCCTGTCCGGCACTGCCCGCTTCTCCTCCAGGATGTCCTTCTGGCTGTTCCAGTACTCCGCAGCAGGCCGCCCCAGCTCCGTCACCGCCCGGAACTCCCCCACGTCGCTGTCGAAGCGCGCGAACTCCTCCCGGTTGTAGATGTATCTCTCCAGGAAGCGCTGTGTCCCATTAAACGCGTAGCATTCCTGCCGTCCCTGGAAAAGGTAATTCTCTGCGGGGAGGGGGCGGACATGAGCGGAGGCGCCACTCTCATCTAATCCTCTTTCTCCCTCTCTCTCTCAATATTAACGATTCTTCCCAAATCTTCCCACCCAGGGCTGGATTTTAAAATAGGAGTTTTCCTAGTACCGAGTTCTGTGGTCCTAAGCGGGTCGCAGAGCCTCTCCAGGCCTGTTTTCTCACCACGCAGAGAGAGAATTTACTGAAAAGAATGAGCTCAGGGGCACTGAGTGATCACTAGGGAGGGGCGAGCACTGAGGGGAAGGCAGTCCCTTCTGCTGGTGGCTGGAGGAGGCGGAGACGTTTCACGTGGGGTCACTGGGAGAAAAAACAGGGGCGGGAGGAGCTGGGGACGTGGAGGGCGGAGCTGCTCCCCCTACTTAACTCCCTGACTGACATTTCCATCCTGATGTCAGTCCTGGTTCAAATGCCACCTCCTCCAGGAAGCCCTCCCTTCCTTCTTTCTCTTTTCCATAGCTAAGCGCTCTCTCTTCTCGACCAGTTTCTTGAGAATTCCTCAACTTGCTCCTGTTGTTTTGCATGTAGGAGATGTAGAAATATATTTCTTAAAACTTTCTTCAACTTTGGTATAAGAAAGACTCTGTAGCCTGAAAGTTAATTTTCAAACATGGCTGCAGAAAGACTTGGTGTCAAAAGATGTGGAAAGTATTTTACACAATGAAAATCACCACAACAACCAGGGACCTGTGGGGGTAGAGTCCTTTGGGTTTAGAGGCATTGATGTAATTTTTTTTGGCAGTTTTTATGGTTTTATTTACACACAAAACGTGGACATGAACTTTCTACTCATTTTCTTAGCTGTGCACCCTGGTACTGGGGTTGGTGACTCTGATGGCCGGCTGGGTGACTCTTTCCATGATGACTTTGCAGTTCTGGAGGAAATTTTGTGAGCGATCTCAGCACAGTAAGATTTGTTGCACATCAGCAGCACTTTCAGCTCCTTGAGGCTGTGGACCAGAAACTTCTGGAAGCCACTGGGCAGCATGTTTTTTTTGTTGTTGTTGTTGCTCCCATAAGCAATGTTGGGCATCAAGATCTGGCCCTTGGACCTTCTACGAACCCTACTGTTAAGACCTCTGGGTTTCCGCCAGTTATGCTTAATTTTGACATTTCAGTCTGATTGGTGCCTCATGAACTTGTTGGTCCTCTTTTTGAGGATCTTATCCTTCATGAGGAGTCTGAGGGAGGCCATGATGTGGAGGAAGAGATGGCTGCCAGCTGCATAGGCAGCACCGAGGAAGACAGCATTGATGTAATTTTTACATGAACAATTTTGGCAGCCTTTCCCACATGCTGTTCTTCCTAGGGAGTGCCATGAGCAGTGTCTGGCAGGTGTGTGTCTACACAGAATTATCAGTGACACGGCACATGTTTGTTTCTGTTTGAGTATCTTCAGGCCTGCTCTGTTCTTGGGCACACTGGGGAAATTAAGGTGCTGTGATTGTTCTGCTCATCTGTTTCATGCTCCACAAATTAACTTCTCCAGTTTATTAACCTCACCCCTAGCAGAAGTTGCACAGCTGGTGGCAGAGGATAGTGGAGATGGGGTAGGGCTGGGCTCAAGGGCACCATGGAGTCCACCTTTAGTCTCCAGTGTCATTGCTAAGGCAAGATCCCAGGTCTTGACTCAGATATCCTGACCTGCCTCTTCTCCTGGTGCCTTGGGCCCCAGACCCTAAAATTCCAGGCCCAGAGCCCCCCAGCTCCTTGAGTCCAGATTCCTCCTCCTCTGCCATCCATCCGCCCCTGCCTGTTCAATTGCCCCACTCTGAGTGTGGATTCTCCCATTTTCATTTGTTAGTCTTTGTTTCTCCTCCTCAATCACCAGTAAGAGAACGTTTTTCATTCAAGAATAAGAATTTTGAATTTTTTCTTTGCAACATTTAATTTTTTTAATTTACCCAGTCTTAGGTAATTTTTTAAGTACATTTAACTTTTGAAATGGAATTTTACCTGCCAAGTAGACATAAGCAATGAGGGGTTTTATGGTGTAATTTGAAACCTTCATTTTTTTTTGTATATAAGAAACTTTATCCTGTTTGTGGAACCCTTAGCAATTGAGTTGCCCAGAGCACGGTTTGAAACCACTGATCTGAATGAATTCGTCTCTTATTCAGAATAGGATATATTAAAAACCTCTAGCTCCCTATGGGTTGTCTCAGCCAAGCTTTTCTCCCCCAGCCTCTTTAAGCTATAGCCTGGCTCCTCAGCCCTTTGGTCTTGTGCCCTGTTTGAGGTTGGGGATGTGTGTGGAGTTGGGGGAGCATGCAGGGAATTGTGGAATCAGCCCTGCCCACTTTACCCACTCCCCTATGGCTCCAGCTCTCCCTCCAGCAGGTTTTGATTGAACATTCATTCTACGCAGGGAGCTCCAGTAATCTACCCTCAGTCCCTGTCACATGGCTCCACTGCCTCATCTCATTCCCCCTACAAACCTCAACCCAGCCTTTGCCCGTCCTCCCTTTCACTGCCCAGCATCACATGCCCCCTTCTGCTCTCTGCTCCCCCACCTCTGGGTTTCCTTGGTGGCTCCCAACACTGTCCCTCATCCCACATGACAGCTCTGCCTATGGGATGGGGGCGCTGCATCCGTCACTTCCTCCTGACACTGTTCAGTGTCACCAGTGCTGCTCCAGCCTCCTCTCTCCCCAGCCTCACCCCTCTGCAGTTCCCAGGGCTGAGCCGTCCTGCTGGTTAGTTCTCAGCACCCTTCTGTGACTACAAGTTCAAGTTCTCCTCCCCTTCCTGGACAATGAACCCAAGGTAATAGATAAGAGGTTTTAGGGCTTGAGGGGCTGTATTCAGGAGATTCCAACCTTGCTACCCTGAAAGATGAGGAGGTGACATGATGTCAGTACCTTCTAGGTGTGTCCTAGGAGGGGTGTGGAGAGGTCTAGGAGGAAGGGTGTAAGCAGGAAAAGTGGAAGTCAGTGGAAAACTAAGGTACCTACTTTGCAGTCCTTCCTCTCAGAGTGTTGGTGTAAATTTGGACTAGAAATGTCCTGAGAGTACAATGGTTGAACTAGTTTACAGTCCCACCAACAGAGTAAAAGTGTTCCTATTTCTCCACATCCTCTCCAGCACCTGTTGTTTCCTGACTTTTTAATGATCGCCATTTTAACTGGTGTGAGATGGTATCTCAAGACAGTGTGGCAATTCCTCAAAGATCTAGAACTAGAAATACCATTTGACCCAGCCATCCCATTACTGGATATATACCCAAAGGATTATAAATCATGCTGCTATAAAGACACATGCACACATATGTTTATTGCGGCACTATTCACAATAGCAAAGACTTGGAACCAACCCAACTGTCCATCAGTGATAGACTGGATTAAGAAAATGCACACATATACACCATGGAATACTGTGCAGCCATAAAAAAGGATGAGTTCATGTCCTTTGTAGGGACATGGAGGAAGCTGGAAATCATCATTCACAGCAAACTATTGCAAGGACAAAAAACCAAAGACCACATGTTCTCACTCATAGGTGGGAACTGAACAATGAGAACACATGGACACAGGAAGGGGAACATCATACACCGGGGCCTGTTGTGGGGTGGGGGGAGGGGGGAGGGATAGCATTAGGAAATATACCTAATGTAAATGACGAGTTAATGGGTGCAGCACACCAACATGGCACATGTATACATATGTAACAAACCTGCACGTTGTGCACATGTACCCTAGAACTTAAAGTATATATATATATAAAAAGAAATATCCTGAGAGTATCCTGAGAGAAAAACAATGGATCATAGATGCCATAATATTACACCAGCCACAGGGAGGCAGCAGGAAGAAGAGATTTTTCACTTGGTTACTGCTTCCTTGGCTGTCTGATAACCTACACTCAATCCCTGTCATGCACCCACACAACCTCATCTCATTCTTCCTACAAGTCGCAACCCACTCTAGTACCCTAACCAAGTTCTGGGGAGGCTGGGAGAAGTACCTTTAATGAGAATGCCTTCAGGGGCTAAAACCTATCCCCCTCCCTCCCTTCTCTCCTTAATTGTCCAAGGGATGTGGGCTCCTGCTCCACCCTGGGGAATAAGAGGCATTCTTCGTGAGCACTGAATCCTCAGTGATCCTCAGAGCCTGGACACTCCAGCTTAGGGCTCTCTGCCTGAGTCCCCTCCAGGCTGGATGCAGACATGAACACGCCCAGGAGCCTGCACTTGCCAACTTCTCTCTCTGCAAACCTTGTCTGTCCAAGGTTATCCAGGACCTCTTGGTCCCATTTTCCCCAAAGACACTGACCACTGGGCACCTCTCTCTGTTTACTGTACCCATGTCCTTGGAGAGAGAATAGGCCAGTAGGGTAGCAAGCTATCCTATAGGGGATGAACCTCTTTCTCTAGCTGGGAAGAGAGGACACTGCCTTAGGGCAGGAGCCCCCGCAGCCTGTCTCAGAATTTGATCCCTTAAAGATAACGTCCCCTAGGAATTGTTCCCTGAGCCAGACCCTCCAAGAATGGCAGTTCGGCTCTTACCTGGAGTGGCCCTGCCCTGGACCACAGATGTGAGCAGCACCATCAGTAACGCCGTCAGAGCCACTGTCCGGGGGGCCGCAGAAACCTGCAGAACCATCATGGAGCTGGAAAAGGATGGCAAAATGAAAAGAGCTGCAGTCAGGAAAAGAAGGACTCGCTAAAGGGAGCTCCTGTTTGAAATATTAGAGACCATGAACCCAAGTAGTCTTCTGTGACCCTGGGATTGGACAGAGTCTGAGAAAAGAACCAATGGACACTGAGCTTTGTATGAGTCATTGCTCACTAGGCAGAAAGTTAGTATGAAAGGTCTGAAAATATAAAGCCTGTGATGCACTTAAGATGACGGAGGAAAGACAGTGATACTCATTTTAACCAGTCAGATAAGTCATGATGTTTGGGGAGATTATGCGTTTTCTTTGCTCTGAAGGTGATCTCAAATATTCTGCTGGCCCATCTACAGGGATTATCATTTCCCCAATTCTGCCACACCTCACACACCCACAGGACATGGTCTGTTGTGGAAAAAGTGCTATCTTAGTGTGTAAAAGGTCATTCAGTGGCATGACTTAGAGGGATTAGAGTACCCATCTCAGAACTCAAATGAGGTCTGAGTCTGTCTGTCTTGCCTTTGTCCAAGGGTGTGTTTAAGATTAGCACCCATTCATATTTACTTTCTCCCAGAGGTCTGTGAGTCCTGCGATGTGCAGGAGTTACCAGGTTCTTCCACAGGACTGTCATCAGGGTCAGGAGGGCTCAGTCTAGGGACCTTACACTGGGAGCGTGGACACACCACCTACCCTACCATGTAAATATGCAGCTTTAACGACACTGCCTCTCTTGGACTTCGATTCCTTGTCTTCAATATGGGGATGATATAACCTGCCTTATAGCAAAGCTCTTAAGATCAAATGAGATCAATAGGTCTGAAATTGCTTTGGAAAAATAAAGTCCATAGAGAATATAAATTGACTGGTAAATAAGGAAGAAAGTGAAAAAAAATCATCAAAGACCCCACCTCCTTCAAAGCATCTGATTCTATTTTGTTTAGAGTGAATATTTTTACAAACTTTCAAAGAACATTACTTCTTACTTTAGACACTTATAAATGTGATCCTGTTGGACCACCAATTCTAATTTCAAAAAAAATCAAATTGGCATCATTTCTTTAAATCAATATTAAAATGTAAATAGAAGGCTAGCATGTAAAATGCAAGAGAAGAAAATAATTATGTAGTAGAAGGTGTCTAGTAGGATTAAGGGGCCAGGAGAGGATTGTGGAGAAAAACTCAGTTTTTTTAGTAACTGCCTGGGTGGGACTTTTCTCCTTGTCATTTACCTGCCATAGATAATTAGACAAATACTTCCTCGATGTCTCAGGTAATTTATTTTTACAGTAGACATTAATAATACCTCCCTCAGGTTTAATATGAGGTTTAAATGAGGTAATGCATGCAAAGCACTAATAACAGAATCTCTCATGTCCTAATCTGTTAGTAATTATTATTTATGCAAGGTAAGGCTACCACAAATAAGATAAAATATTAACGTAATATATGTACTTCATCATTACATTAAATAGTAAATGTTTTGTGACCTTCTCTATGAGTATCAAATAAATAGCTCAAAATTGAAATATTTAAAATGAGACTAGAAAAGTATTTCTTAAATATGGTAAAGAGAATATAAAATAAAAAATTAACATTACCTGTAACAGAAAAACATTAGAGAAACCCTTCTTAAAAACAAGATCAAAATATGGGCGCACATTGTTACCACAGGTAATGCTGTCCTGGGTATTCTTATATGAAAATGAAATAACAAGACTAGTAATTTAAAGATAAAAATGTTATTACACTGTTTAAATACCAGGAAAAATCAAATACTAAGAAATCTGAAAAATAAAAATTATCTAGAAATTTCACTAACAAAGGTAACCAGGAATAGATAAACAATTAAAGATCAACTTCATTCAAGTTAATTAAAACCTCTAAATAGAAATTATAACACTTCTGCAGAAATGATTAAATAAAAAGGAGGTATCTCAGGGAGGTGGACCTGAAAGAAAGATTAATTATATATTTTATTAGATAGCACATTCATTCTTAATTATCAGCAGAATATTTTTGTAAAATATTGACAACATAACATAAAACATGATTTAAAATATAGTGACCAAAAAACATCAAAGATCATCTGACTGTCTGGGATGGGGGTGGGGCTCGGGAGAAGGAACATAATGGAAAACATTTGCCGTCAGAAGAAGGTGTAACTTATCTTTTTACATCTCTTTCTCTAACTCTGAAAATGAACTGTGAACTGGAGCTCTCTTGACCACGCTGGTACCTAAAATTCTCCCATCTCTTCCCCAGCACCTTCCAGCGTCCTCTTTACCCAGCAACAGAGAATGTCAGCTCTATGATTTCTCTGATAGGTGAATCCCAGCCATGCTGATTCCTCTCCACCCATTTCCAGTGCTAGAGGCCCACAGTTTCAGTCTCATCTGCCTCCACTCGGCCTCAGTTCCTCATCACTGTTCCTGTGCTCACAGTCATCAATTATAGACCCCACAACATGCGCCCTGAAGACAGAATGTTCCATATCAGAGCTGTGATCTTGAGAGCCCTCTCCTTGGCTTTCCTGCTGAGTCTCCGAGGAGCTGGGGCCATCAAGGGTGAGTGCTCAGGAGGACGCAGGAGCGTCGGGGTGAGTGATGGGGTGGTTCACATCAATTGCTGCTTCAGGGATCACAGATTTTAGGGGCTCATTGATCTATCTGGTCCTCATAGTCTATGTTCCCTCTGGCCCTCATAATAATAACAGCAATAACAGCCAGAATTTATGAGACTCCTGCATAGTTTCTTTCCCCATTTACATCTCACAGGAATCTTCAATGAAGATAATATTCCATTCATTTAGAAATTATTCCTTTTATTTAGAAATTATTTTGAAAAAACTGAAGCTCAAAAAGATGAATAAGTTTTCCAAGGTTACACAGCAGATCAACGAGCCAAGTTTGAAGTCCAGACCCAGCTCTGAGGGTCATACACTGCCTTCCCCAGATTCCTGCACACAGTGACCTACTATCAGGGCCCTCCTATCTCTCTGGGATCCCCAGCCTCTATCTTTTGTGGCTGCTTTACAGGAACTCCGAGCTATGGACTCTGCATTAGGAGACGAAGTGCAAAGAGTGTTTCTGTATCCTCCCTCTCTTCTAGGACCCTAGGGCTCTTCCTGGGTCTTTGTGGGTGGTCACAAGCTTTCCTCTCTCAAGACAGCAGGGTTGCATGGTCTTGATAGCCTTGTGATTCGGGTTCTGAGAGATTCAGGACTGCAAGGGAGGCCTAGACTTTTGATAGCTGCAAGGACTCAGCCAGAGATGGACCGTAGTGAATGCTCCTTTTTCCTGTAGCTGAAATCAGGGAGAATGACATCAAGCCTGTGCATGATGCTGTCATTCCAAAATCTAGTGATGGGGAAGGTTAGAATCCATAACGTACAAGATGCACACTGGCTTCAGACAGTTTTATTTAAGATGTGTAGAATAAAGAGGAGGTCAGGCTGGGTAGAACCAGAAGTATCTATTGCCCTGTTCGCGGTCACCTGAGTTATTTCTAATGTTATGTTATAATAAACACCACAATAGGCTTCTCTTCATAGATGCAAATACTTTTTAGTATTCTTGGTAGAAATTCCTAATGAGCTCAGCTGTCTCTTCAGGGCTTCCCTGCCCAGTCTCTTAACATTTAAACATGTCATTTACCTTAAAAACATAAGTGCAAACCAACTGATAAAAAACAACCTTGCCTTCAGTCTGCATCCTGTCCCAGAGACACTTTCTTTGTGTCCTCACACGTGGAGCTAAGCTTCTGACTTGTCTCTGGTACATCCCTGAGGATCCTCTCATCTTGGCCATCAGGAACCTCTACAGAAGGTCAAATTCAGTGGGTTCTTCTCAGTGCCTCTGACTTGAGTTACTAATAACATTTGCACTATAATCCACTTCTTTCTGATGAACTACCCTGTCCTTATTTTTCTCCTGTTTACCTGGATCCTCCTTATCATCTTTTAAACCACCTCTTAACTATCATGTTCTCTCATTATACCCTGAGATCTCGGCAATTCTGATTTTTGGCACTCTTCCTGGAAAATCTTATTTAACCTGCACCTGCCACTAATGACTCTCAGTTCTATGGCCTAAATTCCTCTCCTGAGACCACCCATAATCCACAAATATCTATGTATTATTTCTCCTTAGATGACTTTCAGGTCTTCTAAGTGCAATAGCCCCACAGTAAACTCAGTATCTTCTCCCGGTCAGGCTGTCTTCCCTGAGAGAAGTGGCTTTTGCCCTGTTTTCTGAATGCCTACATTGAAGCCATCTGTTCCCCAGGAAGCCTTCCCTGATGTGCTGTTTGGTCGCATCTTGTGTATACCTACGTATCTGCACTTATCCTTCTGAACCTGCTGTTGTCCTGTCACTTGTGTTTCCTTCTGTGACTTATACGCGTCTGCAGAACAGGACGTATGTATTATTTTTATTTGGGTATTTAGCATCTAACAGTGTTTGACATATAGTAGTCTTTTAATACATATTTTTGTCTGAATGGAAATGATATTTTGAAGAAAAATAATCTGTTCCATAGCTGGCTGATCTTTGGACTGCAGAACTTGTGAAAGTGTTTTTTAAAAAGCATTTTAAAAAGTACAAGGGACATTCATGTATTAAGAAGATGAGTTTCCAATAACTGCTAGAGGACTTTGTGTCTTTTTATTTTACCCTCTTTTTCCTGATGAGTCCTTTGAGTCCTTTAAACTGAGGAGCAAGCTAAGTTTCCTAGTGAAATACCTATAGGATTTGTTTTGTTTAGTTTCAAATACCACTCTTTGCTTGGCCACTTACTGTGTCAGGGAGTCATTCTCAGTGAAAAATAAGACACAGGTCATACCCTCTAGACACTTACAATTACAGTGGCAAGGAGTCATTCTCCTGTCACTGTAAGTGGCCAAGCACAGACTGGGTCCCCACATGTCAGGGCTGAAAACTCACAGGGAAATCTGTGAGTTGGGAGGTGAGAGCAGAAGAGTCCCGTAGTTCCTTCTCACTCTGATGCATTTATCATTCTAAACCCAGACTTTCACATACACATTCATCGTTTTCTTTCATGATAATAGTTGCTTTTATCCTCTTATCTTTGCTAATTCTTACAAACTAATAAAGACTAAGAAACAAAATAAATTAAATCCTACAGGTGTTCCAAACTCAGCAATAATTTCTAGTTGGCCTCTAAAACAAAAATCAAAATATAAATGTAAGAAAAGTTTAGAATGCTTAGTACCTGTGTGATGAAATAATCTGTACACTAAACCCCCAAGTCATGAGTTTACCTATACAACAAACCTGCACATGTACTCCTGAACATAAAATAAATGTTGAAATATTTTTAAAAAGGAAACAAAAGTTTGGAACAAATGCCAAAATAACTGTACTGTACTTTTGAATTTATATGCCCCAAATGAAAAATATTATCAACAAAGCTATACATTCTACAGTTTCATGTTCATAAACTAAGACAGAAACTTTAAAACTGTCAAGAGCCCTAAAATTTGAAGGATATTTTCTTCTTCCTCTCAATTTTGTATTTTTTTCTACCTTTTCTATAATAAGAAAAAGAAAATGTCCATTCCCCCACCCCCATGACTCTAAAAACAATTTTACATCTGTGTCATAGAAAAATTAAGATCTTAATGGGAGAGAAAACCTCTCTACTAGTTCCGCCAGTAGCCGTATGACCTTAGCAAGTTATTAATATGTAACTTCCCTGCATTTCCTTACCTGTAAAATGTATGATATGTATTTGCTTCATAGGGTTATTGTGACAATTCAGCGAGTGAAATATGTAAAGTATTTAGAAGGATGCCTGGCACAAGTAAGTGCTCAACAAATGTTAGCTGTCATTGTTACTATTACTATTGTGTAGGGTCAGGATGCCCAGACTTTCAAAGACCAGGAAGCAGCTTGACTTATCAGTGATAAACTTTTCATTTTGTTCTTTGCTCCTTTCTTTTTATAACTGCTCATCTGCTCTGTATTATTTCCTTTATGGTGTTGCTCCTTCTTCTTCCCCATATGTCCTTCCTTTGACCTCTTACCTTCTTCCTTTTTATATTCATAAGTCTTTATTCATTCTCTAGCTTTGACCACTTGCATATTCAAACTGACATTTTGTCGTGTTTTTCTCTACTGTCTTTATGCAGCGGACCATGTGTCAACTTATGCCGCGTTTGTACAGACGCATAGACCAACAGGGGAGTTTATGTTTGAATTTGATGAAGATGAGATGTTCTATGTGGATCTGGACAAGAAGGAGACCGTCTGGCATCTGGAGGAGTTTGGCCAAGCCTTTTCCTTTGAGGCTCAGGGCGGGCTGGCTAACATTGCTATATTGAACAACAACTTGAATACCTTGATCCAGCGTTCCAACCACACTCAGGCCACCAACGGTACGCCCTATCTTTGCCTCTTCCTCTGTAGCCCAACTGGAAGGGATGAGAGGGCCTCTCTGCCACCCTCAGACTAGGAAGCCTAAGTGCCCCCTGCTGTGTGATCCTCTTCCCCTAGTGGCCATGGGCTGATCCCACTACAGCAAGGGCTTGCATCCTCTCTTCTCAGGAGAGAGAAAGGTGAGCAGAGTGAGGCTGGTCAGTGGTGTGATACCCCTCTCTGTGATTCAGAGCTGCCATAAAATCTAAGGCTGAGGTAGAGGACCACCCTCCCCTAAGAGGTGGAGCCTTTGTGATTCATCCCAGAAGAGGGGCCTAACCTGGTGCTGTCTCCTTCCAGATCCCCCTGAGGTGACCGTGTTTCCCAAGGAGCCTGTGGAGCTGGGCCAGCCCAACACCCTCATCTGCCACATTGACAAGTTCTTCCCACCAGTGCTCAACGTCACGTGGCTGTGCAACGGGGAGCTGGTCACTGAGGGTGTCGCTGAGAGCCTCTTCCTGCCCAGAACAGATTACAGCTTCCACAAGTTCCATTACCTGACCTTTGTGCCCTCAGCAGAGGACTTCTATGACTGCAGGGTGGAGCACTGGGGCTTGGACCAGCCGCTCCTCAAGCACTGGGGTATGCAACTGCTTTTCTCTCCATAATCTCCTGGCATCCTCTATTCCAAAGACCTGGTGTCCTCTGCACCAGCTTTCCGCACTGGCTGGGTCTCAGTCCTCTCCTCGTCCTAACATCCAATTAACTGGTCCATAACCTTCAATTCCCACAACCATCCCAGGCCATCACCACCCTCACTGCACCTCCTGACCCTATCTCTTCATTCTTCCCCCAGAGGCCCAAGAGCCAATCCAGATGCCTGAGACAACGGAGACTGTGCTCTGTGCCCTGGGCCTGGTGCTGGGCCTAGTCGGCATCATCGTGGGCACCGTCCTCATCATAAAGTCTCTGCGTTCTGGCCATGACCCCCGGGCCCAGGGGACCCTGTGAAATACTGTAAAGGTGGGAATGTAAAGAGGAGGCCCTAGGATTTGTAGAATGTAAGGAAGGGAGGAAAAATTCAATCTGATAAGTGTTCATTGATCTTCTAATGGGTTAAAAGCATTCAGCCACATAACAACAACAACACCGATAACTAACTGAGTAGTTAATATGGTCAGGCGCTATTCTGAGGATTTACATTTATTAACTCACTTTATTCTCACACATAGTCTTTGAGGTAGGTACTATTATTTTCACTATTTCACATGAGAGATACTTACATCTTTTTACATACACAGAGACTTTAAGCACTTTGATCAAGTTCCCACAGCTATGAAGTAGTAGGGCTAGCTTCCAATCCAGAAAGTCTGGATCCAAGACTGTTTATCCACTGTCCTATTCACCCTATTTTGTGAAGGAAAAGACCAAGTTCAAATTCTCCAGAGTCCATTGCCAAATAATGGAGTCAGATCTATATTTCTATACATAATTACAACACAGTGTGGTGGGTGCCTGTAACTACTTACTGTCTCTACTTGGACTCATTCCATGGCAATGTTCACACAAAAAATGCCCCTCCAGAGATCTTACAGGTTTCTATTTATCATAACACTCACCATGCTTTATATTTTTATATGTTTTGGGAATTCTCTTAGCATTAGACAGTGAACTTCCATGCAGATGACCACATCTAATTCATTATTATTATTGTTATTCATGCTGGACCTCAGGTACAAAAGGTTAAGAACTTCTCAGTTCATTATATGATCATCATTGGTGCCTCCGAGCTCTCTCTCTCTCCCTTGATTTATTTGGTCCCTTTTATCTCCAGTCCTTACTCCCATATCTAACCTCTTACCCCTACCTCATAGGTAAACATTTTAATGAATTTGATGTTTCCTTTTATTTGCATAGATCCTCTGTAATATGTAGTAGTGTCCAGTGTACATGTATTTTTAATTAACCAAAATGGCATTAAATTATAGATCTAATTTTGTACATCCAGTTTGTTTCTTCCAAATCTTCCATAGTATTTTACTTTATATGTCCATGCATTAGTCCATTTTGCATTGCTATAAAGGAATATCTGAAGTTACCTAATTTACGAAGAAAAGAGCTTTAAATGGCTCACAGATCTGCAGGCTGTACGCGAAACATGGCACTAGCATCTGCTTCTGTTGGGGGATTCTGGAAGCTTTTACTCATGGTGGAAGGCAAGTGGAGCCAGTGCATCACATGGTCATAGAGGGAGAAAGAGACATAGAAAGAGGTGCCAGCCTCTTTTTAACAACCAGGTTTCATGTGCACTAATAGAGTGAGAACTCACTCATTACCCGGAGAGGGGACAAAGCCATTCATGAGGGTCTCCTCCATGATTCAAATACCTCCCACCAGGCCCCACCTGCAACACTGGGGATCAATTTTCAACATGAGACTTGGAAGTGACAAATATCCAAATCATATTAATCCACATATCTACATTGCTCCTGGGATACCTGGATCATTCCTGGTTCTCTACTATTGCAAGCAATGCTTGTATCTCACATGGAACTGCATATACATGTGGGCCTGACCTGCATCCCTGGAATGTATGTATCCTAGAAAGGGGTTGCAGGGTTGCTGGAGATGCAGCTCCTTAATTTGACTAAACACTGCTCATCTTCTCATCAGAATGGCTGTACTCATCTGAACTTCCTTTGTCAGTACTCTAATTGTCCTGCAACTCCTAAATGGACTTCAACACTGGACATTATCCAGTTTTCTAACTTTTGCCAATTTCATGTGCATAAAGAAATATGCTGTTTTATTTTGCATTTCTTTAATTACTAATAATTGGGGCTATAATTAGGACTGATTAGCCACTTGGGGGTTCCTTTTCTATAAATTGCCTGTTCACATTCATTGTCCATTTTTGTACTATGTGCTTCCATCATTTTCTTATTGATTTGCAGGTGATCCTTATATAGTCCTGCTAGTAGTCCCTTGTCAGTTTTAGGCATTGCAAATGTTTTCCTCTAATCTGACTTCTGGCAACTGTCTCCTTGGTTTCCTTTATTGAAGAGAAATCCTTAATATTTTGTAATGAAGTCCATCAACTGTATTTTTGTTTGTGTGTCTTTTTTAAAAGAAGTCTTCCCTATACTGAGATATCAAAGATACTCTTAAAACATCTCCTACAGTTTTAAATTTCACATTTACTACTTTAATTCATCTGGGATTCATCTTTGTGTTTGATGGGGATCATGTTTTATTTTTCTTTATATAATGGGCCAGTGTGTTCCCACAACTACTAAATAGTTCACCTTTTCCCCATAGGTTAGTAGTGTCTCCTTTGCTATACTGAAAGCTCCCATTATAGGTGGGCCTGTGTCTGAGTTCCATCTTGTTCCACTGTTCTGTTTGTCTCTTCTTGTGCCAGTGTCCTAGTATTTTGATTACTATGACATTGTAGTGTGTGTTAGTATCCAGTAGGACAAATTCTTGTTTATTTTTCTTAGTTCACACACATTTATAATTATATCTATAATGATTTGTAACAGAGTGAAGTGAATGTAGAATGTCAGATGTTAAGAGGAAGAATGGAAAAGAGGGCTGGGACTAGGGTGATGTAGGGGATGCACCTGGCTTAGGTGCAAAATTTGGGGGATACCAAAAGAACTCAGTAATAAATCATATTTTAATGAAATATCTTGAAAAGGCAAAATTAATGCAAAGATACATGATTAACAAAACATCCAAAGAGGAGTATTTAACAAAAATGGAGAAGCAGAGAAGCAGAAGAATTAGGAGAATATGCTGTCACATGAGCCAAGGAATTAAAGAATTCAGGAAGGAGGAAGTACTGCTGTCAGATGTTCAACAGAGGTCATTTTAGAAAATTTACCTTGGTTTTTGAAATCCTTTCAAAGAGCAGTATACACAATGTGAGCAAGTATCCTTCGTTCATTGCCGTCATTGATATGGTTTGGATATTTGTCCCTTCCAATTCTCATTCCAGGGTTAAGCTTCTTCTCTGCCCTCAGTAATGTGGCCCTTCCCCTTGTCTGTATATTTTGGAGACATGAAGCATGTGGGATGGCCTCACAGTCAGCTGGGGTTTGAGGGTGAAATTCAATGACTTTCGTGAACTCCTTGGCTCCTATGTGCTCTTCACCTGGAGGACCAGGGCATGTGCAGGGATGACCACCTTCTCCCTGGGACCTGAACAGGGCAGAGAAATGGGAAGCTCGGGTGCAAAGGGAGTGGGGAAGATGGGTCCGGGCTTACAGTACTGAACCCAGGAATGACAATAACTGTGTGTGTTGCTGCAGGTGACAAAATATCTGAACAGAAGAGGACTTAGGAGAGATCTGAACTCCAGCTGCCCTACAAACTCCATCTCAGCTTTTCTTCTCACTTCATGTGAAAACTACTCCAGTGGCTGACTGAATTGCTGACCCTTCAAGCTCTGTCCTTATCCATTACCTCAAAGCAGTCATTCCTTAGTAAAGTTTCCAACAAATAGAAATTAATGACACTTTGGTAGCACTAATATGGAGATTATCCTTTCATTGAGCCTTTTATCCTCTGTTCTCCTTTGAAGAACCCCTCACTGTCACCTTCCCGAGAATACCCTAAGACCAATAAATACTTCAGTATTTCAGAGCGGGGAGACTCTGAGTCATTCTTACTGGAAGTCTAGGACCAGGTCACATGTGAATACTATTTCTTGAAGGTGTGGTTTCAACCTCTGTTGCCGATGTGGTTACTAAAGGTTCTGATCCCACTTGAACGGAAAGGTCTGAGGATATTGATTCAGTCCTGGGTTTTTCCCTAACTACAGGATAGGGTGGGGTAGAGAAAGGATATTTGGGGGAAATTTTACTTGGATGAAGATTTTCTTGGATGTAGTTTGAAGACTGCAGTGTTTGAAGTCTCTGAGGGAAGAGATTTGGTCTGTCTGGATCAAGATTTCAGGCAGATTAGGATTCCATTCACAGCCCCTGAGCTTCCTTCCCAAGGCTGTATTGTAATTATAGCAATATTTCATGGAGGATTTTTCTACATGATAAACTAAGAGCCAAGAAATAAAATTTTTAAAATGCCCTAATTCATTGCAATTTTTACCAGCCATAGTCACTCCATGTGGGAGAACTTAAATCATGATTACCAGAGCTTTCAAAGGTTTGAGAATAGTGATGATTATGAAGAAAAATATCTTATTTGAGCAAGGATTTTGTTTCTTTATGAGTGTTCATTAGATATTACGATGAAAAAAGCATGAAATGGTAAAAATTCAGATAAATATAAAAACATGTTCTCTAGTTTTTTTTAAGTTAAAAAAGGAATTGTTTAAAGTAAAAATTATTTGGGGGTTTATAACATACCCAGAAGTAAAATATGATGACAATGGCACAAAGAATAGAAGGGAGAAATGGAAGTATAATGTTGTAAGTTTCTTATACATGTTAAGTGGTGTGTTATTATTTGAAGGTAGAATGTATTAAGATGAATATTTTAAGCTCCTGATAACTATTGAAAAAAAAAGAGGTATAGCCAAGAGGCCAATGGAGAAGATAAAATAGAACACTAAGCATAATTAATTCAAAATAAAGAAATAAAAAAGGGAAAGTCTGGTAAGACAAAAAGAAAACAAACTGTAAGATGGTAGAGTTTAAAACAACCATACTAATAATTGAATTAAATGCACATGGCCTAAATATTCTAATGAAAAGGGAAAGATTGTCAGAATGCACAAAAAAATCTACAGGCCAACTTCATGCTCTCTACATAATGCCCTCTTTAAATATGAAGGCAAAGACAGGTAAAAAGTAAAAGAATGGGAAAATACATGTATACCGTGGAATGCTATGCAGCCATAAAAAAATGAGTTCATGTTGTTTGTGGGGACATGGATGAAGCTGGAAGCCATCCTTCACAGCAAACTAACACAGGAACAGAAAACCAAACACCACACGTTCTCACTCGTAAGTGGGAGTTCAACAATTAGAACACATGGACACAGGGAGGGGAACACCTCACACCAGGGTCTGTCAGGGCATGGGGAGCAAGGGGAGGGAGAGCATTAGGACACATACCGAATGTATGCATGGCTTAAAACCTAGATGATGGGTTGATAGATGCAGCAAACCACATGGCACATGTATAACTATGTAACAAACCTGCACATTCTGCACATGTATCCCAGAACTTAAAGTAAAAAAAAAAAAAACGAAAATAATGCCAACCATGGAAGTATTGGTGGCTGTGTTAATATCAGAAATATAAGACTCAGAAATATTACCAAGGAGAAAGAAGGATAGTTCATAATGATAAAAGGATCATTTTATTATCAACATATAACAATCCTAAATGTGTTTGTTCTTAGAAAATATGTCTTAAATCACATTATACCAAAAATGATAAAAATAAATCAGAAATAGACAAATTCACAATTATATTTTAGTATTCTAGCACTCAGTAAACAATAAAATATTTAGGAAAAAACTTCATGAGGACATGATAGATTTAAATAACATTATCAATGAACCAACGTGATCTAATCAAGATCTGTAGAATATTCCACCCAATAGTGGCAGAATACACATTATTTTCAAATGCTCAAGAATATTCCACAGGACAGACTATACACTGGGTCATAAACACATATAAATAAATGTCTAAATAAATAAATGTCTCTATTGAAATCATACAGAATACATTCTCGGACCACAATAGCATTAAATTAGAAACCAATAACAGAAAAATACCTTGAAAGTCCCAAATACCTAGAAATTAAAAAGTATACTGCTAAACAGCACCTGGATTTAAAAAGAGTCAGAAGGAAAATTAGAAAATATTTTGAACTGAGTGAATATGAAAGCACACTATCAAAATTAGTATGATACACTAATTAGAGAATAATTTATAACTTTACATAATTGGAAAGGAGGGAAACTCTAAAATCAACCATCTATGTTCCCATCTTAAGAAGCTAGAAAAAAAAAGTCAAATGAATCCCAAGATTAATAAGATCAGAAATAAATGCAATAAAATGGACAAACAATAAAGAAAATAAACAAAGTCAATTGCTGGTTTTCAATAAGGCTCAATACATTCATGAATCTCTAGGTAGATGGATCAAGAAAAAGAGATAAGACTCAAATCCCCAATATCAGAAATGGAAGTGGGTACGTCACAACAAATCATACAGACATTAAAAGTATTATGACAGAATGCTATGAAAATGCCAATAAACAAAAATGACAATAAATTTGACAATTTACATTGTTAAATTAAATTAAATTTGGTGTAAAGCTTTCTCCATATCTTAAATTCCTACATAGCAAACTAACCCAACTTAACATAACTGCGTTATGCAAACAAACTACAGCCTAACTTAAGAGTGTTGTAATAAATAGCTGAGTCTCAGCCAATCACAGGCTGCCAAGTGATCATATTATGTCCCCCATAAGGCAAATGCCTCATCACGCCATGCCCATATAAGGCAAACACTGAGCTGTAATAAATTGGCTGGTTTTGAGTATCACTTCCTGTTTTTATCTATAAACACTGCCTTCACATGTTGCTGGACAGAGCTTTCTGAATCTTTCTGGGTTCTGAGGGCTCCCCAATTCATGAATTGTTCTTTGCTAAATAAACTCTGTTAAATTCAACTTCTCTAAAATTTTTATTTTAACAACATGAAATAGAAACATTTCTTGAACGATTCAAATTACCAAAACTAAATCAAGAAGAAATCTCTGTCAATGGAAGAAATTAAGTTTGTAATTTTAAAAATCCTTCTCACAGAGAAGGCCAAATGGTTTCCAGGTCAGATGGCTTCATTGATTAATCCATAGTATTCTGTCATAATACTGTCATAATACTTTTAATGTCTGTATGATTAATTCTATTATACATTTAAGGAAGAAACAATACAAACTCAATACAAACTCTTTCAACAAAAGAGCAGAAGAAAACACATCCCAATAATTTACAAGTCCAATATACTAACATCAAACAATGACATTAAAAGAAAAGGAAACTAAAGACACACAAACATAGCCATGAAAATGTTTAACAAAATATTTTTTAAAATTGAATTCAATAATATATTAAAAAGGATGATATAACATGATCATAAAAGTTTATGCCAGGAATGGAAGGCATGTTTAACATGCAAAAAATCAATGTGATTCCACATCTTAACAGAATACAAAGAAAAATTATGTAATTATGTAAATGGATGCAGAAAAAGGCATTTGCTCATTCATGATAAAAAGTCCTAGAAAACTAGGAATAAAAAGGAATTACCTGATAAGGTGTGTCCATGAAAACCAACAACTGAAATTTTCAATTTTGGGTGGGGGAGGGGGGCGGGCATTTTACTTTCTCCATAAAACTATTAAATTATCTAATGTGAAAGTGGAATTCAGTGAAGAAATGTTCCCTACTGCAAAAATACAAAATGCTGGACATTCTGTGAACAGTTTCTATGCATTCTATATAAATGAAACTATTAACTATATAATACATTTATTGAAAAAAGAAGATGGCCTTCTTTTTTTTTCCTAATGGCTGTTGAATTTATTTGCTTGATCAATAATGGTCCTGGCAAAAATTGACCAATGCTGAGACATTTGTAATGAAATACTAATTTTAAAAGTCCATGACACCTTGATAGAAATTAGAGTTTACACAAACAAAAAAGGAACCTTCGATATTTCCAGCAGCTACAAGGTGAATGTACTGAGACCGACAGGACAGCAAGAAGGCATTTGCACATTTATATCTGACACCAGACCACACTTTCAGCCACCAGAATATCTTCTCTCCATATTTTAAAAAATAGTGTCTCTCCCTCTCCCTCTCCCCACGGTCTCCCTCTCCCTCTCCCTCTCCCTCTCCCCACGGTCTCCCTCTCCCTCTCTTTCCACAGTCTCCCTCTGATGCCGAGCCGAAGCTGGACGATACTGCTGCCATCACGGCTCACTGCAACCTCCCTGCCTGATTCTCCTGCCTCAGCTTGCCGAGTGCCTGCGATTGCAGGCGCGCGCCGCCACACCTGACTGGTTTTCGTATTTTTTTGGTGGAGATGGGGATTCGCTGTATTGGCTGGGCTGGTCTCCAGCTCCTAACCGAGAGTGATCCGCCAGCCTCGGCCTCCCGAGGTGCCGGGATTGCAGACAGAGTCTCGTTCACTCAGTGCTCAATGGTGCCCAGGCTGGAGTGCAGTGGCGTGATCTCGGCTCGCTACAACCTCCACCTCCCAGCAGCCTGCCTTGGCCTCCCAAAGTGCCGAGACTGCAGCCTCTGCCCGGCCGCCACCCCGTCTGGGAAGTGAAGAGCGTCTCCGCCTGGCCGCCCATCGTCTGGGATGTGAGGAGCCCCTCTGCCTGGCTGCCCAGTCTGGAAAGTGAGGAGCGTCTCTGCCCGGCCGCCATCCCATCTAGGAAGTGAGGAGCGCCTCTTCCCGGCCGCCATCACATCTGGGAAGTGAGGAGCGTCTCTGCCTGGCCGCCCATCGTCTGAGATGTGGGGAGCACCTCTGCCCTGCCGCCCCGTCCGGGATGTGAGGAGCGTCTCTGCCCGGCCGCCCCGTCTGAGAAGTGAGGAGACCCTCTGCCTGGCAACCGCCCCGTCTGAGAAGTGAGGAACCCCTCCGCCCAGCAGCCACCCTGTCTGGGAATTGAGGAGCGTCTCCGCCCGGCAGTCACCTCCTCCGGGAGGGAGGTGGGGGGGTCAGCCCCCCGCCCGGCCAGCCGCCCCGTCCGGCAGGTGAGGGGCGCCTCTGCCCGGCCGCCCCTACTGGGAAGTGAGGAGCCCCTCTGCCCGGCCAGCCGCCCCATCCGGGAGGGAGGTGGGGGAGTCAGTCCCCCGCCCGGCCAGCCGCCCCATCCGGGAGGGAGGTGGGGGGGTCAGCCCCCCGCCCGGCCAGCCACCCCATCCGGGAAGTGAGGGGCGCCTCTGCCCGGCCGCCCCTACTGGGAAGTGAAGAGCCCCTCTGCCCAGCCAGCCGCCCCGTCCGGGAGGGAGGTGGGGGGTCAGCCCCCTGCCCCGCCAGCCGCCCCGTCCGGGAGGGAGGTGGGGGGGTCAGCCCCCCGCCCGGCCAGCCACCCCATCCGGGAAGTGAGGGGCGCCTCTGCCCGGCCGCGCCTACTGGGAAGTGAGGAGCCCCTCTGCCCCGCCACCACCCCGTCTGGGAGGTGTACCCAACAGCTCATTGAGAACGGGCCGTGATGACAATGGCGGTTTTGTAGAATAGAAACGGGGGAAAGGTGGGGAAAAGATTGAGAAATCGGATGGTTGCCGTGTCTGTGTAGAAAGAGGTAGACATGGGAGACTTTTCATTTTGTTCTGTACTAAGAAAAATTCTTCTGCCTTGGGATCCTGTTGATCGGTGACCTTACCCCCAACCCTGTGCTCTCTGAAACATGTGCTGTATCCACTCAGGGTTGAATGGATTAAGGGTGGTGCAAGATGTGCTTTGTTAAACAGATGCTTGAAGGCAGCATGCTCCTTAAGAGTCATCACCACTCCCTAATCTCAAGTACCCAGGGACACAAACACTGCGGAAGGCCGCAGGGTCCTCTGCCTAGGAAAACCAGAGACCTTTGTTCACTTGTTTATCTGCTGACCTTCCCTCCACTATTGTCCTGTGACCCTGCCAAATCCCCCTCTGCGAGAAACACCCAAGAATGATCAATAAAATAATAATAATAAAAAAAAAATAGTATGCTGATTTCTACAACAAAGATTTTTTTCATACAAAAATCAAATCATGGCCAGAAGATATCCTTCTTAAACTGGATGCCAGATGAGCATGCTGAACACAAAGCATGGTTTGTAGAGAAGAGATGTTTCTAACAAAAAAATTAAGGACAGAGTTTGAGGTAATGACGGAACATCCAGACGGATGTGCCCAGTACATATACTGAGATGAAGCCAGAGACTATACACTAATGGGTTTTTCTGTGGCATCATGATTGATGCCATGAGGGTGACTGAGATCTGCAGGAGAATGAGTGTAGAGAGATGAGCAAAGGGCTGAAGATTATGCCTTAAGTATGTCTCCATTTAAAAATGGGAAATGGAGGAGCAGTGCACAAAGGAGTATGCATTATTTCCTGCCTCAGCGTTTTGGGGTAAATAGGGTAAGGAAGAGAGGGCTATGGGAAGAGAATGACCTGTCTCTCCATCTCACTTATAACTATCTGGTTGACCACCAACTGGATAAGACCAAATAGTTTGATATACCTGTCAAGGGACTTAATATAACATTAGCCTGCATTAATATCAGCAATATTTCTGTAATAAGGAAGGTGATAGATCTCCTATTCCCTTCTTGAACTTTACTTGAAGCTCTGTACACTCAGACATAGATTTTTAAGAAAAATCTGTACCACCTGGACAGAGGTATAAAGGAAAATGGAAAACAGGAGTAAAATAGTTCAAAGGGTTGTGATTTTGGAGCCATTAAAGAATCTGGTCAAGTTTGGTTTGGTGAAGTGAAAAAAGCAGAACCAGGATTGGTTTAAGAATCTCTGACTCCAAATAACTATACCTCAACTATGGAGGTCCTAGGAGGTCAGGCAGGGGTGTGTTGCTTTATTTATGAGAAAAGTGTACGCACGTATCTCTAAATATGTAAGGTACATGATGATTCCTTTTTTATTGTCTTGAGTAGGATGATCTGCTCCTAGCAGCGTGCAGATGGGGCTTATGTAAGCCCTAAGCACTCGTGTATGACAGAGGAAGAAAAGGTTCTTCCTTAGGATGAGAGAACTTCAAACAAGATTACTCCAGCCCATCCTCCCATTTGCTCTCTCTTTCTGTTTTCAGCTCACATAGAAAAGCCCTTTTTGGTATTTAAGCTCAATTGCTCTTATTGTGGGACAGTGGAGGCTGTGTATTACACCCATAAAAACTATTTGTCTCTATTTCCTCTCTGAAAAGGTAGCATTGCAACACTTCCCTCTCTGCTTTCCCTTCTCTCTCTTAGCCAGGGGCCCCATTGCTCAGGGTTAGAATACACAGTCAACTAAAAAAATCTGTCCCATAAAGGGACTGTTGAACACTCAACTGTCTGTTTGATGGTTGAAGCTAAGCTCTAAGAGTGAGAGTAAAATGCCGATGGAGAAGGTTTGGAGAAAGCTGTGATGACAAGAATTATCACTTCTGCTTAATGACTTTCCCTCCAGCCAATGAGATTTGAGTGTGAAGCATCCTCACTTGTGACCAGGTAATAAAGGTACTGAGATTGTCCTGAGTGAGTTGCAGAGAAGGGAGAGGTATGGCATGCTATCAAGAGAACAGTTCTTTTCATAGTGGGAAAATGTATCAGAGTGTCACGTGGACATAGAAGTGAGAGAACTGAGGGTTGAAGTGGGTTCTTGGGAAGGTTACATCTTCTGCTGTTGAGAAAATCTGAAGTGTATGCCAACTAGGGTTAGAATTGCTGCCTCACAGGAAGTAGCACTCTGTGCAGCCACCAATTAAAGCTGCCCTGCCTGGATCCTTTTAGTATTTTGGGATTGATAAATAGATATGAATAACAAATGGGCAAACCCAGGCAAGGTAAAACTAAGGAGAAAACATAGAAATAGTGCACAGAAACGAGTTAGAGAAGAATAAAACAGAATATAAGTACAAGTCTCCTTACCTGTTGGCACATGGGAATAGTTTTGGTGTATGCTAAAATAGTTTTTCCTTGGAGCTTCAGGTTGTAAATTGCTAAGGAAAACCTGCTTGGTGCTGGAGTCCGGAGTCTTTACTTTTCTTCTAGTTACAGCTCTCAGATGCCTGTTCAGGTTCTCAGAAGCATAGTACCCATTAGCTACTTTGTTAGATCCACTGTGAAATTTGGCTTCCATATCCGGTTTTACAATTCAATGTTGGATCAAAAAGACTGGTTGGCCTCCTAGAAGCCTTTCTAAATTCTACTGAGCTGGAAACGGTTAGAGAAAGAGCTGTCTACTCTCTGAGGAGCACTTCTGAGTTACTTCTACTTCACAGGTTCTAACACAAAAGGTGTTAACCCTAGAGGATTAGAACCTAATCAGTTATGGCAAACAGAAGTTACATCCCTGAATTTGGAAAACTAAGATATGTACATGTATCCATTGATACCAACACTCATCTAATAAGTGCACACGCTCTTCTGTTGACTGAAGTGTACAGATGTGTGCAGCAACACGTCTGTCAGGCAAGGCAGTCATCGCTTTCATTCCGGCTTTGCATCCTAGAATTAGCAAATAACATAAGACAATCATGAGAATAATTAGCAATATTCTTTTCCAGTCAAAGAGTGAACCCCAGGAGCGGGGGTCTAACCAGGAGTGATGATCTTGCACACCCTTCCATATGGCTGTTTGTTGGGTGTGTAGATCTATAGTGGGAAGGGATTCTAAAATTTTAGTTTGAAGTTGCTTTACATCTGCTATTAAATTGTCATGAAATGTTCCCCAGAGGTGTTGTTTCACTTCATCCCAACTATGTATTGATTGATTCTATGATAGAGAAGTGACGCAGATATGTTTATGCGCCCAGTCGCAGTTTAGTTGCTGTTAGAATACCAGTGCATCTTGTTACTCCCCCATATATTCCAGGGCAGCCTCAAGGGCCTCAAGGGCTTGCAGACGTGCAAGAATCTTTTGCTCTATACCCTGCTGTAAGAGAAGTTCATTAGACACATTTCTGGCCAAATTATCTACAAAAGCACCTATTTGTACTGATTCAGTAATAGCTGCTACAGCCACACTAGCAGTTGCTAGGATGACTGTGGCTGAGACTATAAAGGCTGTAAGTGTGCCTATGTATCTTTTGGGTCTGGCCTAGGACAGGGCACATTCTTAGGTGGCAAGGGCAGAGGAACTTTGCCAATCGCATGTCAAATTGACTGGGTAGGAATGCCTCAGATTGTCTCCTTAATACCATGACACTAGTAATATTTAAATTAGATGTATTATAATTAGTGATACATGAGGCAAACCAAGCCTGTTTCTGCACCTGGGTCACAAATGAGGAGTTTTGGGGTGTAATGGAAATATCAGTTCCCATAAGGAAAATATATGTATGGGTAGTGTAAATTAGGCACTGATCAGTGTGATTATGAATAAAGGTTATAGTGTATTTGCCACTGGAATTATGATATGTCCATGCCAGGTGAAAAGGAGGTGCTAAGATGTCTCAGGTACCATAAAATGTCTTGGGTAGCATGGACTTTACTTGGGGTATGGGATAACCCATCCCCCCTATTGGCCCAAATCATAGGGGAACGTGATGAGGCTACGAAACTGTGATTGACACCATGATGGATGAGGACATCAGTAAGGATGCCCTGAAAATGGCCGTGGGGGCTCCAGTCTAAGGTATTATAATGGCCTAGCTGAAGGCTACAAGCTTATTCCCCGTGACAGACCTCCCAGCTAAAGTGGAATCCATTACTTTCCCAGCTTTGTTCTTTAGCACAGGAAGGAATGTTTGGGAAAGAGTCATTGATTGCATTACCTGATTTGAAGCTACCTGCAGCTAAGACTTTAAAGGCATTTCTTTTGCCATGATGTAGCCATAATTGTGTTTGGGCAGGTACACAGTAAGGGTTATAATCTTTATAACTTACACACAGTGGGAGGATAGTGGAGTGATATGCAGTGTTTCTGGCACCTTAGTCCAATGTGTGCCATTATCGAGGGACCCCACTGGGGGTAAATCTATCCCTCCTAGCCAAGCAGTTATGTTATTAAAAGTTGGGAAGGGAGTGTCTGCCTAGGTGACAGGGTGAAAGAAAGGCGGATCTAAGATATGAGCCCAATAGAGTGTAGCAGGAACAGGTTGCAGACAAAGCACGAGCATAAAAAGGATCAATACCCTACATGAGTTGCAATGTACAACAGAAATCATAGCAAGGAGCAAATTATCTGGAGTGAATGGTGTTTGTGTCCAGAGCAGGGTTCATTCAGCCTCCCGAGTTGTCCTCTTCAGCATTCCCCAGTAATGTCTAGGGTTTGTGTCATCCACGGAAGCTGCATCATCCGGGACCGTGGGTCCTGCAGGGTTAGTTCCTTCATTTCTGGTACCGGGTTGGGTCCTAGCCATGTCATGGTATGGTTTGATGCATCGTGCTGGAATCCAAAGAGGACTTGAGAGGGTGTGGACACAAGCATACCCTCTTCTCCAAGTTAACAATTCATTTGGACCACACCATACATTACTGCTTACATCTTTCCATAAAACTGCAGGTTTTATGTCTTGAGAGGTTTTAGCAAAAAGTGTTTCTCTATAGTTGATTGAAATTTGTCATCTACATTTTAAAAATTAAGGGTAAATAAGGCTTGTGCCAATAGTGTTGCAGGGTCTTTACCCATACTCCCCCTTTTCTGTTTTTTGAGCGTATTTTTAAGGCTGGAGTGGGCACGTTCTACTATGGCCTGTCCTTGGGGGTTATACGGGATGCCTATGGAACGTTGGATATTCCACGTGTGACAAAATTGTTGAAATTGTGAGCTGGCATAAACTGGACCATTATCAGTTTTAATTTTTATGGGCCGCCCCATACATGCAAAAGTTGAAAGAAGATGTTTAATGACATATTGAGTGGACTCTCCAAGGAAGAGCGTGTGCACTAATTAGATGAGTGTTAGTATCAATGGATACATGTACATATCTTAGTTTTCCAAATTCAGGGATGTAACTTCTGTTTGCCATAACTGATTAGGTTCTAATCCTCTAGGGTTAACAGCTTTTGAAGGAGGAGACATGCCTGTTAGCTGGCAATTTGAGAATTGTGGGATAATTTGTTTAGCCAGTCTCTGGGTAAGTTGAAATTGCTTAGATAAGTTTCTCCAATTTTGGTGGAAAAATTGATGCGATTGGGTGGCTTGATCAAGCAGTGATGTCATCACCTGAAGGTCTGCTTGATCATTGCCATAAGCCAATGGGCCAGGCAGAGAGCTGTGGGCTCGAATGTGTGTAATAAAAGTAGGATGTGTACATTGATTTAGCAATTGCTGAAATCAGAGAAAAAGAGCACACAGGGCGGGCTCCAGAGTGGACTTAATTACGGCTGCTTCAAGATTTTGCGATAAATAAATAAAGTAGGCAGAATCACTAACTATATTGATGGCTGAGTAGAAAAAGTTTCCAAGGCCAATATCAGGGCCCCGATCTCACCTCTCTGAATGCTAGTAAACCCAGATCGAGTGAGTGAATTATGTGGTCTCCACCAGACTGCTGCCTTTCCATGTTTGCCTGAATCATCAGTAAACAATGTTAAAGCATTAGGTATGGAGGAATGAACTATTTTTGTAGGCAAGATCACAGGAGTATGAGATAAGAAATGAAGGAATTTATCAGCAGGAAGAACATGCTCTATTTGTCCTGTGTAATCAGAGAGAGCTATTTGCAGATCTAACAATAGGGACAAAACTGCTTCTAATTGCTTTTTACTTAAAGGAATCCTGATGATTTCAGGATATCAGGATCATAGCCTAGCAACTGACTGCATTGTTTGAGGCCTGAATATATGACTTTACTAATTAACTGAATATAGGGAAAGAGTGTTTTAGTCCTGGTATGTGAGCAAAAAAAAATCCATTCTAGAAAGTGCAGTCTTGGGGTCATCTGTCCTATTAATCCTGAAGGGGAGTGTTTGGTGGGGAAAATAAACAACTGGATGGAATAATGGGTGTCTATGTGATCTAGTTGCCTCTGAGAGATGGCTTGTTCTATTTCCTCAATTTCCCTTTTTGCTGCAGGGGTTAAATATCTGGGAGAATTCAGGGCTATATTGCCCTTTAAGATAGAAAACAGGTTTTGCAGCTTATAAGTAGGAATGCCTAAAGTGGGGCAGAGCCAGTTGATATCACCTAGTAATTTCTGATAATCATTTAAGGAATGTAAGTTGCTAGTATTTAATTTAACATTTTGAGGTCTTACTGACCAGGAAGTTAGCATGTACCCAAGATATATTTCCAAGGAGAGAAAGTTGTACTTTTTCAGGTGCAATGATTAAACCTCTTAGCTGTTTATTCTTTATGACAGAGGTATATAAATTTAAAAGTATTGGCTCTGTTGGGGTTGCTGGTAAAATATTCATAAAACAAATAATCTTGCAATTAGGAAATTCTTTTCTACTGGGAGCAAAGCTTGATTTACATGATACTGACAGTTGGTAGGACTGTTTAGCATCCCTTGAGGAAGCACATTCCAATGAAATCAACAAGCTGGCCTTTCATTATTGATAGCTGGTATTGTAAATGCAAATTTTTCTCTGTCCTGTTCTGCTAGGGGAATCATATAAAAGCAGTCCTTTAAGTCAATAATGATTATAGGCCAATCTCGAGGAATCGCCACAGGGGATGGGAGGCCCTGTTGAAGGGGTCCCATAGGTTGCAAATTAGCATTAACAGCACATAGGTCATGCAAAATCTCCATTTCCCAGACTTTTTGGGAATGATGAAAATGGGCAAATTCCAAGGACTAATAGATGGTTCTACATGCCCAGCTTTTAATTGCTCTTCAACTAATTCACAGGCTTTTTGTAATTTCTCTCCCTTCAGAGGCCACTGTTCTACTCAAATTGGATCTTGAGAGAGCTACGACGGGGGTAGGGGAGGAATAATAACAGTGGCCATTGTTATAAAGGGGGCTGAGAGTCACCCCTCCCGCATTGGGCTAATAAATCCTGTCCCCAAAGATTAACAGGGATGCGCATGCTTACGGGTTGTATAACTGCCTTTCTTCCTTCTGAATTGCAACAGGTTAGGGAGTGCATGCTCTGCTTGGCTCTGTGTGCTTCCCTGATGCAGACAATTTTTTATTTCTGAGTGACCCAAGGCCAAATTTCTAGCCAGTTTTGATCACTAATGATTGAAACGTCCACCCCTGTGTCCAATAAGCCAGTAAAATTATTATTTCCAATTTTTAAGATAATCATGGGTCTCTGATCAGTGATTAATTGATTCCCATATACTCCTGTGGCTCCTGTGCTCCCAAAACTTCCTTTCCCCTTTCCTTTCCGTGGGCACTGGGGACCCAGTATGGCAAAATCAGTAACTGAGCTATCTTTGATCCAGGGGGAAGAATATTCAGACCTTTACATTCCATCATAACCAATATCTCACCTTGGTAATCACTACCAATTACCCCAGTGAGCACATTAATTCCTTTACTGGACAGGCTAGACCGCCCTAGGACTAATCCCACTGCTTCTGGAGGCAGCTGGCCCCAGATCCCGTATGCAGCCCTTTTAGGGTCTTCTCCTTCTTTCAGCACTGATTTGTTGGGGCAGAGTAAGTCCAGTCCTGCACTCCCAGTGGTGGCTGCTCTGAGAGAGAGGACTGTGAGCTCTCCATCAGACCGAGGAAAGCTGCTGGGATTGCCCCAGTTTGAAGCAGGGCCTAGGGCCAGCCCGTCATGAAGTTTCCCACCTGGTTACTTATGGGGTTTCTGTTTTTATCAAATTTTGACCTGCATTGATTTGCCCAATGTTTCACCGTTTTACATCCGGGGCATATAGAAGGGGGTTCTTTCCCTGAGTTACCTTCGTCTCTATTATGGGGGCATTCCCTCTTCATATGATCTGGCTCTCCACATAGAAAACAACTTTGGCTTCTCTCCCTTTTCACTTTAGGAGGCCTTAATGCCATAACCAATATTTTGGCTTGTGTGTCTCAGTTCCCACCAGCTGACATGCTCATATAAGTTCCCCGACTGTGGCTGCCTTTCCTCTGATTGCCTGCATTGCCTGCTGGTGATCCACATGAGAGTTTTCAAAAGCCAATTGCAACAATAAGATATCAGCAGCCTGGGCGTGACTAATTTGTCTCTTAATTGCCTGGGTTAACCAATTGAAAAACTCAACAAATGGCTCCTGAGGCCCTTGTTGAACATTTATAAAAGATCCCTGCTAAACTCCACTTTCAGGAATTCAGTCCCAAGCCCTGAGAGCACACAAAGACACTTGATTTTAGGCCTGGGGAATCAAAATCTAGTTGTTGTACATAGGCATGGGGATCCTTCCCCTGGAGCATAGCAGCTGTTAGGTCTTGCCCGGTCACCTGATTCTGGTTAGCTTGTTGTTCACACAGCTCATCATATTCTGCCTTCCAGAGGAGGTATTGGCTAGGCTCCAAAGTTGTTTTAGTTAGCATTGCCCAGTCCCATGGGGTCATAGAAAAGTGGTCTGCCAAGGCCTCAATCATTCCTTTCATAAATGGGCTAGCAGCTCTGTTTTCTTTAATGCTTTTTCTTAGCTCCTTATAAGCATTAAAAGAAATGGGTTCATGTACCTGATTGCCTTGTCGGTCTTGCATTACCAGGCAGGCTAAGAGCTCCCCTTCTAATGCCACTTGCTTAAGACAAGGTCCCACAGCTGGAGCATGTCTCCTGTCTTTTTTCCTATCTATTGGAGGAGGGGGCTCAGGCAAAACCTCCATTTCCTCTTTGTTATTTTGGCCTGGTGATATCAGGGCTGAGGAACTTGCGGGTGGTAAAATACATGATGGTGCCTTGTCCTTCCCCTTTTTAGGCTCTTCTGTGTATAATGGGACCAAAGCCGCCCTTACTAAGGCCCATAGCATTAAAGATGATACTGGGACCCGTTACCCTTGAACATGATGTTGCTTAAGATTTTTTCCCACTCGTTCCCAGAGCTCTAGGTCTAGCATGCCTTCTTGGGGGAACCATGGGTTATGGGATACAACAGTTTGCATTAGGTTCCTTAATTAAACCTGTGAAACTGAGGCTCTGCTAGCTTTAAGCAGCCATTTCAATACTTTTATATACTGTTTCTGTTGAGCTGATAACTGTTGTCCCATGATGAAACCTTAGCCTGAACAATCCCCCGCCCCGAACTTGGAAATCCCAAGCAAGTACCAATGACTTACTGATTACTCACTGACTGCGCAGTTCCTTTTTCACCTTCATTTTCAGGGGGTTCATCAATCTCCCCTTGCAGCATTCCTCACGCGGGGCACCAGCTGTGGTAGTCTGACCTACAGACCCTGACCCAGTAATGGATGAGAGGTGTACACTGACACAGATATCTTGCTTGTCAGTTCAGCTGAGGGTCCAGGCCACACACAGACACCAAGGAAGGTGCTGTAAAGAGTTGCATCTATGGCCCTGATCAACCAGCAAAGCTCGCATTTGTTCACACCACTAGAGGGCAATTGACCTGTTTGCCGACCCCCCCAAGTAGAGAGCAATTATGCATCTGCAGTTGAACAAATGTTGGTCTTACGACCACATGAGTAAACAAGCTATTTAGATAAATGTTCCTTTGTATCTGTGCCCCAAGCAATTAACTCAAGGTAAGGATTACGCTGCTTTCAGCCATAACCCTATCTTGAGACTTTTGCAAATACCTTCCGGCCTTCCAAGAAGGTTTGTGTCTATATCCTATAATTTTACAATTTCTCCCACCATCCTGACTGAACCCCCACACTAGACTAACCAAGAAAAGAAAAGAGAATACCCAAGTAAACCATATCATAAATGAAAAAGAAGCTATTACAACAGATCCCACATAAATACAAAAGATAATCAGAAACCATTATGAACAAATATATGGTAACAAACTGGAGAAACAAGAGGAAATGGATAAATTTCTGGAAACATACAACTTACCAAGATTGAATCAGGAAGAAAGAAAATCTGGACAGACTAATACTGAGTACTGAAATGGAATCAGTAATAAAAAATCTCCCAAAAAAGAAAAATCCAAGAGCATATAGTTTCACTGATGAATTCCACCAAACTTTCAGAGAACCACCACCGATTTTCCTCCAACTGGTCCAAAAAGTTGAAGAAGAGGGAATTCTCCCAAACTCATTCTGTGAGGCTAGCATTACCCTAATGGCAAACCCAGACAAGGATGCTCCAAGAAAGAAAACTACAGGTGAATATCCTGATACATACAGATGGAAAAATACTTACCAAAATAGGAGCAAACCGAATCCAACAGTAGATCAAAACAATAATATAATGTGATCAAGTAGGATTTACAGCAAGGATGCAAGGATATTTCAACATACACAAATCAATGAATGTGATACATCACATCAACATGATGAAGGCCAAAATCCATATGACTATCTCAATAAATGCAGAAGAAGCATTTGATAAAATTCAACACCTTTTCGTAATAAAAACTCTCAACAAACTAGGCATAAAAGGATCATGCCTTAATATAATAAAGGCTCTATGTGACAAAACCCACAGCTAACATCATACAGAATGGTGAAAAGTTGAAAGCTTTTTCTTTAGGAACTGGGAAAAGACAAGTATACACATGTTCACCCCTCCTACTCAACATAGTACTATTCTATCTATCCAAGGGGGGCTGCACATCAGCCCTGTCTCCTATCTGCCATCTTCCTGGCAAGAGCTCATAAAGCAAGTTCCAAAATAATCTTATAGTTAGAAAAACCAAACACTCCACCAGAACACTCTTAGAACTGATAAGCCAATTCAGTAGACTTGGCAGGATACAAAATTAATATGCAGAAATAAGTAGCATTTCTATTCACCAACAATGAAATAGCTGAAAAAGAAATGAAGAAGAGAATTCCATTTATGATAGCTACAAAAAATATGATAAAATACTTGGAATAAATTTTACCAAAGAGATGAAAGATCCCTACAAGGCAAACTACAAAACACTGATGAAAGAAATTGAAGTGGACACAAACAAATGGAAAGAAATTCCATGCTAATGGATCAGAAGAATTAATATCATTAAAATGACCATATGGCCCAAAGCAATCTACAGATTTAATGTGATCCCTATCAAGATACCAATGTCACTTTCCACAAAAATATAAAAAACAATCCTAAAATTTGTATAGAACCATAAAAGATCCTGAATAGGCAAAGCCATCCTGAGCAAAAAGAACAAAGCTGGAAGTATCACAATACCTGAGTTCAAAACATTTTACAAGGCTGTAGTAACCAAAAGAGTAGAGTACTGGTATAAAAAACAGACACATAGACCAATAGAATACAACAGAATAGGGGACAGAATCATGGTGGATGGGAGGCATTATACATTGCCCCTCCAACTTGGATGGACAGAGCAGCTTGTGGAGTCTTGCATCATGAACTTTTGCTCCAGACCTATTGCAGGAATGACTGGGAAAGCTGAGAGAACCCACAGACCCTCTGAAGGGAGCAGATTGCTCCTGCAGGACCTGGGAGACATCCCAAATACTGTGAGTGCCCAAACTGTGGAGGTGGGAAAGGGGGATCTTCCACCCTTGAATGCATACCTCACTGGGGAACCTGAAGGTGTAGATCATGGGAGAAGATTCTGACCTGAACTGGAGCTGAGTCCATTTAGAAGCTGAGGGAAACACAGGGGTAGAGGAAGCAGCGGAAGGGACTTGTTTTGGGCACTAACATTTGGCTCTTTGTTACTTATGCAAATTTCTGCAGCTGGCTTGAATTTCTCCTCAGAAAATGGGATTTTATTTTCTATCGCATTGTCAGGCTGCAAATTTTTCAAACTTTTATGCTGTTTCCCTTTTAAAACTGAATGCTTTTAACAGCACTCCAGTCACCTCTTGAATGCTTTGCTGCTTAGAAATTTCTTCTGCCAGATACCCTAAATCATCTCTCTCAAGTTCAAAGTCCCACAAATCTCTAGGGCAGGGGCAAAATGCCACCAGTGTCTTTGCTAAAACATAACAAGAGTCACCTTTGCTTCAGTTCCCAACAAGTTCCTCATCTCCATCTGAAACCATCTCAGCCTGGATTTCATTGTCCATATCATTATTCAACAAGTCTCTAGAAAGTTCCACATTTTCCCACATTTTCCTGTCTTCTTCTGAGCCCTCCAAACTCTTGCAACCTCTGCCTGTTACCTAGTTCCAAAGTCACTTCCACATTTTTGGGTATCTTTTCTGTGGTGCCCCACTCTACCGGTACCAATTTACTGTATTATTCTGTTTTCACACTGCCGATAAAGACATAACTGAGACTGGGCAATTTACAAAAGATAAAGGTTTAATTGGACTTACAGTTCCACATGGCTGGGGAAGCCTGACAATCATGGTGGAAGGCAAGGAGGAGCAAGTCTCATCTTCCTTGGATGGTGGCAGGCAAAGAGAGAGCTTGTGAGGGCAACTCCGTTTTCAGAACTATCAGATCAACTGAGACCCATTCACTGTCACAAGAACAGCACTGGAAAGACCCACCCCCATAATTCAGTAATCTCCCACAGGGTGCCTCCCACAACACGTGGGAATTATGGGAGCTACAAGGTGAGGTTTGGGTGGGGACACAGATCCAAACCATATCACTGTAGAACAAATGGACTTAACAGATATTTACAGAACATTCTACTCAACAACAGCAGAATATACATTATTTTCATCAGCATGTGGAACATCCTCCAAGACAGACGTTATGGTAGGCCACAAAACAAGTCTCAATAAGTTTAAGAAAATCAAAATTATATGATGTACCCTCTCAGACTACAGTGGAATAAAACTGGAAATTGAATCCAAAATGAATTCTCAGAACTATACAAATACATGGAAATTAAATAATCTGCTCCCGAATGATCTTTAGGTCAACAATGAAATCAAGATGGAAATTTTAAAAATCTTTGAACTGAACCATAATAGTGACACAATTTATCAGAAACTCTAGGAAGGCCGGGCACGGTGGCTCACACCTGTAATCCTGGCACTTTGGGAGGCCGAGGTGGGTGGATTACCTGAGGTCGGGAGTTCGAGACCAGCCTGGCCAACATGATGAAACCCCATCTCTACTAAAAATACAAAAATCAGCCGGGTGTGGTGGTGTGTGCCTATAATCCCAGCTACTCGGGAGGCTGAGGCAGGAGAATTGCTTGAACCCAGGAGGTGGTGGTTGCAGTGAGCCAAGATTGTGCCACTGTACTCCAGCCTGGGCAACAAGAGCGAAACTCTCAAAAAAACAAAACAAAACAAAAACAAAAACTCTGGGAGACAGCAAAAGTGGTGCTAAGAGGAAAGTTCATAGCATTAAATGCCTACATCAAAAAGTCAATCTAGACATCAAAAAGTCAACATAGACAATCTAAGGTCACCCTTCAAGGAACCAGAGAAACAAGAACAAACCAAACCCAAACCCATCAGAATAAAATAAATAGCAAAGAAATAAATGAAATTGAAATAAATTTCAGAGCAGAAATAAATGAAATTGAAACCAAGAATACAAAAGATAAATGAAATGAAAAGCTGGTTCTTTGAACAAATAAACAAAATTGACAGACCATTAGCAAGATTAACCAAGAAAAGAAGAGAGAAGATCCAAATAAGCTCAATTAGAAATGAGACAGGAGATATTGCAACCGATACCACAGAAATACAAAAGATCATTGAAGGCTACTATGAACACCTTTATGCAGACAAACTAGAAAGTCTAGAGGAGATGGGCAAATTCTTGGAAATATACAACCCTCCTAGATTAAATCAGGAAGAAATAGAAACTCTGAACAGGCCAATAGCAAGTAGTGAGATTAAAATAATAATTTAAAAACTGCCCAAAAGAAAAAGTCCAGGACCAGATGTATTCACAGCTGAATTCTATCAGACAGTCAAAGAAGAATTGGTATCAATCTTACTGAAACTATTCAAAAAGATAGAGAAAGAGAGAATTTTCCCTAATTCATTCTATGAAGCCAGTATCACCCTAACACTAAAACTGGGAATAGGCAGAAAAAAAGGAAAACCACATACCAATATCCCTGATGAACATAGGTGCAAAAATCCTCAACAAAACACTAGCTAACTGAATCCAACAGCATGTCAAAAAGATAATACGCCATGATCAAGTGGGTTTCATACCAGGGATGCAGGGATGGTTTAACATATGCAAGTCAATAAATGTGATACATCACATAAACACAGTTAAATACAAAAATCACATCATCAACTCAAAAGACACAGAAAAAACATTTGACAAAATTTACCATCGCTTTATAATTAAAACCCTGAGCAAAATTGGCATAGAAGGGACATACATCAACTTAATGAAAGCCATCTATGACAAACCCACAGAAAGAATTATACTGAACAGGGAGAAGTTGAAAGCATTCCCCTTGAGAACTGGAAGGAGACAAGAATGCTGACTTTCACCCCTTCTCAAAAGAAGACATTTATGCAGCCAAAAAACACATGAAAAAATGGTCACCATCACTGGCCATCAGAGAAATGCAAATCAAAACCACAATGAGATACCATCTCACACCAGTTAGAATGGCGATCATTAAAAAGTCAGGAAACAACAGGTGCTGGAGAGGATGTGGAGAAATAGGAACACTTTTACACTGTTGGTGGGACTGTAAACTAGTTCAACCATTGTGGAAGTCAGTGTGGCAATTCCTCAGGGATCTAGAACTAGAAATACCATTTGACCCAGCCATCCCATTACTGGGTATATACCCAAAGGACTATAAATCATGCTGCTATAAAGACACATGCACACGTATATTTATTGCGGCACTATTCACAATAGCAAAGACTTGGAACCAATCCAAATGTCCAACAATGATAGACTGGATTAAGAAAATGTGGCACATATACACCATGGAATACTATGCAGCCATAAAAAATGATGAGTTCATGTCCTTTGTAGGGACATGGATGAAATTGGAAATCATCATTCTCAGTAAACTATCGCAAGGACAAAAAACCAAACACCGCATGTTCTCACTCATAGGTGGGAATTGGACAATGAGAACACATGGACACAGGAAGGGGAACATCACACTCTGGGGACTGTTGTGGGGTGGGGGGAGGGGGGAGGGTTAGCATTAGGAGATATACCTAATGCTAAATGACAAGTTAATGGGTACAGCACACCAGCATGGCACATGTATACATATGTAACTAACCTGCACATTGTGCACATGTACCCTAAAACTTAAAGTATAATAATAATAAAAATAAAAAAAGAAAAAGAAAAGGGAAGTTACAAATTAAAAAAAAAAAAGACAAAACATAGGATTGGAAGTCCTAGCCAGAATAATCAGACAAGAGAAAGAAATAAAGGACATACAAATAGGTAAAGAGAAAGTCAAACCATCACTGTTCACTAATGATATGATCATATACTTCAAAAACCCTAAAGACTCATCCAAAAAGCTCCTAGATCCGAAAAATGAATTCAGCAAATTTTCAGGTTACAAAATAAATGTATACAAATAAGTAGCACTACTATACACCAATGACCAAGCTGAGAATCAAATCAAGAACTCAATCCCTTTTACAATAGTTTCCCGAAAATAAATTTAAAAAATGCTTGGAATATACTTAACCAAGGAGGCTAAAAATCTCTACCAGGAATACTACAAAACACTGCTGAAAGAAATCATAGATGACACAAACAAATGGAAACACATCCCATGCTCATGGATGGGTAGAATCAATATTGTGAAAAGGACTATACTGCAAAAGGCAGTCACAAATTCAATGCAATTCCCATCAAAATACCACCATCATTCTTCACAGAACTAGAAAAAACAATTCTAAATTTCATATGGAACCAAAAAAGAGCCCACATAGCCAAAGCAAGACTAACCAAAAAGAACAGATCTGGAGGCATCACATTACCTGATTTCAAAATATAATATAAGGCCATAGTCACCAAGACAGCATGGTACTGGTATAAATGTAGGCACATAGACCAATAAAACAGAATAGAGAACCCAGAAATAAACCCAAATACTTACAGCCAACTGATCTTTGACAAAGCAAACAAAAACATAAAGTGGTAAAAAAACACCCTATTTAACAAATTGAGCTGGGATAATTGGCAAGCCACATGTAGGAGAATAAAACTGGATCCATGTCTCTCACTCTACACAAAAATCAACTCAAGGTAGATCAGGGACATAAATCTAAGACCTGAAACTATAAGAATTTTAGAAGATAACATCGGAAAAACCCTTCTAGACATTGGCTTAGGCAAGGATTTAATGACCAAGAACCCAAAAGTAAATGCAATAAGAACAAAGATAAATAGCTGAGACCTTAATTAAACTAAAGAGCTTTTGCACGGCAAAAGGAACAGTCAGCAGAGTAAACAGATAACCCACAGAGTGGGAGAAAATCTTCACAATCTATACATATGACAAAGGACTAATATCCAGAATCTACAATGAACCCAAACAAATTAGTAAGTAAAAAACAAACAATCCCATAAAATATGAGTTAAGGGCATGAATAGACAATTCTCAAAAAAAGACATACAAATGGCCAACAAACATAAGAAAAATTGCTCAGCATCACTAATAATCAGGAAAATGCAAATCAAAACCACAATGCAATACCATTTCACTCCTGAAAGAATGGCCTTAATCAAAAAATCAAAAAATAATAGATGTTGGCAAGGATGTGGTGAACAGAGAACAATTTTCCACTGCTGGTGGGAATGTAAACTGGTACAACCACTATGGAAAACAGTGTGGAGTTTCCTTAAAGAGTCCTAAAAGTAGAACTACCATTTGATCCAGCAATCCCACTACTGGGTATCTACCCAGAGGAAAAGAAGTCATTATACAAAAAAGATACTTGCATACACATATTTATAGCAGCACGATTCACAATTGCAAAAATGTGGAAGTAACCCAATGAGTGGATAAAGAAACTTTGATATATATATATATATATATATATATATATATATATATATATATGATGGAATATATATATATATATATGATGGAATATATATATATATATATATGATGGAATATATATATATATGATGGAATATATATATATATGATGGAATATATATATATGATGGAATATATATATATATATGATGGAATATATATATATATGATGGAATATATATATATGATGGAATATATATATATATATGATGGAATATATATATATATATGATGGAATATATATATATGATGGAATACTACTCAGCCATAAAAAGGAATGATTTAATGGCATTTGCAGTGACCTGTTTGAGATTGGAGACTATTATTCTAAGTGCAGTAACTCAGGAAGGGAAAACCAGGCATTGTATGTTCTCACTCATAAGTGGGAACTAAGCTATGAGGATGCAAAGGCATAAGCATGGCACAATGGACTTTGGGGACTCTGCAGGAAAGGGTGGGAAGGGGGTGACGGATAAAAGATTACAAATTGGTTGCAGTGTATACTGCTTGGGTGATGGGTGCACCAAAGTCTCAAAAATCTTCACTAAAGAACTCACTCATGTAACCAAACACCACCTGTTTCCCAATAACCTATAGAAATAAATTTTTTTTAAAAAAGAATAGAACAGAATAGAAAACCCAGAAATAAATCCACATATTTATAGCTGACTTACATTCAATGAAGCTATGAAGAATATTCATTGGGGATATGACATCCTTTTCTATAAATGGTGCTGGGAACACTGGATAACCATATGCAGAAGAATGAAACTGGACCCCTACTTCTCACCATATACAAAAATCAACTCAAGATAGATTAAAGACTTAAATGTAATACCTGAAACTATAAATCTGCTAGAAGAAAACATAGAAAAAGTTCTTCAGGAAATAGGTCTAGGCAAAGATTTTATGACTAAGATCTCAAAAGCACCAGTAACAAAACCAAAAATGGACAAATGGAACTATATTAAACTAAAAAGCTTCTGCACAGCAAAAGAAACAATCTACAGGGTGAAGAGAAAACCTCTTAAATGGGAGAAAATATATGCAAGCTACTCATCCAACAGGGGATGAATATCCAGAATATACAAGGAAATCAAACATCTTCATAGTAAAAAAATAAATAATCCTGGCCAGGTGTGGTGGCTAATGCCTGTAATGTCAGCACTTTGGGGGCCTACAGCAGGAGGATCTCTTGAGTCCAGGAGTTCAAGATCAGCCCAGGAAGCATAGCTAGACTTCAGTCTCTTACTAAAATTAAAAAGAACCAAATAGCCTGGTATGGTGACATGAGCCTGTAGTCCCAGCTGAAGGACTGAGGCAAAAGGATAGCTTGAACCCAGGAATTTGATGCTGCAGTGAACTATGGGACCACTGCACACTAACCTGGGCAAGATCTAGTCTCAAAAATAAATAATTAAATTAATTAATTAATTAATTAATAACCCCATTTTTAAAATGAGCAAAGAACATGAACAGACATTTCCCAAAAGAAGACAGGCATTTGTTCTCTTCATTGAGAAAAGAAAAATGAGAGAGAGCAAGAGAAAGAAAAGAAGACATATAAATGGTCAACAGGTACATGAAAGAATGCTCAACATTACTAATCATCAGGGAAATGCAAATCAAAACCACAATGAAGTCAGGCCACAGTGGCTCATGACTGTAATGCCGACACTTTCAGAGGCCAAGGTGGGAGGATCGCTTGAGCCAGGAGTTTGAGACCAGCCTAAGCAAAGTAGTGAGATCCCATCACTACAAAAGCAAAACAAACAACCACAATGAGATATCATTTTACCCCAGTTGGGATGGCTACTATGAAAAAGACAAAACAAACAAACAAACAAAACAAAAAAACCACAGGTGTTGGCAAGGATATGGAGAAAAGGGAACTCTTATTCACCATTGCTTGGAATGTAAGTAAGTACAGCCACTATGGAAAATAATATGGAGATTTCTCAAAAAACTAAAAATAGAACTACTACACAATCAAGCAATCTCACTAATTAGTATTTATCCAAATGGAAAAGAAAGTAATGTATCAAAGGGATACACACATTCTTTATTGCAGCACTATTCACAAGAGCCAAGATATGGAATCAACCTAAGGGTCCATGAATGGATGAATGGATAAAGAAAATGTAGTATATATAGACAATGAAAGTATTCAGCCATTTAAAAAGATGAAATCATGTCATTTGCAGTAACATGGATGGAAGTGGACGTCATAATGTTAAGTGAAATAAGCCAGGCACAAAAAAACAAATATCACATGTTCTCACTCGTATGTGGGAGTTTAAAAAGTTGATCACATCAGGGTAGAGAGTAGAATGATAGATACCAGAGACTAGGAAGTGGACGGAGATACAGAGATGTTGGTTAATGGTTATGAACCTATACTAATATAAAGAATAAATTCCAGTGTTTGATAGCAGAGTAGGGTGACTATAGTTAACAACAATGTGTAGTATTTTTCAAAAAAACTAGAAGAGAGGACTTGAAATGTACTCAATGCATAAAAATGATAAATTGTGGGTGATAGATACCCTAAACACCCTGACTTCATCATTACATTGCATGCATGTAACAAAATATCACATATAACCCATGAATATGTTCAAATATAATGTATCAAAAAATTTTAGAACTAAAAACAAAAACCAAAGCCCCCAACCCAAACATGTAGTTTAGTTTTTATTTTACAGAAACAAAGCATAATGACATTTTCACTTATACATTCCAAATCTTCAGAACTTACATTATTACGTAAATGAATACATCAAAATATTAAGATACATATTTTTCATTTCTAAATTACAACCAGTTGGTAAATAGGCAAAAAAAAGATGAATAAATAGAGTGACAAGAAAAAGAAGATAGGAGAGAGCCAAATCCAGAGAAAAAGGAAAGAAAATAAGAGCAAGTATAGGAATGAAATTGTCCTTATACAGAGGCTGACTTACCTTTAATCTAAAAAGACTTAATATTCGGGACCCCTTCTTGCAGGAGCCTTTTAACATCATATATTTTTGTACAATCTGCAAAAAGTAAGATAATTTAACAGCAAATTGTTAAGACTGTTGTATTTCTTCATTCTGACTTCTCATCCATCATACATTTTGCCCCTTGTTAGGCGGCAATAGAGTGACCATAGATATTTCAGAGATTCAAATAAGGGAAAGTTAAGTTGGGGATACACAAGGTAGAAAATGTATTTATGGCTTTACATTCACTCCATGCATAGTTAAATTATTACACGGGCTTAATCAGGGACATAGATAGGTTTAAACTAAGGATGACTGATTCTTATACTAATGATCTTAGAACTCTCAATATTGTGTTTTATGTGCTTACTAATCACTATAGGCCTTGATTCTTCAATGTAAAGCCATAATAAGATATTGTTACTTGCCAACATTTGATATTGTTTACCTCCTCTCTACCCAGTGAGAGGCAGAGAAGTAGTAAATAAAAGGCATCAACTCATTATTCTAGTCATTTACTCTCTGTCACGCTATTGTACACTACACTTTAGCCATACTGGACGCCTTACTTTTACCAGACCATGTACTTGATGTACTTGGCTATTCTCTCTCCCCAGCCTCAAATGAATCTGCCCAAGCACATCTATACAGGTTATTATTAATTTCTTGCTGGTATTACTTGAAATACTGACATTGATGAAGATAATCCCTCATTTCTAATTTACTATGACAACAATGACATCAATGATAAACTGGTTAATGAGTGTCATTAATTCTAGGAGTATCTAAGATTAATGATTACCGTATAGTAACTGAAGAGGAATAAAATTATTTTTCTTCTAGTCCCAGACATAATGTATGTTTGATCCATTGTATTCTCCCAACAAGGAGTGACTATGGTTTGCTGGTCAAAGTGGTAGATTATGGTAGTCATAACACATCATTCGGTTATCTCCCAGATCCATACTATATTAATGCAATATATACACTTGGCTACTGGAAGATGTCCAATATCAACTTCCACTTCTGAAATAAGAGATTATGAAGGAAGAGACTAGTAGAAAGACCTGAGTTTCCAATTCTATCCCCAGTTGTCAATAAAAAACAATACCGTAGATTGCCTTCCTCTTTTTGGCTATGATGGAATAGCTTGTACAATATTAATGTTCCTTCCAATAATAATGAGTAAAGCCAGATAAAACACAAAAAATAGGCCAGGCACAGTGGCTCATACCTGTAATCCCAGCACTTCAGGAGGCCAAGGCAGGAGGATCACTTGAGCCTAGGAGTCTTAAGACCAGCTTGGGCAACATAGCAAGACCCAGACTCTATAAAAATAAAAAATCAACTGGGCATGGTGGCCCATGCCTATAGTCCTAGCTACTTGGGAATCTGAGGCAGGAGGATTGCTTGAATACTGGAGCTCAGGAAGCTGAGTCTGCAGTGAGCTATGATCACACCACCGCACTCCAGCCTGGGTGACAGAGCAAGACCCCCTCTCAAAGGAAAAAAAACTACAAAAAATATACGCTTGAGGGAATCATAAAACTCTCAAGGTGATGACAGCTTGAGAAGACAAGATCATGAAAAGAAGATAACAAGAGAGGAGCCAACATTCTCCAGTTGCTTTACTCCTAAAGATTATCTTATTTTTAGGGCAGAGCAACAGACTGATAATTCTAGCAAACAACTTATGGCCATGGAGAGACAAAGAATGGTATCTGGGGCTGCCAAATTTAAGGGATCAGGATGTCAGTGAAACAGTAGACAATGACAGCCAGAAAAAGCTTAAACTCTGCTTCAAGTCAGATCCATTCCAGATTAAAATAAGGATCATTTTCTACTCTATATGCCTAACAGAGGATAGGGCTAATTCCTTCTGGAAGAAAAGTGCATCACTGAGAAAAATAATGAATAACTTAATTATTGGATTAGAGATAAACTTTATAATAGCTATAATGAATATGTAAAAAGATAATAGAAATCATAATGAAAAATTTTATTAAAGAAATAGAATGTATAGAAAAGAATTAATAGAAATTCTAGAACTAAAAAATGATGATATAAATTTTTAAAAACTCCTATAGATGGGTCAATATTGGCAAAAATAACAAAGTAAGAACCTCCAAAAACTCTCCTCTCCATAAAAGCAACAAGAAAAGTGACAAAAATTGAAAAAAAAATCAACTCTTTCAGAACTCTGGAAATTAACCAAAGTCTTGCAGCAATCCAGAGAACATTTACTAAAGAAAAATGGTGCAATCTCAATAAGAACAGTTTTGTGACATTTTAACTTGTACAATTCCCATTCTGTCCTCTCGGGTTCTGCAGTAGACTTGAGAACCAACAAGCTGTAATCATGGTGAAAATCAGCAGCCTGGAGGGAGCAGAACAGAGCTGGGGCTTTTCCAAAATCTTGTGATCAGAGAATTGTCATTATTTTACCTGTCTGGTGGTTTCCTGGAATACCCAATTTGCAAAGTAGTTCTCATTTGACCTGATTGGGAACTTGCCCGGTGCAAAAATCCTTTTCCATGAAAATATTTATTGGAAACAATTAAAGGCAACCGAATTGCCTGAGGCAGTGGATAACAGTTGAGGAAAACAAGAGATTAAATAAAAAGCTTAAAGGGAAAATCTGGGAAATGAGATGTCCAAGGGGCTTTGATTATTTCCATCATATTCCTGGAAATCTAGAAGGCCATGTACATATGTAGGATGGGGTGCATACTTAGGAAAGACCTGAGAAGATTGTAAGCTTTCTTCTTGGACTGGCCTTGGTGCTCTGTACAAGGAGGAAATAAAGGGTAAAGTGGAGTTGTCAACTGTCTGGCTGAGTGTTGAAGGTATCACCAACATGCACACAGAACCTGCTGTGGTTTGAATATGGCTTGTCCTCATCAAAACTTATTTTGAGGCTTGGTTCCCAATCTGGTGGTGTTGGGAGATGGTGCCTTTAAGAGGTGCTTAGGTCATTAAGTTGGATTGGTGTCTTTCTTGAAAGACTGGGTTAGTTATGAAGTTCCCTTGAGAGTGGGTTGTTATAAAGTGAGTTTGCCTCTCTTGTTTTGTCCTGTTCACATATACCTCGTTCTCCTTTTGTTTCTCTGCCATGTTTTGACACAGCACAAGGACCTCAGCAGAAGCCACCAAATCAGCTGTCTAATATTGAACTTTCCAGCCTGCAGAACCATGAGTAAAATAAACCTCTTTTCTTTATAAATTACTTCATCTCAGGTATTCTCTTATAGGAACACAAAACAAAGAAAAAGCTCCCCAGGAAAGACTAGGAGATATGTTTATTCCAGGCATTTTAGGAAACCTTTGTTCAAACATTAGGTGACCACTAAGCTAACTGAGAAAAAATGTAATAGCTACACATAACAAAGAATCAGACTTTGCAAGATTTGTTCAGAAAAGTCACAAAATAAAACAACAACAAACAATGAAAGCAAACCCTAGAAGGGAAAGCGAGGGAAGAATCTCATTATCTGGGTTGCCACATTATATTACACAAAATATCTAGTTTTCAACAAAAATTACAAGACATGCAAAGAAATAATAAAGCATGGCCTGTACATAGGGGGGAAATTAATAAATAAAAAATGTCTCTAAGGAAGCCCAGCATTTAGACTTACTAGACAAAGACATTAAATAAGCATTTAAAATATATTCAAAGAATGGAAGGAAATCATGTTTACTAAAGGCAAGCATATGAATGATGTCTCACCACCCAATAGAGACTACAGCAACAGGAATTATATAAGAAAAGAACCAAATAGAAATTCTGGAGTTGAAAAATACAATAACAGAAATGAAAATTTCACCAGACTGGCTTGACAGCAGATTTGAGCAAGGCAGAAGAAATAATCAACAAAGTTAAATGTAGGTTAATTTTGATTATCCAGTTTGAGGAAGAAGAAGAAAAATGGGAAAAGAAAAATGAACAGATCCTCAGAGACCTGTAGAACACCATCAAGCAGACCAAAATATGTATAACTGTAGTCCTAAAATGAAAAAAAGGGTGCCAGAAAAAATATTTGAAGAAATAATGGCTGAAAACTTTGCAAATTTGATAAAAAATGTTAATCTACATATCTGAGAATCTTAATGAACTATAAGTAGAATAAACTCAAAGAGATCCACACCTACACACATTGTAATCAATCTGTTGAAAGTTGAAGACAAAGATATCTTGAAACCATTAAGAGAGAAATGACTTATCACATTCAAGCAAGAAGATTGACAGATGATCTTTCATTAGAAGCCATGGAGGGTCAGGTGCGGTGACTCATGCCTTTAATCCTAGCACTTTGGGAGGCTGAGGTGGGAGGATTGCTTGAGTGTAGGAGTTCAACACTCCATCCCTATTTAAAAGAAAAAAGTAAAAACATAAAAAAGAGAGACAGAGGAAGATAAAAAGAAAGAGAGAGAGAGAGAAAGAAAGGAAGGAAGAGAAAGAAAGAGAACCATGGAGGCTAGAATGCAATTGAAAGACTTATTCAAAGTGCTGAGGGGAAAAGCTGTCAGCCAAAAACTCTAAATGAAGGAGAAATTAAGACATTTTCAGGTAAAAAGAAACAGAGATTTCATCATTAGCAAGACAGCTGTACTAAAATACTTTCAGGCTGAAGTGAAAGGACACTAGAATATAGTGTAATATAGTCAAATCCATGTAAGGAAATAAAGACACCAAAAAGGTAACTGAAATAGGTGAATATAAAAGACAATATAAATGTACTTTTTAATGACTTTTTCTCCTATTTAATTTAAAACTTCAGCAAACAATATTTATAAATCTGTGTTGATAGGCACACATGTAAGAATGGTATAATTTGTATGACAATAACAGCACGGGGGTAGGGAACAGAGCTGTATAGAAATAAAGTGTTTGTATACTATTGAAATTAAGTTGGTATTAATACAAACTAGATTATTAATATGCTAATTTTAATCTGTAGGGTAGTCACTAAGACAAAAAAGTAGAGGAACTAAAAATGTAGAGTAAAAGAAATGATAAGTGAATTAAAATGATACATAGAAAATGTCTATTTAACACAACAAAAAGCAGTAATAGAGGAATAGAGGAACAAAAAAGATATAAGAAAAATAGAAAATAAACAATGAAATGGCAGACATAAAAATATGTTACAGTAATCACACTAAATATAAATACATTACATTTCAATTTAGACAGGTTAGCAGAATGGATAAAATAAAAATGATGCAACTATATATTCTCTGCTGGAGACAAACCTTAGATACAAAGTTACAAAGAGGTTGAAAGTACAAGGCAGGAAAAGATACACCATGTAAAGAGCAACCAAAAGAAAGCTGGAGTGGCTACACTAATGCCAGACAAAATAGACCTTAATACAAACATACCACTAGAGAAAAGTAAGGACATTTTAATGATAAAAGAGAAAGTTATAGCTGTAAATACCTACATTAAAAAAGAAGAAAAATTGCAAATCAGTAACAACCTTCCACTTTAAGAAATTAGAAAAGAGGCCGGGTGCGGTGGCTCACTCTGTAATCCCAGCACTCTGGGAGGCCAAGGAGGGTGGATTGCTTGAAGTCAGGAGTTTGAGATCAGCCTGGCCAACATGATGTAACCCCATCTCTACTAAACATACAAAAATTAGCCTGGCGTGGTGGCAGGCACCTATAACCCCAGCCACTCGGGAGGCTGAGACAGGAGAATCGTTTGAACCCGGGATGGGGAGGTTGCAGTGTGTGGAGATCAGGCCCCTGCACTCTAGCCTGGGTGACAGAGCAAGACTCCATCTCAAAAAAATAACCCTGTCTCAAACAAACAAATAAACAAACAAAAAAAGAAAAGAAAAGAAAAGAAATTAGAAATGAGTAAGACAAACCAGAACTAGTGAAAGGAATGTTAGAATGGGAATAAATGAACTAGGAAATAGAAAAAGATAGAGAAAATCAACAAAACTAAGTTTTTGCTTTTAAAGAATCAAAACTGAGGAAACTTTAGCTAGATTGAGTAAGAAAAAAAAGAAAGGAATTGAATTACTCAAATCAGGAATAAAAGATGAGACCTTTCTACCACTTTACAGAAATGAAAAACAATATAAGGGAATACTGTGTACAATTGCGTGCCAACAATTAGATAATCTAGATAAAATGGACACATTTTGTGCTGGGCAGGGTGGCACACATCTGTAGTACCAGCTACTAGGGAAGTTGAGGCAGGAGGATTGCCTGAACCCAGGAGTATGGGGTTATCGTGCACTGTAGCCTGGGCAACATAGCAACCTGTCAAAAAAAAAAAAGACAAATTTCTCGAAAAACATAACTACTAAAACAATGAAAAAGAATACAATATTTCAAAGTATTTTATCTTTTATAATGTTCTTTGACAAAAATAGAACAGAGCTAGAGATCAATTACAGAAAGATAACCAAAAAATTTTGAAGAGTTTAGAAATTAAGAAATACAAATTAAAATAATCCATAGATCAAAGAAGATAATCAGAGATTAAATCTAATTATTATCAGATCCCTGACAATAAAAAATTGAAAATATCAGTTGGGTGTGGTGGCTCATGCCTGTAATCCCAGTACTTTGGGAGGCTAAGGCAAGAGGATTGCTTGAGCCTAGGAAGTTCAAAACCAGCCTGGACCACATGATGAGATCCTATCTCTACGAAAAATAAAATATAAGTTAGCTGGTGTGGTGCTGCATGCCTGAGGTCCTAGCTTCTTAGGAGGCTGAGGTGGGAGGATCACTTGAGCCCAGGAGTCCAAGGCTGCAGTGAGATATGACAGCACCACTGCACTCCAGCCAGGGCAACAGAGTGAGACCCTGTCTTGAAAGAAAAGAAAAGGAAAGGAAAGAAAAAGAAAAGAAGGAAGGAAGAAAGAAAATTGAAAATATTGCAAATTATACTTGCATTACAAAATATTATAACATAAGATGAAGCTGAAGTCAGGTCTAGACAAAAATTATATGCAACCTTAAGTGCATATAATTAATTGGAAAGAAAGAAATACTGAAAATCAATCATATACTTAGAAAAAGAATGTCAAATTTAACCCAAGAAAAGTAAAAGTAAGGGAATTATATACATAAAAGAAGAAAATAATTTGATAGGAAATAATAATACAGTAGAAAAACATCAACAACACTAAAGGCTTGTTTCTTTGAAAAGACTAATAGGATTGATAAAATTTTAGCAAGACTGTGGAAGATTTTAAAACAAGACAGAAGGCATGAAATTCCAATATCAGGAATGAAAAAGGTACTGTCATTATGGGTCCTGTAGACATTAAAATTACAATAGAAAATATTATAAATAACTTTATGCTGACAAATTTGAAAAGCTAGATGAAATAGACATATTCTAGAAAACACCACTTACTAAAATGAACTCAAGAAATAATAGAAAAATTTTCATAATCCTGTATCTATTAAAGAAATTGAGTTGGTAATTACAAAACTTTCCACAAAGAAATCTGTAGGCAAAGATGATCTTATTGGGTGAATTCTTCTAAATATTCAGTGAAGGCATTTGCTAACCTTACACAAGCGATTCCAAAAGACGGGGGAATAAAGGAACATTTCTCAACTCATGCAGCAATATGCCAAATCCTCATAAGCATGAAGCAAAAACAAAAACAAAAAAGCAAAAGTAAGGCTCATCTCATTTTTAAACACAGATACAAAACTCCTAAAAGATCTATTAGTCAATTAAATATAACACTAGGTAAAATAATGACCAAGTTGAGTTTATTCTATGAACATAGGGTAAGTTTAATATATGAAAATCAAGCAATGAAAATAGTAACTTATGGTTGAAAAATCTGTCAGTTACCACTAAAATCAAGTAGTCAAAATTAGCATCACAGGGTAAGTTTAATATACGAAAATCAAGCAATGAAAATAGTAACTTTATGGTTGAAAAAATCTGTCAGTTACCACTAAAATCAAGTAGTCAAAATTAGCATCACTGATAACAGAACAAATCAACATCATGTGTCTCCTGATTCAATGCACGGAGATACAATATCAACTATGAAGAACTCCTGCCTTTGTCATATCCTCTATGAGCTATTTAGTTCCTTTCCAATAAATGCCTTTTCTGCTTAATTATTCAAGTTTGCATTCTATTGTTTAAAATCAAGAACCTGCATTAGTACAGTAGTAATAGTTATTGAGCACTAATGCTCACAGCAGTGTTTCAACATAGATATTATTTATCCTTATTCTAAGATGAGGCAATAGGTAGTTATAGTTAAGAATATGACCCCAAATCACATACACAATAATAGGTGAAGGAAAGAATAAATTTCAAGTTTACCTGTCTCCAAATTTCATTCTTTTAGACTCTCTAACCCTTCTCCCTTGACCATGCTTGGCATTTTTGACTAAGTGATTTTAGCCAGGAACCTGGTTTACCCAAATACACAGAATCATCAATCTGTCTCCCTCCATACCCTTCCTTGGGATTTAAGGATGTCAGAAGTTAAGGAGAGAAGATAAACATGTGCTTTTACTGTGATGCTCTCTGGGGAAAAGTTATGTGGGGTCCAGATAAAAATCATTGCCTCTCAGAGAACAAAGACATGCTATTCCCAGGGGGCTGCTCATGAGATCTTTTTATAAGGCTCCAAACAGTAAGACTAGATGTAGGGCTAGCTCCCGAGTGATGGAAAAGAATCGGGACAACTCCCTCCTGGGGGTATCTCTCTCTCTCTGTCTCTCTCTCGACTCCAAACAGCATCACAAGAGAACCTCAAGTTTTGTATTATTTATTCCAGGAACCCCAAAGGGAAGGTGAAAGAAACTTGGGGAGAAAAAAAATCTCCCTTGAATGCATGAAAAAACAGGTGTTGGGGTGATGTTGATGTTGAGATAGCCAAGTGCAGGCACCTGACTGCCACCTGGGGATGGGAGCAGGAGGGAGTGCTGGAGACCGTGGATTCAGAGGTTACTAGTGTAGACGTGCAGGGAGCCACAGGCCTGGATGAGTTCTCCAGAGCAGCAGGTGTAGAGTGATAAGAAGAGGGCTGACGACTAACATCAGGTGTGTAGTTTTAGGAGTGAAGAAGAAGAGTATTCAACAGAGGGGACAGGTTTTCATTCCTGCTTTGGCACCTGGAGCAATAGGAAGTGTTTGATTGCCTGTGCTACTTGAACATTCTCCTTCCCCGACAGCTTCCACGGCCTCTTTGTAGACTGTCTCCTTGCTCACCTTCACCTCATATTGTCCCCTGGATTTGAGGCCCCAGCCATCATGACATGTTCAGGCTTCTGAACAGGGCTGTGAGGAGGGGGATGGAGGGAAAATATCAGGGGAAAGGATTTATCTGAATGCATGTAGAGACTTCAAAGAAGCTCTTTTCCTGGGAAATTCTGGTAACATTTCTCTCTATCCAATAAAAAGTGGGTGAAAGGCAGTGTCACTAGTTTCTGGCAGACTAAGCCCCTGAGAAGGTCCTGCTGCACGGATGTGTGTAACTGAAGCTGTGTGGAGGGAGCTTGTGATCTATACAGAAGTAGCAAGGGCAAGAGGAACAAGAGAGGTTCAAAGGCACCAAGTGCAGAGGCAGTGGGTGGGGAGACCCAGGCATGGAAGCCAGTGTTTCACTGTGAATACTTGGAAAGTCCCTGGCTGGCTCCAAACAGTAGAATATGGCTGGATTCTAGAGTCTGTTGTCAGAATAATGAGAATTAATACGGAAGCTCATTTTCAGACTTATCATTAGTTATGAGATGATGGAGGGTTAAGGAAACCACAGTAAGAGGAAGAGATTCTAAGGCTAGCTTCTTAGGACCCCACCCCATCCCTAAATTTTCAGATGGGAGAGAGAGGAGTGTTATGCATCTCTGTATCATTCTTTTTTGGAGCTGAGAGAGACAGAAAGGAGAGGGGAGGGGAGGGAAGGGGAGGAAGAGATGAAGAGGGAGAGGGGAGGGGAGGGAAGGGGAGGAAGAGATGAAGAGGGAGAGATGGAGAGGGAGAGATGGAGAAGGAGAGAGGGGGAGGGAGGGAGGGGAGGGAGAGGAGGAGAGAGAGAAGAGAAAGGGAGAGAGAGTGGGGAGAGAGGGAGAATAAGTATAAATCATCAATTAATCTGTGGATGTCTGATTGTCCACCTTCTGGATTATTTCAGACACTGAAATTTGTGAATAATGATAAGCAGGGCCTGGATCAGGAGAGCACTTCAAAAGATAAGGACTTGTACATAGGATGTTAAAGCCTGCTAAACAGGTCCTCACAGGCCCACCTTTTACTGCTTCCTCTTGAAATAAGCCTCTTCTGCCCTTCCCACCCTGTCATTACCACTGTCCCCAATACCACAAAGTGGAGGATTGTGGAAATCCCTTAAGAAAAAGAAAAGAAGCTCATTGTCTACATCAGAAATTCTCTGTAACTCCCATCCTCCCACTTCCTCATGCTGCCTGACTGCCTTCCTTATCACTCTACATCAGTTGGATTGTATCAACGTTTGGCCTTTCTTAAACCTCCTACTCTGGTGTCCAAAGGACAGATTTCTGTCCCAGAGCAGATATGAATGTTACAAGGGGAGTGTTTGATAGACAAAGGACCCCATGTTACTTCTGCAGTTGAAACTAGCCTCTGTATAAGGAATTAAAAGACTATGAGAAGAAAGTAATGATGGAGACATTATTCTCCCTATTGTCATGGATCAATGGCATCATCTGGGGATTAGGCCAATGGCTGCTTTGAAGGAATATTTTATAAAGTAGACATTATCAGTGATGAATTTGAGTGTGAGTTGAAATGGAAGTATAGTAAAGTGGTAAGACTCCTTGATGAATCAATGTTTGGTGTAAGGAAAGAGGAAGAGAGAGGCAAGATAATATGAAAATCTGATGGCTGATAGAGGTGGAGAGCCAACATCACAGCTCAGGGATGAGTATGATGTATCACTGAATTCTCCCTGTTGGCCTGTGACAGCATTTGTGGTTGGAGAAATGAGAAGTGAAAGAAAAACTCACGCCTAGAGGTACCACATTTGTCAAAAATAATAGAAGAGAAAACCATGCCAGACAGTCTTAGAGAAGATAAAAAGTTATCACATGATTTCAGGGCATTAGGAAGTCCCTGCTTTTTCAGCCACTCCCATCTTATAGTTGTGTCTTAAATTTATCCATTAGAGCTGGGCGTGGTGGCTCACGCCTGTAATCCCAGCACTTTGGGAGGCCAAGGCAGGCGGATCACGAGGTCAGGAGATCGAGACCACGGTGAAACCCCGTCTCTACTAAAAATACAAAAAATTAGCCGGGCGCGGTGGCGGGCGCCTATAGTCCCAGCTACTCGAGAGGCTGAGGCAGGAAAATGGCGTGAACCCAGGAGGCGGAGCTTGCAGTGTGCCGAGATCGGGCCACTGCACTCCAGCCTGGGCGACAGAGCGAGACTCTGTCTCAAAAAAAAAAAAAAAAAAAAAAAAAAAAATATATATATATATATATATATAATCCATTAGAAAGTTGCTCTGGGCGAATGGAATTTGTTCATTGTTATAACTTCTTAAAACACAATATCCCTTGTCTAGATTCAAGACATATATATTTGAGTCCCATGCAAATACGGGACACTATGGGTACAGTAAATGAACGACCATATGGAAGAGTTACAGGAGCTAAGATGAAACATGAATCATTAAAAACTGAGGATAACTGAAGGACGTAAGTCCTACAGGGGGGTCTTTACTCTGAATCCTGCCACTAAGTGCTCAATAAAATCGAGTTAAGTAAGTGAGTAAATGAATGAATGATAAATGAATGAATAAGTATGGATTTTGTTTTCAAAGATAGAAAGGATTCACAAAAGCAGAGATTATGAGGTATGAAAAAGGTTTTTTTCTAAGAATAGACCCTCAAACACTCTTAGATTCTTGCTGTTTTCTGAGTACCCCAATGTCAACTGTCTATTCCAGAAGTAAACCCTCAAGTATATGGTCAAATGATCTTCCACCAGGGTGCCAAGAGTATACAATGGGGAAAGGTCAATCTCTTCGACAAATTGCGTTGGGAAAACTGGATATCCACATGGAAAATAATGAAGTTGGATTCTTACCTGACACCATATGCAAATACAAAAATTAACTCAAAATGGATAAAAGACCTAAATGTAAGAGCTAAAAGTATCAAACTCCTAGAAGTTCTATCAAACATAGAAGAAAACTTTATGACATTAAATTTTGCAACAATTTATTGGATATGACCAAAAACAGGCAACAAAAAATACACAAATCCAACTTCATCAAACTTAAACATTTCTGCACATCAATGAAAACAATCAACAGAGTGAAAAACAATATGAAATAAGATATTTGCAAATTATCTTTTCAGTAAGAAGTTAATATCCAGAATATATAAGGAGCTTCTACAACTCAACAGCAGCAACAATGACAAATAGCCTATAAACATCCTCAGCAAAATACTAGCAAAATGAATGCAACAGCACATTAAAAGGGTCTTTTATCATGATCATGTGGGTTTTATTCCAAGGATGCAAGATGTTTCAACATACTCAAATCTAAAAATGTGACATACCACTTTAACAGAATGAAGAATACTAACCATATTAATATCTCAATAGACTCTGAAAAAGCATTTGACAAAATTCAACATCCTTTCGTGATTTAAAAAAAAACTCTCAACAAATAAGGAATGCACCTCAACACAATGAAGGTCATATATGACAAACTCATAGCTAATATCATTCTCAATGGTGAAAAGTTGAAATTTTTTTCCTCTAAGACCAGGAACAAGACAAGGAGGTCCACTCTAACCATTTCTATTCAACATAGTACTGAAGTTCTAGCCAGCAATTAGGCAAGAGTAAGAAATAAAAATCATCCAAATTGGAAAGGAAAAATGTAAATTGTCACTGTTTGTAGATGACATGATTATATAAATAGAAAACCATAATAACTCCACTTAAAAACTATGAAGTAATAAAGAAATCTAGTTGCAACAGAATACAGATTGTACTGAAAAAAAAATAAAGGAATCTTGTAAAGTTGCAGGATACAAAAATCAACATACAAAAATCAGTAGCATCACACTAACAAAGAACTATCTGAAAATGAAACCAATAAAACAATCTCATTTACAATAGCTAAAAATAAGTAAATAAGTAAAATAATACATTTAACAAAGGAGGTGAAAGACCTATACGCTTAAAACTATAAAACACTGATGAAGGAAATTGAAGAAGTCACAAACAAATGGAAAGATATCCTGTGTTTATAGATTATAAGAATCAATATTGTTAAAATGTCTGTACTACCCAAAGTGATCTGCAGATTTGATGCAATCCCTATCAAAATTTCCTTACATTTTTCACAGAAACAGAAAAAAAAATCCTTAAATTCATATGGAACCACAAAAGACCTTGAATAGCCAAAGCAATTGTGAGCAAAAAGAACAAAACTGGAGGCATCATACTATCTGATTTCAAAATATACTAATATACTACAAAGCCATAGTAATCAAAACAACATGGTACTGACATAAAAACAGATGCATTGACAAAATAGCCCAGAAACAAATCCACACATTCATGGTCAATTGATTTTCAACAAAGGTGCCAAGAACCAACAATGGGTAAAGCATAGTCTCTTCAATAAATGGTATTGGGACAACTGAATATCCACATGTAGAAGAATGAAACTAGACTGTCATCTCACACCATATGCAAAAATCAACTCAGAATAAAGGCTTACACATAAGACCTGAAACTGTAAAACTACTAGAAGAAAACATAGAAGAAAAGCTCCATGACATTAGTTTGGGCAATAATTTTTTGATATAATCCCAAAAGCACAGGCAACAAAAGCAAAAATAGACAAATGGGATTATATCAAACTAAAAACCTTGTTTTTCTTACAGCCAAAGAAACAATCAATAGAGTGAAGAGACAACATATGGAATGGGACAAAACATTTGCAAACCATATGCTTGATAAGGGGTATAGGAATCCAAACAACTCAATAGCAAGAAAACAGCCTGATTTTAAAATGAGCAAAGGATTTGAAAAGACATTTCTCAAAAGTTGACATACAAATGGCCAACAGGCATATGAAAAAAATGCTCGACATAGCTAATCAGAGAAATGAAAATTAAAACCACAGTGAGATACCATCTCACAACTGTTAGAATGACTATTGCCAAAGGCAGGTAACAAGTGCTGGCAAGGGTGTGGAGAAAAGGGAACCCTTGTACACTGTTGGTGGGAATGTAAATTATATAGTCATTATGGAAAACAGTATGGAGGCTCCTTAAAAAATTAAAAATAGAACTACCATGTGATCCAGCAATCTCATTTCTGAGCATACACCCAAAGGAAATGAAATCAGCACTTCATAGAGATACTTATGCTCCATGTTCATTGCAACATTGTTCACAATAGCTAAGATATGGAAACAACCTAAGTGTGTATCAACAGATAAATGGATAATGAAAATGTGGTATATACACACAATGGCATACTATTGAGCCTTAAAAAAGAGTAAGATCCTGTCACTCACAACAAAAATGGATGAACTTGAAGAACATTATGTTAAGTGGATATGCCACAGAAAGACAAATACCACATAATCTCATTTATATGTGAATCCAAAAAAGTTGAACTAATAAAAATAGTGAATAGAATGGTGGTTATTAGGAGCTGAAAATGCTGCTGGTTGGAAAGATGTTTGTCCCAGGTTACAAAATTTCAGCCAAATAGGAGGAATACGTTCAAGAGGCCTAGTGTACAATGTGGTGAATATAATTAATAACAATGCATTGTATTCTTGCAAATTGCTAAGAGAGTAGGTTTTAAGTGTTCTCACCATAGAAGTATATAATGCATATATTAATTAGGTCAATTTAACCATTCCACAATGCATACATATTTTAAACATCACGTTGTACATGATAGGTATATATGATTTTTCTTTGTCAATTAAAAAAGCAAATAACCTGGTTTAAAAATGGGCAAAGGACTTGAACAGATAATTCTTCAAATAATATATACAAATAGCCAACAAGTGTATGAAAATATGTGTAACACCATTAATTATTCGAGAAACATGAATCAAAACCACAATGAGATAGATATCTCACAGCCATTAAGGTGGCCACTACAAAACCAACCCAACAAAAAAAATAACAAGTGTTAGCGAGGATGTCAAGAACTGGAATCCTGGTGCACTGTTGGTAGGAATGTAAATGGTGCAGCCACCATGGAAAACAGTATGAGATTTCCTAAAAAGTTTACAAATAAAATTATCACATGATTCAGCAATTCCATGTCTCGATACATACCCAAAGGAAACAAAATCAGCATTTAATAAAGATATTTCTGCTTTCATGTACATTGCAGCATTATTTACAATAGACAATGGGTGTAAACAACCGAAAAGTTTATTGACAGATAAATGAATAAAGAAAATGTGGTGTGTATATATATATATATGTATATGCAGTGGAATATTATTCAGCCTTAAAAAAAGAAGAAATCCTCTTACATGGTACAACATGGATGAACATTATGGTAAGTGGAATAAGCCAGTCACAAAAAGATAAATACTGTATGATTACACTTATAAGAGATATCTAAAGTCAAAATAATAGAAACAGAGTGGGGGTTTCCAGGAGCTGGGAAGAGCGGGAAATAGGGAGTTGTTCCCTGAGGATAAAGTTTCATTTTGCATATAAAAAAGTTCTAGAGTTGTCACACAACAATGTGAATATTATTTACCCAACTGAGCTATACACATAAAAGGGTTAAGAGGATAAATCAGATATGGATGAGACTCAAGGTATGATTCATTGTGAGGCAAATTGCTCTCCAGCTGTGAAATCGAATATGCTATTTGCTTCCAAAATATAATGATGGGACAGGCATAGGATAGAAATTCTTATTCCAAAAGGAAGAAATGGGAGAGAAGAAAAGTGTACCAGGTCCTGAGCAAGTCAAGTTTCCAGAATAATCTTTTTGAATCAAGGTTCTGCCCTCCAGGCACACTGGGGAGGTGGCCTCTGCCTCATGGCTTTGTGCAGCCCTGCCCTCATAGTTGCTCCCTTTGGTGGCCCTACCTCTGAGGCAGCTGGGTGCCCGAGGCTCTCCCAGGCTGAAATTGTATACCAGTGGTTCAATTGGTCTAGGGCCTCAGGGGTGGCCTTACCCTACTGCTTCACTGGGCATTGCGCAGTGCAATCTCTCCATGGTGGCCCTGCACATGGTGGCTTTCTGCCTACGCACTGTGGCTTTCCAGAGCATCCTTTGAAATCTAGGTGGAGGTTACCATGCCCGCACAGCTTTTCAGAGCACAGCACTCACTAAACCAGGATCTGTTGGAGCCATACCTGGGGTAGCCTAGGAGCCCTGTGATGGAATGTGGAGAGCAGAGCCTCAAGGTGGCCCATGATAGTGAGTGCTGAAGCCCCACAAGTACCTGCAGCCCCTCCTTTGAAATCATTCTGTCCCTCATGCCCTTGTATTCCGCACCTCGGATAGGAGTGGCAGCCCTGATCTGAAATGTCTTTGGGTCATTCTTTCATTGCCTTGATGAATAGCACCCAGATTCCACTGAGATGGTTGATCCATACTAATTTCCTCATCCGATGGTTACATAGACACACCACTGGTGTTCTGTCCTGAACATGATTTCTTAGTTTTCACAATATGGATAGGCTAAGAATTTTCTTAATCTTTAAGTTCTGCTTCCTTTTGAATTAAAATTCTATCTGGTGCCATCCCCTGATCTCAGCGGCAGGGGCTGACAAACTTGAATCCAGAGGGTGAACTAGAGGAGGTGGGGGGCATCTTCCCTCCTGCCCTGGTGAGGAGTTGCAGCAAGCTCCCCGCGCCTCTCCTCCCTGATCCACCGGCCACCGCAGCCCATGTGATCCAGGGAAGTTGGGGTGCCCCCTCACCCCGCACCTGGGTGGCCTGGACGCGGGGTCCCCTCAGCCCCTCAGGGTTCCAGCGCCACTTGTGTAGGTCCATCTGCAGTGGGCCACGTGTGCACATCGGGCAGGGGGACCACACCAGCATCTAGTTTTCAGTGGAAACTTATTGAGTAAGGAAGAGCTAAAGGTAAGTGAGAAAGGGTGATTAGTTAGCCAGGGCCACCATAACAAGATACCACAGGCTGGGTGGCTTAAACTTAAACTTATTTTCTCAGAGTCTGGAAGTCCAAGATCAAGTTGCCAGCAAGGTAGGTTCCATTCTGAGGCCTCTCTCGCTGGCCTGGAGATGACTGCCTTCTCACTGTGTCCTCACAGGGCCTCTGTGCATTTGCTCTCCTGGTGTCTCTTCCTCTTCTTATAAGGACACCAGTCCTTATAAGGGGCCTTAGGGCCCCACCTGGATAACCTCGTTTCACCTTAATTACCTATTTAAAGGCCCTGTCTCCAAAGCATTCACATTAGGTGTTAAGGTTTCAACATAGGAATTTCGAGTTGTGGGGAGGGATAAAATTCAGTCCTTAACAGAGGTATAGCTCCTGGAATAATTAAACTTGCAAACAATAGCAATGGCACTTTAGGGCAGGAGCATGACCCTAAGCCATGGTTTCTCAACCTGGCACCATTGCCATTTAGGGCTGAATAATTCTTTGTGCTGGGGGCTGTCCTACGCATTCCAAGATGTTTAGCAACATCCAACATCCCTGGGCTACACCCACCAGATATCAATAGTGCTCCCCTCTCCTAGTGTGAGAACAAAAATGTTTACAGACATTGGCAAATATCCCCTGTGAGGCAAAATCACTCCTGGTGGATATTGCTGTAAGCATAGGGTTTCTCTCTTTCATCAGGGACAAAGTGTAGAAGGACAGATTTCCTCCACAGAAGCTTCATAAGTTTAAATAGGCCATAAATATCCTTGAGCTCTCTTAGCAGTCCTTCAAGTTTCTGTCACCCTTGTGTGTGTGTGAGTAGATTATATATATATATGTACATGTTTTGAGAATTTACACATTTCACTTTTGGGACTAACAGGTTCCCATAGGTTTGTTAGCCTTGGTATGAGAGAGTCTGCTTTTCTACTTATGTTAAACTTACCATCTTCAAAGTTTAAAAGACTCTCCCTGTTGTGTATTTCAGGATTTGGTGAACAAGATTAATGTAGTCTGACTTTTTCCAAGATTATAGACTTGCACCATATATGCTGTCTACAGTGGACATCTTTTATTCCTCTCATAGTGACCACCCCATTCCCTAAATTGTTTCCGTTGTTTCTAAAGTTTTGTCATCTCCCTATGTCTTCTCCAAAACTCAGGACCAGTGGTGGAAGGCACTGTAGGAGCAGTGGGCACACTCCCAGGGGCTGAGCCTGGATGGATAGGGTCAGGAAGGAGGATGGACTTGGAAGGTCACACCAGAGGCACCAGATGATGTGACAGATGAAAAGGCACATTAAAAAGTAATACGTACGTTACAAATGCAACTCCTTTTGTGATAATTATTGTATCGAATTGGGCATTTCTGAGCTTACCCTGTTGTTCTCCAAAGCAGTTGGCTAAGGCTGTTCTTATTTTTTCTTTAACCTTCCTGCCACCCTCAGATCGAATTTATTTGCTACACTAGTGCCAGGTTAATAATCCTAGAACACAACCATGATCATCTCACTTCCTCCTCAAAAACCATCACTGTCTCTCCACTGCCTGCAAAGTCCCACATCCTGAGCCTGGCATTGCAGTTGTCTACAGTCTTTCCTCAGCCTGACCTCCCTCTGTGTCCTTACAAACACGCTGTGCTCCAGAAAGACTGGACTTTGACATGACATATAAAAAATGTTTTCACATTTTCCCCTTCAAACCATTTATGGTGCTAGTATGATTCCCTCCTCAATCCCAGAGCTCTCTATTTTGAGGCAGAAAACAAGAGGCCCAGAATCAATTAGCATCAGTTTCCTGCCTTCACTTTCCTATGGCACTAAGTCAAGTCAGATTGGCAAAGCCTTTATAGCTGGTCCCAGCCTGACTCTCTGCCCAAACCTACTTACTAAATCCTCTGGAAATGAGGGCAGTCCCACTCCGGGTTGGCCTCATGAAGACATCTCAGTCCCATCAAACCTCCCCTTGGCTTTGAGACTAATCCACGCTGGCCGTGTATACAGTTTTTCTCTAGAATCCGTGTGTGTTTATCCCCTGAAGTTCTATCATGTCCTTGGATTATCACCACACCATTGATGCTGCTTCTGTCTCAAAGGACACTTTGGACTCTGCCTGTCCTTGCCATCGCCTGTCTGGGCAGTAGTCTGCTTAACTCTAAGCCCCAAAGTCCTCCCTTCCCTCCTTGACTAAGTTTCTCAGATTTGTACAGTTTGGTGGCAACAATGCTTCCTACTCAGTTGCTAAGACAGGAGTGACCCTTTGGTGTGGTCTCTGAGATTCTCTAGGGACCTCACAGCCTGGATGGCCTCCTGGGAGCTTGCCTGGCCTTACACTGAGCTGCAAACCATGAGAGGAAAGCTATTTAGCCCCTCCAATTAAAGAGATTGCCTCTAAGTCCCCTACAGAGTTCCTCTTTCCTTGTGTCTGAGGGTCTCCTCTGGGTCATGTGTCTTTTGCAGAAGACTAGCAGTGAATTGCCATGGGATTGATAACAGAGCCCTCTGGGCTCAGTGGCCAGCTCTGTCCTTTTCCTTGGCCTCTCTCTGATTATTTACAAACATATGACTTTCTAGCCCAGTCAGGGAGATTGTCTTTTGGAATGAGAGCTATATAAACAAAAAAGATTAAGAACTTAGTAATGGAGTTAATTTTCACCAAGAACAGAGGCAATCCATTTCCTCATGAAACTTTCCAGAGAGCAGGAGATGCAACTCTCTGAGAAAGGAAGGAAATAGTTCCAGGGAGGGGCTGCTGTTTTCTGGGCCACTTTGCATGAGACGGGAAAGTGAAAGCAGAACCGACGCAACCTCATGGAAGGCTATTTCTGCTGTAAGCACCTACTTCTCCATAGAGAACACTCTCCATGCCCTCGTGTGCCAATGGGCAGTGTGAACTAAGAGTGTTCATTTGTGTCCGGCAGAATATTTCTCAAGAAGGGTCTGGTAGCCGGGCAAGCCACATAGTTGGAGACACTGTTTGAGTGGAAGTAGACCAGTTTTTTCTAGTTGCTTGTTTTCATCAAGCAAGAACCACATATAGGTAAAAAGCAATTTTAAAAACTGATTTTTGGTTTTGAGAAAAGTCAAACGTGTAAAACATTTGTGATTGCATAATAAAGCTGCATGTCTAAGAATATAAATATTTTATAATAGATTAGCTATTACACAAAAACATTGAAATATCTTTTAATTTTTCATTTTGATCAGATGAAGAGAGCCAAAGAAGGAAAGTGAGTGTACAGAAATGGAAAAAGAAGTGGATTAATGTAGAGAAAGAAGAGATATCTAGAAGAATAAAATTGTGGCCCTGAGGAGAGAGGAGGTGGAATGGTTAGATTTTGCTCTCCATTAATAGAAGACCAGGTTGCTGTATTCAAAAGGTCTGAGAAGAAGAAAAGATGTGACAGCTACTAAGCACCTAGTAGATGCCAAGGATTGTTCTTTGCTATGTTAGGTATAATTAGATGACTAAGAATTGAAGCTATACAAATGAATGTTTGATCAAGGAGACATTGTTAGCTGGGGACAGATCCCTAGAGGCACTCTGCATTTAGAGATTCCCAGAGGAGCAGAAGCCCCAGAATGAATGATCTGAATGGTGTCAGGAAAATCAGAGGAGTGTGATGTCTTGAAATCTGAATAAGGAGAGATTTCAAGAAAGTGGAATGATCTACTGTGATGAAAGCAGCAGAAAACTCCACAAAGATAAAGATTTGGTGACCTTGGCAATCAATTTCTGTCCCACTGAGGTCATGGACAAGGAAGTCAGACTGCAGTGGGGCTGAGAATGAGTGGGAGGGGAGAAAGAGGAAACACAGAAGTGTAACATTTTCTTTAAGGAACATGGGAAGAGTAAAGAAGAAAGATGAGGGTGGAAGCTAGGGAGATGAGAAGAGCATTAGGGACAAGGAAGATTTGAGCCTAAATTCTAAACTGAAGGGAAGGATCTGGCAGCAGGGGGCTGATTAGAGTTAACAGAGAGATAGAAGGGAGGACAGCTGAGACAAGCTCCCAGTGGAGGCAGGAGTGAAGGTCTCGAGCGCATAACTGGAGGTCAGGGTTAGCCTGGAGCAGGAAGAGCCCCAGCCTCTGAGACTTCAGGAAGAAGAAGAAAGAGAAACCAGGGTCTCCAAATGGTCAGAATGTCGCTGATGAAGGGTGTGCCTGACCAATTTTCTTGATGAAGTAAGAGCCAAGGAATTCCTGCTGCTATGTAGAACTGAATGTGGAGTGAGAGGAGAGTGAGAAGGTTTGGAACTTTCACAAGGAGACTCGGGTAATTAATTAATTGATCAGTCAATCAATTAAATGGTTTGCTGCCTCTTTTCTCTTTCTATCAATTCAAGTCAATCCTGCTTTCACCGGGCTCCAAGGCAAAAACTGTGCCTGCTTGCCATTAATCATAGATAAGGCACAACCCTATTACTTAGCAGGACATCTGCGGCTTTCACAATTTGACACCAGCCTGTTTCCTAAGCCTCGTCTCCTCCGGCTCCTCGTTTACTTGGCCATGCAGCAGTCCCCTGCCCACCATATACTTTGAGGCCTCTGTGCCTTTGCCCAGGCCATCTTCTCTCCTTGCAAGGCTCTCATCCTCTTCTCCGCATCAGTAGACTTGTATTTATCCTCCAAGGCACAGTTCAAACGTCATCTTCTCTCTAGCTTCTCCTACCTAGGGCAGAATTAAGAATTCCCTTTTGTGTATTACACAACAATTTATTTATTGTTGTTATAGCAAACATGGGAAATTGCTATTTCAAATACATAGTGTCAGAAGCTGCTTTCATATTCTGGAGATGTAATTAATCTCAAGGAGGAAATTGACTTTTGATTTAGAAAAACACGTTAATGCGCCATTTCATTATAAATGAAATACCCAAAGCTTGTATAGACAGAAGTTACATGTTTCTGTGAAGCATATGGAGATATATGTTATTATAAAAACATTAATTTACTAGAGGTCTTAATGTTTTCCTTTTGCACTTCTTTAGATGTGACCTTATGCCTATTCACCCAGGGGAAAATTTGGATTTTTATCACAGAAGACCAAAAGCAAACAATATTCCAAAACAGAATATTGACAGCTATATCAAAGTCATAGTCTTAAAAATTAGACATTGGTAAGAGAAAAGGGAGTTTCTAAATTTACAAAAGTCTAGGTCCTTAGAGCTCTCTGCTGGGGATTCATTCTAGACTGAGATCACCTCTTTTGGGAGGTGGGCACTCACTGGCCACTTCTGTGTTCCTGAGATCTTAGAAACACCAGAACCCTCTCCTCTCAACCCTCTGCTACCTCCACATGGCACTAGAGCCCACAGGATCTACCTTGGATCTACAGCTTGGATCTACCCACACACATTCTAGAGTCTCACGGGATCTTCTAGGGATATCCCTGGTCTGATAAAGAGACACTGCCTGTGGATATTTTCCTTTGCTATCCCAATTGCACTCTCTGTTTTTGTGAGGACACTTGGGAAGATGAAAAACACTCTGTCACCATTGTCATCTTCTCCCTGTATCACCAACATCTGACAAATCGAATATTACTTATAAGCTACTATGAAAACAAAAGGAAAGGCAAATTAACCAACATTTTCAGAAGTCTTCAAAAGTTGTAAAAACCATTAAATTCAATATAAAAGGACAAAACTTTAAAGTCAAGTTTTTGGCAAATTGATAAAATTGGGGAATTGATGATTTGATGTATTAATTTCTGATTAGTTGATGGGTTGATTTTAGTGAGTTGACGTGCAGTAAATTGGTGTTCAGGATGGTCATGGAGAGGCTTGAACTGGCCTGGAGCCAGGGGCCACAGCCCAGAACACACGGGCCCAGGATCAGGCTGCAGCCTCGCCAAACTGGAAGGATGTGAGTAGTAGCAGAGCCACGCTGGGGCCACCAGCAGGCAAGGTGGCTGAGCCCCACTGCCTTCGTCAGGGATAATCGATCGCAGATTAGACCAGCCACGGAAATGTTGGCGAGCGATGGGGACAGGCCAAGGAACTGGGGGCAGAGAACCATCAGAAAAGAGAAAAAATGCCACCTAGACCCAGCTTCCCACAGCCAGCACGCTCTGTAAGTTCATCCTCTGCCCCAGGATGTCATTCCCAAAAGGGGGAGGGAGAGGGGGAAGAGAAGAAACCGTGAAAGATTGTGCCTTTCCCAGAAGACATTTGAAGTTTTTCAAAAATACCTCTTTTAAACAGGAAGGGCTGTATCTATGCCTTTCGATGGCCAATTTTGGGGTTTTCCTACCATCATTTGGAATTGTTGCTCCAGAGTGTAATGAGACCAGTTATATATTTTTAAAGTTACTTTTTTTGATGTATAAATTTCAAACTATCTGCAGATATAAAGGAAGAGTGATTTTAGCTTAGAATTTCCCAGGAGACAGAGGTTGGAACTCTGGCATTTAGAGAAGTCAGGAGACGGGAGGGGAAAGTTCTAAGGGAAGTGAGCAGTTCCCAGCCAAAGGGCAGAAGTCCAGAGTTTGAAAAGTGATGGCCAGCAAGAAATCTGCTGTGCTGGGGAGCTGCCCCCAAATGACCACAACAGTCTGCCCAGGGCAGGAGGCTGGTGCAGGAGATGCCATCAACTCCATACGTAAGCACACATTTGCATCACTTCTCTGTCCAGGAATTATCAGACATTCTGGTGACAGCAGTGAGCCATTTGAATTCCTGCAATTAGACAGGCACTTGAAACTGCTTAATTACTAGGGAAAGGATTGCCCCAGAAAGTTGCAGGCCACATGAACATTTATATTGCACATTAATAGACCTTCTCCTTTTTCCACCACGTATTTAGTTCTGTGTACAGACTTCCAAGACAGCCATTCTTGTTGGCAGGAACCATAATTGTGGTCCCAAAGCCTAGCACGGCACTTAAAGCAAAATAGATTAAAACAGAGCGATGCACCAGCAAACAGTCAGATCTAAGGTCCAGAATGGAAAAATTCAATGGTAAGGTCGCCCTCTGGTGGAATATCTAGGTAGTAACAGGAAAGGACTTGAAGACTCTGGCAAGCTGGCTACTTAAATGTAAAAATCTCAGAAAAGGAGCCAGTGGCCAACTGGTAGCCAACCAAGAGCACCCAGAGCAGCGCTGTCCAGTAGAAATATAATGGGAGCCTCTTAATTCAATTTCAAATTTTCTAGTAGCTACATTTAAAAAGCAATAAGAAACAGGTGAGATTAATCTAATACATATTTTAAACCGCAAATATACAAAAAATTGCAAACTGAACATTAATTAATATAGAAATTACTGAGATTATGTATATACATTTAATTAAGTCTTCAAATCCCAGGGCATTTTATACTTAGAGTTTTTTTTGGCTTAATAGCTACAGGTGGCTTGTGGCTACTGCACAGGACAGCACAGTCCTTGAGGAAGGGGATCATGTCCTGCTCTTCTGTGCTCCCAGAGCAGCACACAGTGCCTAAGTCACATCAGGTGTCCTATAAACATGTATTTAATGAAGAATATCCCCCAACACCTACCTGAACTTGTCATGCTCCAAAGAACATGACAGATACAACTTTACCTCAAAGTCAGCATTTTAGACAATTTAGAACAACTGGATTTGTGTCATTTTTAAAGGACACTTTAGTAAGTTTTTGTCGAATCTGTGTTTGCCTCATTATTAGACTCTAGTCCCAATAACAGTACCTCTCCCTAGAGTCAGGGTTATCCACTTTATTCACTTTTATTTGTTATCATTGACTTATTTATTTAATAACGTGCTAGCGTTTAGGGGGAAAAGGAAGATTGTGTAACAAAGATTCAATCATCCATGATCCCTTCTTACAGGCCCTTTCCATCTAGGAGGGAATGTGGACCATACATATACATTCCAAGAAAACAAATAATGAGGAAGCCCTGGTGAGACTGAAAGGTGTTCTGAACTGGGTTGCTTGCTGGCTGTGGCTATGAGAAGGTTCCTGGAACCTTCTGCTCTTGCCTCCCCGGTGTTGGCCTTGAGCAATCACTGCCTGCTCCCTGCTGCAAAAAACGATGGCAAGATCCTGATTGCCTGTCCAGCTGTTGAGGGGTGGGTGAGAAAATCCAAGCTGAAATCCTGCTGGAGTGGGAGGAGCTGGGGACTGCCCTAGTCATTGCCTCCTCTGCCACCCCAGCTATCAGTGCTCCCTACGCCTCCTAGTGCTCCCACCCTGAAGTCCTGACCTGAAGTGACACCCAAAGGGTAGTGACTATGGTTTTGCGCTGGCCTAGGACTCCAGCTGGCCCTCCTTTCTCTTTACACACATGACACCAACACAGATGGCCACTAGTGGGTCAAAATAATACCTTTAGGGAGTGCCGACACCTCAAAAGAAAAACAGCAAACAGGACCATCTATGTCCTTGAAAGAAGTGGTAGAAAATATAGACCAGCCGCTTAAAATGAGCATTAAAAGTGCACTTTAAAAGTCAGAAGCTATTATAATATGAAAAAATAGAGAATATAGGGAAAACACCTAGAAGTTCTAGGTGTAAAAAATATATATAATAGTCAAAGTAAAAGCCACATTAATGGGATAAATAGTGGGAGAGATGCAACTGAAAAACAAAACAGAAAGATGGAGGACTACACTGAGGAGCTAGTTCAGAACAAAAGAGGGAAGAATTGAGAAGTCATCAATAGAAAAGTCAGGGGAAAAGGAGGAGAGAATTATCCAAATATAGATTATATGAGTTTCACAAAGACAAAAAATAGAGGAGAAAAATAGTTAAAGAAATAAAAAGATGAATTCCCAGAATTAAAAGATAGAGAAGATCCATAATGTCTTACAGAGAGAAGGAAAAACCCACTCTAGACACACTAGCAAAATTTAAAAATATCAAAGACAATGAGAAAATTCTAGAAGATTCCAGCATGAAAGACTGACATGGGATTTTCTAACTGTGACATTGGATGCAAAAAAAAAAATTTGGAATGATGTTATTTAGAATATTAAAGGGGAAAATACTTCAAATAGTATGTAATACACAGCTAAACTTTATTCAAAAGTGCTGGTATAATTTTAAAAAATTATCAAGCATACAAGACTTTAGAAGGTTTGCTATGCAAATTCCCACATCTGAAAGTTTTTGGAAGAAGAATTCTAATCAGAGAACGCATTCTAGAAGGTGCCAAAAGATATGAAAAGTAATGTTGACCAAATAATTTGGTGAAGGAGAAAATATGTGAATAAATTTGAAAGCATGCTAAAGTTCTTATCCAGTCAGAGGGAAGATGGAGAAGGTATCGGTAACACTTAAAAAAAAAAAAAGGCAATGAAGATTAAAAAAGAAAACTTGGCCGGGTGTGATGGCTCACGCCTGTAATCCTAGCAGTTTGTGAGGCCGAGCCAGGCAGATTGCCTGAGCTCAGGAGGATAAGCCTGGGCAACACGGTGAAACCCCGTCTCTACTAAAATACAAAAAAAAAAAAAAAATAGCCAAGCATGGTGGCATGCACCTGTAGTCCCAGCCACTCGGGAAGCTGAGGCAGGAGAATCGCTTGAACCCGGGAAGCAGAGGTTGCAGTGAGCCAGCCCAGATCATGCCACTACACTCCAGCCTGGCAACAGAGCGAGACTCCGTCTCAAAAACAAACAAACAAACAAACAAAAAAACTTTAAAAAATAGAAATATTGAAATAAATAAGGTATTACAAACAAGCCCAAGTGCATCAATATTCACAATAAACACAATCAGAATGCAGCAAAGACAGTGCCATGTGCTCACCAAACCATTATATCTTCCTGCACACATAGGTAACGTACATTTTTCCATCCCCGTGCGCCTATGTGGGGTCATTGTTTACTTCTTGCCAATGGAATGTGAGCAGAGATGGCAAATAGTTTCTGGTCCAAAACCATGGAAACAATGTGCCTTTCCCAGGTTCTCTCTCCTACCTGCAAAGCTAGGAGTTCATGAAGTGCTTTTCAATAATAGAGATGCAAAGTGGAGCTTAGCCACCTTGAGGCATGTTTTGGAAAAGAGCTACAGAGTGCCCAACCTGCCTTGAACTACACGTGGCTAAAAAATAAACCTGTGTTTTGTTAAACCACTGAGGCTTCAGTGTTTGTCTCTTGCAGAAACAAGTTTGCTCACTTTGACTACCATATGAATTGAACATAGGTTAGAAGACAGAGATCGTCAGATTGAATCAGAAGCAAAAATCTATATTTATGACATTTCAAGGGCTACATCTAAAGCATAAGTACAAAGGAAGAGTAAAAACAAAAGAGTAGAAAAAGATACAGTGAACAAATACCCAAAGACAGCTGTAGAACTTATTACTATCAGACAAGACAGAGTAGGACAGAAAGATTCTCAGGACAAATTGGGAAAAGGCTCAGTTCACCAAGACTGTAATAATTCCCAAGAGTAAACACCTTAATAACCTAAATGCAGAGAGGGCAAAAGTTGATTTAAAAATTAGAAACAAGTTGAAAAACCTACAGTCACAGTTAGAGATTTAAATATACCATTCATAGGCCAGGAATTGTGGGGCATGCCTATAGTCCCAGCTACTCTGGGAGGCTGAGGCAGGAGGATCGCTTAAGCCCAGCTGTTTGAGGCTGCAGCGAGCCATGATTACTTCACTGCCCTCCAGCCTGAGCAACAGAGCAAGGCCCTGTCTCTAAAAAATAAATAAATAAATGCACCACTCTTAGTTATGTATAGGCCAGTCCAAAGATAAAGAAAACCGTAATAAATTAGAATGACAAAATCCACATGCTTGATCCAATAAACATGTACATGTATAAAATTCTGCATCACATTTATTAGAGCCCATGTGAAATATTTACAGAAGTTCACCACACTCCAAGCCATAGAGGATTATCATGTAATTAAATTATAAGTTAATAACAAAAAACATACTTTAAAAAATCTATGTATGTTTTCAAATAAAAAAAACACCCGATACTCGACTGTTATTAACCAAAGAAGCAACATTCTTTATCATGAGTTTTTCATGGCTTTCCCGTCTTTCATCTCATGGCTCCAGCTCCCACCTCACTTGGGGGGAGGTGAAGGTGGCAAGGGTCCTAACCAGGGCAGGACCAAAGCAGTGAAGACACTGTTCATTCATGCGCAGGTGTCTCCTAGGCGCCTATGATGTGCTAGGCATTACGTAGACACTGTGGACTAGAAACGAAAAAACTAAGATTAGGGCTCCCCATAAACCGGGCCATGCAAATCAATTACTAGCTGTCATTTGATTAATTTGAAGTCAGAAGCTGTGTCTGCCCCACTTAAAATAGGCATCCCTTATTCATTGAGGAAAGAGCATTGGAGCAGGTTTTACCAGTCCACAGACTACCCGAGAACCACCTGGGGAGCATGCTGAAAACACAGGTTCCCTGGCCCTGCCTTGGAAAGGCTAATCTAACCCATTAAGTAAAGAGGAAACTCAGGAACACGTATTATAACGAACCCCCCAGGTGATTCTCATTTGGAACCAGAGACCCGCATGATTTCCTAGCTCCCTCCAAGTTGAAAATCATCGATTTCATGGTCTTTGACACATGGCCTAATTTGGTTAGATTTCTCTTTACACAGACGTTAGCTTTACGTTGTTGTTGTTTTGTTTTGTTTTGTTTTTTAAATATATATACTGGACTAAATTCTCCCAGTGCCTCTTATTAGCCGAGCCCAACCAGAAGCCAAAGGCAAGGGTGATGCCGTCCTCCAGCCTGTGTCAGCCTGGAGGAGGTGCCCGGGTCCTGGAGGGACCAACAGAGAGGACCAGCACCTCTGCCCTCCTCGGGGAGTCCACGGGAGCTCTTTACACTTTGCTTTAGACCAAACAACTCCAACAATTACACATTTTTTCTTACACAATGAAATTAAATAATAATAAAAGAAAAATAAAATAACATTTTTGAAAGTGATTTAAAGTTTTAAGAGGTTTTTATTCCATTGTGTAGCCAATGTTTTCCTTTTAAAGATTATTGGTAAAGTTTATTTTACTTTCTAACTCAAAATTTGTCCACGGAAACTTCTTGGGAAAGTAGGATTCCCTGCATCGCAGATGGACATAGAGAGAGGATTTGTTGGAGCTCAGCTGCGCGGTGCTCTGACGGCCTTTTCTCTCTCTTCAGGGGGTCCCTTCTTGGAGGACGTGGTAATAGTTGGTCCAAGCCCCTCCCATCCTCCAAAACTTCCTCTGGCCTCTCCTGGGGGCCCAGTGAATCCTTCCACCTTCTCACCCCGGCTCTTTCCCTCTTTACCCAGCAACAGATACATTCACTCAGAGAATTTCTGTGATTGGCTGAAGACAGCAGGGGTCGCCCCCATCCTCGAATCTGTTTTCTTCTTCTTTACCTCCGCCTTGTTCCTGTCCTCACCACACGGACTGAGACTGATTTGATTAAAGCACCAGAGTGTAATGGCCCTCAGAGCAGGGCTGGTCCTGGGGTTCCACACCCTGATGACCCTCCTGAGCCCGCAGGAGGCAGGGGCCACCAAGGGTGAGTGCGAGGGCGAGGAGGGTGCGGCGGGGAGCAGAGATTTACGGAGTTGGGTTACATGAGGAGGTGGCATGGAGGATGCTTGTTCCTCTCGCTCTCTGGTTTATGGGCAACTTCCTTCACCAAGAGACACCCAATCCCCCTCATCTCTGTCACATCCACTCTGGACCTAAATGAAGATGCAGCTCGGTCAGCTGCGCAGGTGCCCCAGTCAGCCTTTGCTGACGTTCAGATTTCTCCTCATTCCTTCCTCCTTCCTGAGACCCAAACCTCCACCCAACAGATGCCAGCAAGCACCCTGATTTCTCTACCACCCCTGGCCGGGAATGTGCCCGATCAAGTCCAGTTCTGTTGCAGTATTTATGCCCATGCCGGTAGTTAACTATTTACCTGTCTTTGTTCTTCGGGAGACATGAGCTGGGGTGCGGGTCTACAGATGGTTCATCTTTTTTTTCTTTTATTTCCCTGGCCCCCCATTGTGCTGGGTGCATGCTAGTTCCTCAATAACTGTTGCTCAAACAACTTCATAGAGTTCTACAAGAATTAAAACTTAATCCCTAACTTCCAGAAAACTAGACAACAGTTATGGAAGAGCCACACTCAGTCATAATGCTCTGAGATGGAGGAATTGGGACATGAACCTTGACTTCTGACTCCTCGTCCAGTGCTCTTTGTAATGCCTTGAGTTGCCTCTCCCTATCCCCTTGGTCTCTGGGTCACTAACCTTAATTCTTACCCCTGCCAGCCGTGGCCTGTTTCCCCTCACACCCACCTGCACTGCATCTCTGTGCAAAGCTCCATACTCTCCTGTCCTTAATCATTCCTCCTCATCCCACCCCCACAGTCCCACCAGCTCACAACACAGGGCCTGACAACACAGCCAGGGCAGATGACCACAGCCAAGATTTAAATTCTGGAACCCCAAGCATGATTTTAGGCAGTCCCTCCTCTTCCCATCCTGATATGCCAGACTGCACTGTCTCTGTGCCGACTGCAGTGTGCTGGGATGAGCCTCTTTCTTCCTGTTCTCTCTCCCTTTCTCTCTCCCAGGGCCAGCCCAGTGTCAGAACAGGACTCTGTCCCCACACAGAACCCAGGACGGGGCCCAGGCTCAGGGACTCAACAATCACATATTGTGGATGAGACAGACACATTTTTTTCTCTCTCCTTGACCCTGAACTCGCCAAACACAGCTGACCACATGGGCTCCTACGGACCCGCCTTCTACCAGTCTTACGGCGCCTCGGGCCAGTTCACCCATGAATTTGATGAGGAACAGCTGTTCTCTGTGGACCTGAAGAAAAGCGAGGCCGTGTGGCGTCTGCCTGAGTTTGGTGACTTTGCCCGCTTTGACCCGCAGGGCGGGCTGGCCGGCATCGCCGCAATCAAAGCCCATCTGGACATCCTGGTGGAGCGCTCCAACCGCAGCAGAGCCATCAACGGTACCGGCCCTCCCTCTGCCCACCCAGTCAGGCGGGAAGGTCCAGAGAAACTTCCTCCCAGTTCCTAGGCTCCCATCACTCTGGGGCGCGCTCTCAGCGCCCGCGCCTGTCATGCCCTGTTCCTTTCTTTCCCAGGAGGCTCCAGGTCTTCCCAGACCCCTTTGGCACCCCTCTCCTTGAGGAATGACACCTCTCACCCGGACTCCCGCCCAGGGACCAGTCAAATATAGGAGCTCCTGGCGTCCCCACTCCCTCCCCAGTCTCCTCTCCCTCTGTTTTCCTCCTCTCCTGCCCCAGTGGATACCCCAGAGCATCCCCTGCCCACAGATGGCTACAAAGGGGGAACGTCCCTTAATCCCAGTCCTAGTAAGGCCCTGGGGTGAGGGATGAGCCTGTGGACTCAGGGCCTGTTCCTCCTAGTGCCTCCACGGGTGACCGTGCTCCCCAAGTCTCGGGTGGAGCTGGGCCAGCCCAACATCCTCATCTGCATCGTGGACAACATCTTCCCCCCTGTGATCAATATCACCTGGCTGCGCAACGGCCAAACTGTCACTGAGGGAGTGGCCCAGACCAGCTTCTATTCCCAGCCTGACCATTTGTTCCGCAAGTTCCACTACCTGCCCTTCGTGCCCTCAGCCGAGGACGTCTATGACTGCCAGGTGGAGCACTGGGGCCTGGATGCGCCACTCCTCAGGCATTGGGGTACGGAGCCCCCTCCCCATGCACCCTCCTGGCCCCAGGTTTCCTTTACTCTAGAATCCTTTCATATACCACCAACTCCTTCCTTTCTCTCCTAGAGCTCCAGGTGCCTATTCCACCACCAGATGCCATGGAGACCCTGGTCTGTGCCCTGGGCCTGGCCATCGGCCTGGTGGGCTTCCTCGTGGGCACCGTCCTCATCATCATGGGCACATATGTGTCCAGTGTCCCCAGGTGCAGAGGCCCCGGGAGTCTGGGGGGTGGGGGAGGAAAGTGGATGACTCTGAACAGGACGTGGGTGGAGAATCAGAGATTCTGTTGTGGGGAAAGAAGTCAGAAAAGAAATGGGCAGGGAGAAAAGAAGCAGAGGTGGGGTGAGAGAGTGAGGTTTTGGGGGAGGTGGGCACTCAGAGATAGGATCCCAGCATATTGAAATTGAGCAACCTCGATCGTATGTTTTCTGCTATTTTAGGTAATGATCCTTCTGAGAGAAATGACTTGTGGGAGACACCCTGCAGATCCTCATGGGTTTGTGACAGCCCCTGCGTGCTCAGTGCCCTTTAAGTGCATCCCGCTGTGCTGACTTTGAGTGGGATCAACATCTGTCCTACGGGTCCCCTCTTTTTTGGCCCCAGTATTCATGGCAGGGTTTGTTGGACACCTACTAGCTTCCCTTCCCATTCAACACACACACACATTCTTGCTCTACCCAAAGCTCTGGCTGGCAGCACTAAATGCTTTGGTGGTGTTTGCACTGTGTCCTTTCCAGGCCTTGGCCAGTTCTTCCAGGGGTGAGGCATGTGGTGCTGGGGATTGGCAGCCATCCTGGGGCCCACACAGGTGTGTCTTGCTCCATTTGGCCCATTGTGTGTTACTTTGTGAATGAGCCATTTCACATGGACTTCATGAAATTTGCCTCCTGAGTTCAGGTTTACCCTGAAAGGGATGCAGATTATCCTGTTCCTCACGACCCCCTCAGCTAACAACAGTTCTGAAGGGTGCTGGGACAGGACAGGCTCATGGGGACTCCACTCCTGCCTGGGTTTACTCTGTATGAAGAGGCCACTGGTATCCTGCCATGATGTTATCTCCTTTTTCTACTTTTCCCTAGAGTCCCATGCATGATAAAGAGAGGCCCAAGGCTTGGATAAGGTGGCCACTTCCCTCAGTGGAGTCAGTCATGTTAGGTAGGAGGTGGTAGAGTCGGTCTGCGAGGTATCTCGTAAGAGGGGAGGTCCACCTAGACACACTCTAAATATGTGGCCTAGAAGATTTTGGTCTACTTTTCTGTGAACAGAATTTAAAACATACAAAGAGATAAATCACCATACCACATAGTTTATGTCAGGACCAAAATGAGCAATACAGATTACGGTTTTCAAACCAGAATGCACATAAGAACTGCTTGGGATCCTTTTAAAAGTACAGGCATTGGCCTGGTGCAGTGGCTCATTCCTGTAATCCCAGCACTTTGGGAGGCCAAGGGGACAGGACTGCTTGAGGCCAAGAGGTGGAAACCATCTTGGGCTACATAGAGAGACCCCATCTCTACAAAGAAAGATTTAAAAATTAACCAGGCATGGTGGCTCGCACCTGTATTCCCAGCCACTGGGGAGGCTGAGGCCGGAGGAGTGCTTGAGCCCAGGAGTTCAAGGCTGCAGTGAGCCAAGATTGCGCCACTGCACTCCAGCCTAGGTGACAGAGTGAGACCCTGTCTCTAAATAAATAAATAAATAAAATATAAAAATAACAGTCATCACCCAGACCTACTGAATTAGAATCTCGGGAGTGCAGGGGGCAGCAACAGGGAGGCTGTCTTTTCTGAGATGGGGTCTCACTCTGTCACCAGGCTGGAGTGCCATGGCATGATCTCAGCTCACTGCAACCTCCACCTCCTGAGTTCAAGCCATTCTCCTGCCTCAGCCTCCTGAGTAGCTGGGACTACAGGTGTGCGCCACTACACTCAGCTAATTTTTGTATTTTAAGTAGAGACGGGGTTTCATCATGTTGGCCAGGATGGCCTCCATCTCTTGACCTCGTGATCCACCCACCTTCCCTCCCAAAGTACTGGAATTACAGGCATTAGCCACTGTGCCCAGCCGAGGCTGTCATTTTTAACCGGCTCTGGATGACTCTGATGCAGCCATCCTGGACCTTGGCTGTGGTCTGGTAACTGGAACCCAGTGACGTAATCAGGTGCCATCGGGGGTCATGGGAAAGGGGGATCCCCAAGGTCTGAGGTGGACTAGGAAGGCTTTCTGAAGAACCTGGGTCTGTTAGGGCATCAGCCAATCAAGGTACAAGTAAATAGAGGCAAAATGAGGGTTTGAACTGTGAGCAGTTGGTCCTGGAAAAGAAAGAAACCAAGAGATTATGGGGACTCAATGGGCTTCTTAAGAGAGAATAAGTTGAAATCAATGACCAGAAGACCCTGATGGAAGTGGAGGAGAATCATCTCAGGCAAACTTTTTGTGTGCCAGTAACAGAAACCCTCTTTGTGTGATCACATGCAAAGTATAGGATATTTGCAATATAGCCATGGGGAGGAGTGCAGGGCCCAAGGGTAGATTTTAGCCAGGCCTCCCAGGAACAGAACTCGGATCCGAAAAGCCCAGAGAAGCTAGAGCTGCCCCTCCAACACTCTCGGATCCACATGGTCTGTGTTCTCTAGACCCCCCTGCATGTTAGCGGTGTTCTCTCTCTGTGGACTGACTGTCCTTCTCAGTGAACATGTCCACCCGACAGCTCCTGAGTTTATATCATCTCAACCCTCACAACCCACAGAGGCTGTGTCTCCTAGTCACAGCTTTAAATTACTGGAAAAATAAATGACTGGCCAAACTTGGAGCAGGTGTCCATCCCAGCCCTGTGTAGTTAGAGCAGGAATCAAGATCTCAACACAAATGTGGCTGCCAAGCACTCAGCCCCGGGGCGAGGGGTCAAGTTCTTCTCAGAGAAAGAGGAATAAGTTGGTTCTCAGAAGACATCACAAGATACGTGTGTACCCAACAATCTCTGATCTCTGCTGATCTTTTGCTTAGACGTTAACTTGATGCATCATTGGAAAGGTGTTTCTCTCATCTCTGTCCTAAGGCTTGATAAAGTCATTAAAATTGTGTTCTTTTGACTAAAGAAATATGCTTTTTTTTTACTGTTGCATATACTACCCTGAAGTCACTGGAACTTCTAGGAGTAATTCCAGAGCTTTTAGATTTATGCACCTGCGTGTATACTCACATTTGTTTCTAGTCTCAAGGTACGTAGTCTTTTATTTTAAAAAACAAGTTGTCCTCCTGCATTCTTGATCTTTCACTCTCTTTTAGAACAGACATCCAGTAGTCTCCTGTCCTTTGTATCCAAACTCTCCCTTTTTGCAGGGTCACCCTACAAATCATAAGCATGTCATCTCTCCTATATAACAAGAACATCAAATCCTCTGTCTGTCCTTGACCCAGTCTCCCTTCCACCCAAGCTCCTGGTCACGCTCTCTGAGAGTGTCTACGTGGACTGCCTCCAGATCCCCTCTTCCCATCCACTCTCTTTCGGTTTTAATTTTTAACCAAATTATGTTATAGTTTAAAGAGTCAAATATTTCTACAATATTTGCTACAGAAATACCAGTTTCCAGCCCCATCTCCCACCATATCCTCACCCTTACAGAAAATAACTTTCAATTGTTCTAATATGTTTTGTTGGTATTAACCTCCCATCTCTAAATAACATGTTTGTGTTGCTACATCTAGATTTTTCAGCTTTAGGCTTTATCTCTTTACCTCCTGCTGTGGAAGAGGGGGATTTAGATTTTTTTCATCCTCAAAGAACATCATGCCCCCTTTCCCATGCCCTTTCTTTTAATGTGACTATATTGTAATTTTTACAATATAGTAAAAGTTACTGTGTTTACTATGTTTCTATCAATATGACCATGTAATGGCAAACCATAGAGCAAGCCATGCTCACTCTTCCTTTTCTAGACGACTTCGTTTTCTCTGGAGTATATAGTTGTCCTGTTTTCCTTTGTGTGGCTGTATTTGTACTTATTATTAATGAATCACAAAATTCCTCACAGTACAATCAAACACATCAGGTATTCTGTCAATTTTATCACCAGATATAACTCTCCCAGAACCTTCTGTCTGCTCCATTCTTAACTCCTTGCCCTTGATGATACAGCGGTCACTCTGAGATCACTCTTCGCCATCCTCGTCAGGATTTACCTATCCTCCGAGTTGGATCTTCTGCTTCTTGTATCCAGTCATTGCCCTTTTGTGGTCTGCCTTATTTTAATGAGGCACCTCTTCTTTCCACTTCCTGAGAAACAGTGCATATGAGGAAAACTTTTTATGCTTCGTATGTCGGAAAATATATTTATTCTACTCTCACACTTGAATAATAGCTTCCACGGTTATAAAATTCAAGATTGGAAATCATTTCCATCAGAATTTTTAAGGCATTTCTCTATAATCCCTTAGCTTCCTGCGTTATTGTTGATAATCCAAAAGATATTGTGTCATGAAACTTTGTACGTAATCGTTGTTGTTTTTTTCTCTCAGAAGCTTATAGGATATCTGCTTTTTCCCTTCCTCCTTTAAATTCTTATAGGTGCTCCATTACCTACAAGATGAAGACCCTTCTCAAACCGTCCTCAGGGTATTTCTTTTTCTTTTTTTCTTTCCTTTTTTTTTTTTTTTTGAGGTAGAGTCTCACTCTGTTACCCAAGCTGGAGTGCAGTGGTGCAATCTCAGCTCACTGCAACCTCTGTCTCCCAGGTTCAAGCAATTCTCCTGCCTCACCCTCCTGAGTAGCTGGAATTACAGGCACCCCCCACCATGCCCGGCTAATTTTATTATTTTTAGTAGAGACCGGGTTTCACCATGTTGGCCAGGCTGGTCTCGAACTTCTGACCTCAGGTGCTCCGCCTGCCTTGGCCTCCCAAAGTGCTGGGATTACAGGCATGAGCCACCGCACCTGGCCTATTTTAACCATATAATAGCTCCTCCTGAAAATGATCAATGCTTAAGTCACAGAAAACTGTTGTCGCATGTTTACTCCTCCCTGCCTTTGCACAAACTATTCTCTGTGCTGGACCTGCCTTCCTCCACCAACCAGTCAAAATTCTACCTGTCCTTCCAGGGTCCAGATTAAATGTCACCTCTTCTGTGAAGCATTTTCAATCCCAGCCCCCAATATGCTGGCCACCCTGTCCCTGCAGTGCATACCACATTCCGCCCTGTGTCAGTTGACTGTGTATGAATTTGCCTTTGCCACTAACTGCTCCTCTAAAGCAAGAGAAGGCTGTGTCTTATAGTTCCAACACCCAGAACATAATGGGCATTGAAACACTGTAGAATTCTATTTAATTCAATTTTGTTTGCTTCAAATCCAGCCTGGTCCGACTGTCTGCAGCTGGTTTTAATAACATTGGCTACCGTTTACCCAACACATGCAATGTGCCTGGCCTTAATGCTTTTCACGTGTAGTGGATTTGAATCTTGGTCCAAAAGATTAATAAGATAGTGCACAGAGTGCAAAAAATAGTAAATGTCTTTAAATAATCGAAAATCTGATTCAAAACCTGCTCTTTAAAAAATCTTAAATCTGATTCAAAACCCCTGCCATGAGGCTGGTTTTAAGTTCAATCTGTCTTTATTGGGGCTTCTGGTCTCTTACAGTTGTTCCAAGGGTCTGCGCCCTGACACAGTGCTGAGGCCTTGGAGAAGCCCCTGTTGTCTTCTCCAGTCCAGACTGTTTACTCCAAGCATGCCTAGGGCTTAACCTGTATGCTCTTTTCCAAGTGGAAGCTCTGCTGCTTCTGCACTAGGCTTGGGGCAGGGGAATCTTTAGTGAGGAGTGATCCCCAGTGCCTGGGAGCAGGACTGCAAAGATGCACCATACGGCCAACTTCCCCGTCCCTGGGAGGCCTCCCCACCTGCCTTGGCTGCTGCAAGGAAGCAGGGCTCTTTCAGACCCACAGGCCACTGTGCCTTCCTCAGTTTGGGAGAACCTTCCCCCTTTGCCTGTCAAAGGCATTCCCCTCTCTCTCTCTGGCACAATGTCTGGGACACCTGGCATAATGTCAAGTGAGCTTCAGATTTTGGGAAATCCAAAGCCAGAAGAGGAAAGGCCTTGGCGGTGACATGTGCTATTGTCTTGTGTGACAAACCTAAATACAAACAAAGGAAAAAGAAAAGCATCATTCTGCCATACATGAATTATTTCATTTCTTCCTTATGACCAATCTGCAAGTTAAGTATAATGATTTCATTTTATAAAGAAGGAAGCTAGGATTCAAATTACCTAACTTGCCCAAGGTCAAACAGCTAGGAGGTGGTTGGAAGGTCTGTGTGATGCTAGAGCCCATGTTCTTTCCACTGCACTGTCCTACTCAGCAGCGAATGGAGACCAGCTTGTGAGACATGAGGCAGGATGAACAGGGTCAGACATCAGCATTACTAGGAAATGTGTAGGAGGAGGTATTCCCAACTTTGGGAACAAACTTCTTCTGAGGCTTCAGCAGCAACAGGCTGCAGGGAATGAGGTGAGCTTGAAGAATGACTGGGGATGGAATTACTGAAGAGATTTTCTTCTCCCTCCTGGATCAGTCGAAGCACTCCCCCAGTTCAGACTTTCTTTCTTGCTTAGTCTAAATTCCCTCCTGGTCAACAAGACTCTATATGATCTGGCGCTGCATGTGTCTTCATCTTTACTTCCCTCTACTCTTCCTTCTTTCATTAAGCAATAGCCACACTATCTTCCCCAGAATTCTCCTTAACATTAATGCCTCCAATTCATCACCCATTCACAACTCGTGTGGCACCAATTCAGAGAAGCTTCATTGACCAACTTTGCTAAATAAACCACCTATCTCCAATCTCTCCCTATCATGTTACCCTATTTATCTCTACACACAGATGCCTTTCAATGAATGATGTCCCACTTCTCAGGCTTTCCTTTCTCTCTGACTTCAGAAAAGCTTCCAGACAAGTGATCGTGCACGCAGAGGAGCGACTTCACTTCCTCTCCTCTCCTCCTTGTGGTTTAGGAGGTTGCTACCTATGACTTGTAATTTGGCTCCATCTTGTGGTTTGCATCCACCCCACCTGGAGCCTCCAAATCTGAGTAAGCCTAAGGTCTCCCAAGGTGGACTCCCCGGCACTTCCGTCCACTGGAAACGTTCTGCTGCCTCCTCCCTAGAGTCCCAACACCGCTCTTGAGACCTGGTCAGGTTCCCAGTTGCCCTTTATTCCTTTCCTCGGGCCTTCAGTATATGGATCTGCTTCAGGTACAAGTTCTTACTGTAATGCCTGAAACATGGTGGTTACTCAATAAATGTTTAAAGCCCCAGCTGACTAAAACAAAATGTAGTCACCCTGCTCTCAAATTCCCTGATGACATGTCCGCATAAAGAAAAATAAATTAAAATTTGTTTTTCTGATATTAACAAGTATTGTTTTGTTAATACTATTATCTTTCATAATAGTATTGACTATTATTATTGAGCACTTCCAATGTGCCAAACACTAGTCTAACCAACTGATATTTGTCAAATCCAGTATCTCCACATTCACTAAGAAGCACACCAGATATTTCCTAAATTGTTGCATGAAACCGAAGTGTTTAGGAGAGTGTTAATAACCTAACCAAAAACAAATCAATAGAAGTAATATTTTTCTGTTAAAACATATTTTAATACATGTAAGGAAATGCCAAACTTAAATATGTATCTTTTTGTTTTTTGTTTTTTTTGAGACAGAGTCTTGCTCTGTTGCCCAGGCTGGAGTGCAGTGGTGCCATCTCAGCTCACTGCAACCTCCGCCTGCTGGGTTCAAGTGATTCTCCTGCCTCAGCCTACCGAGCAGCTGGGACTACAGGCATTCACCACCGCACCCAGCTAATTTTTGTATTTTTAGTAGAGATAGGGTTTCACCATATTGGCCAGGCTGGTCTCGAACTCCTGACCTTGTGATCCGTCCGCCTTGGCCTCCCAAAGTGAAGTATGTATCTTTATTATATAGTAATCTGCCTTTTAAAAATGATATGTCATTATTTGTAACAATTGAAAATTATTGGAAACATGCCTAGTAAGAGTACAATAGTTGAAAAAATTATAGTACATCTGCACAATGGAGTAATGCAAAGCTGTTAAAAAGAATGAGGAGATAGAAAAAATAAGTTCCAATGTTTGATAGCAGACTGGGGTGACTGTAGCCAGCAACAATATATATATATATATATATATATATATATATATATATATATATATATATATATAGTATATTTCAAAGTAGCTAGAAGAGAGGACTTGAGATGTTGCCAACACATAGAAATGATAAATGCTCAAGGTGAAGGATACCCCAAATACCTGACTTGATCATTAGTCTCATTGTATGCATGTAACAGATACTCACATGTACCTCATAAATAAAATATGTAAAATATCATGTATCAATTAAAGGAAAAAGTCTAACGAAAAGGAATGAGAAAGATCTCTTTGAACTAATACGGAGGAATCTCTAGGTTAGAGTGGAAAATTCACAGTGCAATACAATGATTAAACTATGTACTGCCTTTGGGGTAAGAAAGAGGAAAGATACATATTTTTTCAAAAAGGTGGATTGGGTCAGATGTGGTGGCTTGTGCCTATAATCCCCACACTTTGGGAGGATGAAGTGGGAGGATCACTTGAGGTCAGGAATTTAACACCAGCCTGGCCAACATAGCAAGACTCTGTCTCTACATAAAATAAAAAAATTAGCCAGGCATGGTGGTACCCCCTGTAGTCCTAACTACTCAGGACGCTGAAGCAAGAGGATCATTTGAGCCTAGGAGTTCGAGGCTATAGTGAGTTATGATGGTGCCACTGCACTCCAGCTTGGGCAACAGAGTGAGACCATGTCTCCAAAGGGGGAAAAAAGCTGCATTGGAAGGATAAACAAGAAATTAATAAAAATGGCTACTTTTAGGAAGGAAGGGAGAATAGAAGTGAGAAGTGAATATTGACCTTTGAAACGTATAAATAATTTACAATGTTAATAAAAAATTGACAAAAACCTCTAAAATTTAAAACAAATAGAACTGAACCACACAGAAAAAATAAGTATCCCAAGTGATATTAAAAGATACTACTGTATGTTCTTGGTGGAATACACTTACTCTCTCTCTTCTCTCTCTATTTTTTGTTGTTGTTGTTGTTTGTTGTTTGTTGTTTTTTTAGACAGGGTCTTGCTCTGTTGCCAGCCAAGGCTGGAGTGCTGGAGTGCGCTGGTGTGATTATAGCTCAGTGCACCCTCAAATTCCTGGGCTCACGTGATCCTCCCACCTCGGTCTCCCAAGTACAGTAGCTGGGACTTCAGGAACATGCCACCATACCCAGTTAATTAAAATACATGTTTTAAATAGAAATGGGGTCTCATTATGTTGCCCCAGCTGACTTAATAGAATATATTCTAAGGACAAAAAGAACTATCAGAACTTTGAACATCATTCAGTTGTTTTATGGTTAAGTAATATTTGTATCCTTATTTGAAACTATACTATATATAAAATAAAGCAAATCAGTGATTATGTTAATATAATTAAGAACTAAGATTTTTAGGCCGGGGGCAGTGGCTCATCCCTGTAATCCCAACATTTTGGGAGGCCAAGGCGGGCGGATCACAAGGTCAGGCATTCAAGACCAGCCTGGCCAACACAGTGAAACCCCGTATCCACTGAAAACACACAAAAAATCAGCTGGGTGTGGTGGCGGGCGCCTGTTATCCCAGGTACTCGGGCGGCTGAGGCAGGAGAATTGTTTGAACCTGGGAGGCAGAGGTTGAGGTCAGCGGAGATTGCACCATTGCACTCCAGCCTGGGCAACAGGGAGAGACTCCATCTCAAAGAAAAAAAAAAAAAAAAAAAAGAACTAAGATTTTCATGTATAAAAAGCAAGTAAAAGTAGCTGAATTAAAATAATAATATTAGAAAAAATATTTGAACTAGAACTGTCAATTTTAACTAATGATTTACTAACATATATGTCCCTGCTCTAGCAAATGAAAGAGCCTAATAGTAGCCCTGTAGCAATGAGCATCCTCAATGCACAGATTGTAGTGTGTAAATATCATTTCCCACTCAAAGGAAATAGAGCTTCTTGGAGAAGTGACCAGTTCCAGGCCTGAGTTATGGAAAATACAAAGCAAGTGTGAGTATCTCATTGTTTTCATAAAACAAGGCACTGTTCAAAGACTAATAGAGTCATGTCAAAAAAACAGGTCAGCCAGTTTGAAGGAGCTTCCATTGGCCAAAACTGGAACAACTCAGACATCAAAAAGATGACTATAATATAATTAAACACATTGAGTATATAAAAATCCATGGGTTCCTATTAATAGTCGAATACAGATTTTAAAAAGTAAGCAACAACAACCCATTGATATTACCACTGGATGTGATCTTCCAATTCATAACACAGGAAATTGGTGCTTAAAGAAAACAAGTATATATCCTGACATTTCACAAGGAAATGTTCCACTGATGAAAAAAGGTCTACCCTTCAGAGTACCAGTGAATAAATGTTGGGAAAAATAACAGAATTAGAAAACCAGCATTTTGTAAGCCTAATGTGATCATTGATTCAGGGAAGGCATCATATATGTTAAAACCATTAGGAGAATAGACAGTGAGGAACAAGAGAGTCACATCATGCCAAAGTATCATGGTCATAGATTATTTGCTATTGTCAAATGGGAGAAATACCTTTACAGAGGTGATGGCTGTCATCACCTCGACTGAGTGATCAAGTTTAGCCTCACCAATAATAGGACAAGACATTAAGCATATGCTTCCTAATAAGATGAAATGCAAAGTACACAGCAATACCTATGAAGAATTATTGTCAAAAATCTTTCATCTAAATCTAGTCAAGCCTTTGTTTCAAAAAGTTCTAGTCTATAAAAAAAATACATTGGATAGAGGAATAAGTCAAATGAAACCACAAAGAACCAATCACACAAATTCAAAATGTGAGAGATTCTACTGGCCTTGTCTCTCTAAAAAGATGCTGTTTAAAAAATGGGTGGAATAGTGGGAATTAAGAGACATTACAATCAAATTTAGTGAATGATTCTTGGCAATATCTTTGAGGAAAAACAGATATAAAAGCACTTTTCAGACAAATGGGGAAATTTGAATATGAACTGGTAATCGATGATATTAGAGAGCTGTTTTCAGTTTTGTTTAGTATGATTACAGTACCACGGTTATGTATCAAGTCATCTTTATGCTAAAGTATTTAGGGATGAAATGCTAGATCTCTAATTTACTTCAGAATGAATTCAGAATACACACACAGTTCAAACAAACACAGCAAAATCTTGACAGTTGTTGAATCTATATGATGGGTATTTGTCTTAGTCCATTTTGTGTTGCCATAACAGAATACCACAGACTAGGTAATTTACCAAAAAAAAAAAAAAAAAAAAAAAAAAAGAAAAGAAAGAAATTTGTTTCTCACAGTTCTGGAGGCTGGGAAGCCTAATGTCAGGTGCCAACATCTGGCAAGGGCTTTCTTGCTGTGATGAAGAAAAAAGGCAGAAGAAAAAAGGAGGAGAGAAAGGATGAAGGAGAGGAAAGGAGTCAAACTCATCCTTTCATCAGGAATTCACTCCTGAGATGAGATAACTAATCCACTCTAGAGATGATGGCATTAAGCCCTTTATGAGGGCTCTGCCCATCTCTTTAAGAGATGACCTAATCGTATTTTAAAGGTCCCACTTCTCAACGTTGTTGCATTGGGGATTAAGTTTCCAATGTTTTATATATAACAACTTTTTGTTATGTATAAAATAAAGCAAATCAGTGATTATGTTCATGTAATTCAGAACTGAGATTTTTAATGTATGAAAAGCAAGTAAACGTAGTTGAATTAAAACAATAATATTAAATTTGAACTAGAAAAATATTTTGAACTAGAAATGTCAGTTTTAACTAATGATTTACTAATATATATGTCCTAGCTCTAGCAAAAGGAAGAGCCTAGTAACTTTGGGAGACACATTCAAACCATAGCAGCTTTCAAGTATTATTTTATTTTTTCCAAGTTTTCTGCAGGTTTGGAAATTTTCACAATTAAAGAGGTGTGTGTGTGTGTGTGTGTGTGTGTGTGTGTGTGTGTAATGCTTTATTATACTTGAAAATAGCAGGAAATTAAAGGAGAGAGCACTAGATTCCTGAACTCACAAGTTGATGTATGTCACCAATTGAATAACTTTTTTTTTTTTTTGAGACAGAGTCTCGCTCTGTTGCCCAGGCTGGAGTGCAATGGTGCAATCTCAGCTCACTGCACCCTCCACCTCCTGGGTTCAGGTGATTCTCCTGCCTCAGTCTCCCGAGTAGCTGGGATTACAGGCGCCCACGACCACGCCCAACTAATTTTTGTATTTTTAGTAGAGGCAGGGTTTCACCAGGTTGGCCAGGCTGGTCTCGATCTCCTGACCTCAGGTGATCCACCCACCTCAGCCTCCTAAAGTGCTGGGATTACAGGCATGAGCCACCGCTCCCAGCCTGTTCTGTAATATTTTATAATTTAAATAAATAATGTAAATGGGTTGTTCTTTTGTTTTAATTAAAATAAAATAAACATGATGTAATGCCTTTAAATTTTTGTTCCACTACATGGCTATTAAATACAGACATAAAATTTGACCATTTCCCCAGCAGATTTCTCATCCATAGGCTCAAAACCAACTCATTTTATTTTGGGAGCCCTACAATTACTTTATCAATATTATATCATTTGAAAAAAATGATCTGTAGTCAAAAGTTACTGTAACATTGTCTATAGACATCCCAGGAACACCAAGAATAAGTTCACCTAGAAAAATGTCATATAATTTTGTTTTTATAAGACATTAAAATGTTATATAAAAAATTATAAAACATTAAAATGTTATATAAAATTATAAAACATAAAAATGTTATGTAAAAAATTATTTTCCCCATATTTGAGATTTTATTGCCAATCCCAATCAGAAAACAGAAAAGAGGAATAAAAAATAGTAAAAATGGGCCGGGCGCAGTGGTTCACGCCTGTAATCCCAGCACTTTGGGAGGCCGAGGCGGGCGGATCACGAGGTCAGGAGATCGAGACCATCCTGGCTAACACGGTGAAACCCCGTCTCTATTAAAAATACAAAAAATTAGCCGGGCGTGGTGGCGGGCGCCTGTAGTCTCAGCTACTCGGGAGGCTGAGGCAGGAGAATGGCGTGAACCCGAGAGGCGGAGCTTGCAGTGAGCTGAGATCCCGCCACTGCACTCCAGCCTGGGCGACAAAGCGAGACTCCATTTCAAAAAAAAAAAAAAAAAAAAAAACCAAAAAAAAAAAAAGTAAAAATGAAGAAGGTACTAAGTTTCCAAAATCTTAAAAAGTCTTTATAGTTTTTAAATCTCCTTCTTATGTAGTCAACGCAAGCCCAGACGCACGCCTACCCTTACCCCCAGCTTTCCTCTCACCATCCATCTCCTACAATCCAGTTCCCTCAGGCCTCTCTTCCTTCACAAAGGTCCCAGTGTCTAAGCCAAGCCTGAAGGTATGGTTAGGATGAATGGTAGGTATGAATAGTTACCATTTAGAAATTACGCAGTCTAAAGCGAATATTAATAGTTCAACTTAGCCTGGTTTCTCTTCGTGCAGCAAAAGCCATCACTGGAATTTCCTTTACTTATATTTATGGAATGAAGTCGTTCGTTTCTTATTTGTGTCTTCACACTTCTTAATAGTTCTCCAGCTAAGCTAAATTAATTGGGCTTGGTGAAAAAAATAAAATTTTCTACAGTATGCAGGAATCTTGTGTAGAAGCTGCATTTAAGAACATAGAAGAAAATGGAGACATTACAACTGACACTATAGAAATACAAAAGATCATCTAAGAATACTATAAACACCTCTACGCACACAAACTATAAAATCTAGAGGAAATGAATGAATTCCTGGAAGCATTCCTCTAAGCTTGAATCAGGAAGAAATAGAAATCCTGAACAAACCTAGAGGAAATGAATGAACTCCTGGAAGCATACAACCCTCTAAGCTTGAATCAGGAACAAATAGAAATCCTGAACAAACCAGTAACAAGTACTGATATTGAATCAGTAATAAAAAATCTTTTAAAAAAAAAAAAAGGCCCAGGACCAGATTCACAGCTGAATTCTACCAGATGTTCAAAGAAGAACTGGTACCAATCCTATTGAAACTATTCCAAAAGATTAAGAAAGAGAGAATCCTCCCCAACTCATTCTGTGAAGCCAGTGTTACCTGATGCCAAAGCCAGGAAAGAACACAACAAAAAGGAAAACTACAGAACAATATTCCTGATGAACATAGATGCAAAAATCTTCAACAGAATATTAACAAACCAAATCCATCAGCACATCAAAATGATAAATCACCATGATCAAGTGGGTTTCATCATAGGGAGGCAAGGATGGTTCAACATATGCAAGTCAATAAATGTGATTCACCACATAAACAGAATTTAAAACGAAGTCATATGATCATTTCAATCAATGCATAAAAAGCATTTGGTAAAATCCAGTATCCCTTTATAATAAAAAATTTCAACAAACTAGGCATAGAAGGAACAAACCTCAAAATTATAAAAGTCAGATATGATAAACACACAGCCAATATCATACTGAATGGATGAAAGTTGAAAGCCGGCCGGGCACAGTGGCTCACGCCTATAATGCCAGCAGTTTGGGAGGCCAAGGTGGGCAATTCACCTGAGGTCAGGAGTTCGACACCAGTCTGGTCAACAATAGTGAAACCTCATCTCTACTAAAAAAAAAAAAAAAAAAAAAAAAATTAGCTAGGCATGGTGGGACTGCATGCCTGTAGTCCCAGCTACTTGGGAGGCTGAGGCAGGAGAATTGCTTGAACCTCGGAGGCAGGGGTTGCAGGGAGCTGAGGTCGCACCACTGCACTCCAGTCTGGGTGACAGAGTGAGACTCCGTCTCACACACACAAAAAAACAAAAACTGTCCAGGGGAACTTGTCCAGTCCCCCTAAGAACTGGACAAGACAAAGATGTCCACCTTCACCACTCCTATTCATCATAGTACTGGAAGTCCTAGCCAGAGAAAACAGACAAGGGAAAGCACACCCAAATTGGAAAAGAGGAAGTCAAATTATCTCTGTTTGCCAATAACATAATCTTATACCTAGAAAACGCTAAAGACTCCTCCAAAAGACTCTTAGATTTGATAAATGAATTCAGTAAAGTCTCAGGTTACAAAATCAACATACACAAATCAATAACACAGCTCTATACCAATAACGACCAACCTGACAATCAAATCAAGAACTCAATCTCACTTGCAATAGCTACAAAAAAAATTGTAAATGTCTAGGAATATACTTAACCAAGGAGGTGAAAGATCTCCCTAATGAGAACTACAAAACACTGATGAAAGAAATCATAGATGACACAAACAAATGGAAAACCATGCCATGCTCATAGATTGGAAGAATCAATATGAAAAATGACCATACTGCCCAAAGCAATCTACAGGTTTAATGCAATTCCTATCAAAATATCAGCATCATTTTTCACAGAATTAGAAAAAGCAATCCTAAAATTCATATGGAACAACAACAAAAAAAGCCTGGATAGCCAAAGCAATCCTAAACAAAAAGAATAAATCTGGAGGCATCACATTACCCAACTTCAAATTACACTACAAGGCTAGAGTAACCAAAACAGCATGGTACCGGTATAAAAGTACACAGTAGATCAATGGAACAGAATAGAGAACCCAGAAATAAAACCAAATACCTACAACCAACTAATCTTCAACGAAGCAGACAAAACAATACACTGAAGAAAGGACACCCTATTCAATAGATAGTGCTGGGAAAATTGGATTGACACAGGTACAAGAACGAAACTAGGGCCGAGCGTGGTGGCTCACGCCTGTAATCCCAGCATTTTGGGAGGCTGAGGTGGGTGGATCATGAGGTCAGGAGTTTGAGATCAGCCTGGCCAACATAGTGAAACCCTGTCTCTACTAAAAAATACAAGATTTTGCCAGGAGTGGTGGCGTGCACCTGTAGTCCTGGCTACTTGGGAGGCTGAGGCAGGAGAATCACTTGAACCCAGGAGGTGGAGGTTGCAGTGAGCCGAGACCGTACCATTGCACTCTAGCCTGGGTGACAAACAAGACTCCATCTCAAAAAAAAATAAAAATAAAAATAATAAAACGAAACCAGATCCCTGTTTCTCAACATATACGAAAATTAACTCAAGATAGATTAACGACTTAAATCTAAGACCTGTGATCATAAAAATTCTGGAAGAAACCTTGGAAAAACTCTTATGAATATTGGCCTAGGCAAAGAATTTATGAATAGGACCTCAAAAACAAATCCAACAGAAGCAAAAATAAATAAATAGGACCTACCTAATTAAACTAAAAAGCTTCTGCACAGCAGAGGAAATAATCAAGAGTTAAACAGACAACCACAGAATGAGAGAAAATATTTGCAAATATCTGACAAAGGACTAATATCCAGAATCTAGAAGGAGCTCAAACAAATGAGAGAAAAAAAAAACCAAATAAATAATCCCATTAAAAAGTGAGCAAACGACATTGACAGACATTTCTCAAAAGAAGATATACAAATGTCCAGAAACATATGTAAAAATGTTCAACATCACTATCATCAGGGAAATGCAATTTTTTTTTTTTTTTTTTGAGACAGAGTTTCGCTCTTGTTGCCCAGGCTGGAGCGCAGTGGTGCGATCTTGGCTCACTGCAGCCTCCGCCTCCTGGGTTCAAGTGGTTCTCCTGCCTCAGCCTCCCGAGTAGCTGGGATTACAGGCATGCGCCACCATGCCCAGCTAATTTTGTATTTTTAGTAGAGATGGGGTTTCTCCATGTTGGTCAGGCTGGTCTTGAACTCCCACCTCAGCCTCCCAAAGTGCTGGGATTACAGGCGTGAGCCATCGCGCCCAGCCTGGAAATGCAAATTAAAACCACAATGAGATACTACCTTATCCCAGCCAGTATCATTGATATTAAAAAGTCAAAAAGCAATAGATGTTGGCAAGGATGCAGTGAAAAGGGATAGCTTATACATTGCTGGTGGGAATGTAAATTAGTACAACCTCTGTGGAAAACACTATGGAGATTTCTCAAAGAACTAAAAGTAGTTCTACCATTTGATCTAGCAGTCCCACTCCTGGGTATCTACCCAAAAGAAAAGAAGTCATTATATCAAAAAGACATAGAATTCACAATTGCAGAGGTATGGAATCAACCTAAGTGCCCATAAACTGATGAGTGGATAAGAAAATGTGATGTGTATATACCATGAAATCGTACTCATCCATAAAAAAGAATGAAATAATATATTTTCCAGCAACTTGGATGGAACTGGACCATTTTCCTAAGTGAAGTAACTCAGGAACAGAAAACCAAGTGCTACGTGTTCTCATTGTTAAAGAAAAAAAACCTTAGACGAATGAAATTCAACAGAGTTTAATTGAGCAAAGAACAATTTGTGAATTGGGGAGCCTTCTGAGCCAGAGTAGGCTGAGAGACTCCAGAACAGCCAAGTGGTGGAATATTTATGAACAGAAAAAGTAAAGTGATGTACAGAAAACAGACATGAGGTACAGAAACAGCAGGATTGGTTGAAGCTTGGCATTTGTCTTATTTGAACACAGTTTGAACAGTTGATCACCTTTGATTGGCCAAAACTCAGTGATTGGCACTAGAGTAGGTTTCAGTCTGATTACACATCAAGTTAGGTTTCAGTTTACTATGTATGGAGAAACCTTTAGGCTGAACTTAAAACATGTAAGGAAGCAGCTTTAGGCTAAACCTAATTTAACACTCACTTGTAAGTAGGAGCTAAGCTATGGGTATGCAAAGCCATACAGAGTAGTATAACGGACATTGGAGACACAGAAGTGGGGAGTGGGGTGAAGGATGAAAAATTATTTACTGAGTACAATATACACTATTGGGTAATGGGTACACTAAAAGCCCAGACTTCACCACTATACAATTCATCCATGTAAATAAAAGCCACCTGTACTCCTAAAGCTATCGAAATAAAAATAATAAAAATAAAATTCTAGGCTCGGCCTGGTGGGTCATGCCTGTAATCCCAGCACTTTGGGAGGCTGAGATGGGCGGATCGCTTGAGGCCAGGAGTTTGAGACCAGCCTGGCCAACATGGCGAAAACCCGTCTCTACTAAAAATACAAAAATTAGTCCAGCATGGTGGCAGGTGCCTGTAATCCCAGCTACTTGGGAGGCTGAAGCAGGAGAATTGCTTGAACCCAGGAGGTGGAGGTTGCAGTGAGCCGAGATCGTGCCACTGCACTCCAGCCTAGGCGACAGAGCAAGACTGTGTCTCAAAATAAATAAATAAATAAATAAATAAATAAATAAATAAATAAAGTTCTAAAAAGATTGAGGTGTGTGTGTGACTGTGTGTATGTGTGTGCATGCATGTGTGTGTGTGTTCATCTCTAGCCTCATTCTTTAGCTCAGGTTGGTGGAGTTAACAATATCTGGAAGTTTTTGCTAAGTTTTACTTCTGAATTCCTTGTTTGCTTATATCTAGAATATAACTAGAAATGTTTGGTATGTAAAGATATAAACTTTGAAATTAGCCTTATCTTGTCTCACTAGCTCTGTGATCTTATGCACATTAACTTAGAGTTTCCTCCTCTCTAAAATAAAAATAATAACATATGTGTGGTAGGAACGTCATGTGGACCAAAAAAGATGACTATGAAAAGTGCCCATCAATATACACCTGGCAGATAGCAACGGCTCAGTGAGTGTCAGTTCCCTTTCCTTGGCTTTCTCCTTCTCTCTCAGTTTCCCCAGACTCAGAGGAAAAGAAGATTCTTTCTGTTTTGTTTTCTACCTGACTCTGAAGTTCAGGACAGATGCTTTTGATACCCCCTGCAGTAACATCAGCCACCTTCCTCCCAATCACAGAACTGCTTTCTGAGGTAGCTTTTCAACCCCAAGCTGCTCCCTCAGTTGCTCATCATTCTCTCCTTCCCTCAATTTTTGTCTCTTGCCTTACTCCCTGGCCAAATGATTGGTTAAATAGTTGTGGGGCTCTGTAGGGTCTATTTGCAAGACCAAAGGCAGTGATAGAAGGACATGAGATCACTGGGAATCAGCCTGAATAGCAGAGATGGATTTAAGAACAGTAAATCAGTGGGTTGTGTTATTGTGGTTGGAAACAGGTCCAGAACAGAATGCAGAATTTTAAGAGGAAGTCTAAGCACAGTGTCATAGCCAGTTTCAACACCAGGTCACAGACCAGACATCAGGGAATTGGGGGCCAAGTAAGGAAAGTTCCTTACAGAAGGCAGGGTGTGCAACCTGAAGCTTGACATAGCAATCAAAGGGCACAGAGATTGGGCAGTGCCAGTGCTTTCTTAAATCAAGAATACAGAATAATATGTCATGGTAACCATGGATCTGGAAGAACAAGCATCATTTTATTTTGCATCAGAGAGAATGAAGTTTCACTCTGACAGGGATGCAGGACTGCTTGGCCCTTGTAACTATCATTTTGTAACTTTTCAGCTTCCACTTACCTGGGGTTACTTAAGAGTTAAAAGAGTATAAGTAAACTTAGAAAACCTTGAGAACTGCTTTAAAACAATTATTTTTGGGTGGGGCATGGTGGCTCATGCCTGTAATCCCAGCATTTGGGGAGGCAGTTGCGGGTGGATCGGATCACTTGAGATCAGAAGTTCGAGACCAGACTGGCCAACATGGGGAAACCCCATCTCTACTAAACATACAAAAATTATCTGGGTGCGGTGGTGCACACCTGTAGTCTCCAGCTACTTGGGAGGCTGAGGCACGAGAACTGCTTGAACCTGGGAGGCAGAGGTTGCAATGAGCCAAGATTGTGCCACTGTACTCAAGCCTGGGCTACAGAGCAAGACTCTGTCTTTAAAAACATTATTTTTGAGAGAGAGGAGAAAATCGGTAGATGAAACTGCAAAATGTCTCTTTTTTTTTTTTTTTTTGCAGGAACTCTGGGTGAGAAACAAAACCATGCAGGAAGACAAGGTAATAACTGTCTTTCTTGGAAGAACTGTCATTGTCTCTACAACCTGCCTTCATAGAGAAGCCAGTTCCAACACATCTTCTGCAGGGGCAGAAGAGGGGAAAGTATTCATCAATTAACCAGTGTTACCTTCTCATAGTCTCAGCAATTAGAATAGCAACTGACTCCATGAGGTCTGACAGTGGCAGCTAATAGAAGAACTGCTCTTTTTTTGTTTGTCAAACACCAGCAAAAATGCTTATCGCTGGAGAATAAATCCCTTTTCTCCTTCAATCTCAAATCAAACATTAGCTTGTCTGACAAAATGAGCAATGTCCTCATTTGGCAAAGAGATGAAAGAAATATTTTATTATGTAGAAATATTCACTTACTGTACAAGGACACAAAAATACTTGAAGTTTGGGGTTGGTTGGAAAGCTTGGCAAGGATGATGAGTTCCTCTTACTCACATGAGAGGTTATTCTTATTTTGACCTCCTTAGTTGAGGTGAGGCCTCACTGCAAGTGACAGGTCTGATGATAACCCAGGAAGGGAGGTCTTCACTGGTGTGGTGGGGATAGGGCAGGGCATGAAGGGAGAGGTGAGTGATGGGCCCTGAAACAACACAGTATAGCTGAAAGACATGGACTAGTGACAGAGTCGTGTGAGAGTCCAGGCTGATGAGGGGCACTGAGAGAAGGGACAGAGGAAGGCTCAACAGACCTCAATGGCTGAACAGGGAGTTGGGGGAGAATAAGGGGAAGAAACTAGGCAGCTATAGAACTGTTACTAAATGTCTGTTTCCTCATGTATAAAATGGTGATGAGTACCTACCTCTTAGGATTATTATGAAGACTAAATTGCAAAAGTGCTCATAAGTGTCTGGTACATAGTAAACTCTATATAAGTGCTTGTTCCTTATAGCAGGGGTCCCCCAACCTCTGGGCCACTGAACACTACCAGTCCGTGGCCTGGTAGGAACTGGGGTGCACAGCAGGAGGTGAGCAGCGAGCAAGCTCTGCCTCTTGTCAGATCAGCAGCGGCATTAGATTCTCACAGGACTGCAAACCCTATTGTGAACTGAGCATGCGAGGGAAGGTTGCAAACTCCTTTTGAGAATCTAATGCCTGGTGATCTGAAGTAGAACAGTTTGATCTGGAAACCATTCTCCCCGCCTCCATCCATAGAAAAGTTGTCTTCCACAAAACCAGTCCTTGGTGCCAAAAAAGCTGGGGACTGCTGACTTAGAGAACTCACTGCGAGGGACATGTTTGGGGAAAAAGGTAGAATCTTTTCTAAAAATGTGTGCACAAGCTTATGGGACCTTGCCATTAGGCATTGCATTAGGCACTTGGAACTTTGACTCAAGGTTTGATATGGGGGCAGTTTCCCCCATGCTGTTCTCGTGATAGTGAGTTCTCACGAGATCTTATGGTTTTATAAGGGGCTTCCCCACTTCACTTTGGCACTCATTCTCCTGCCACCCTGTGAAGAGGTGTCTTCCGCCATGATTGTAAGTTTCCTGAGGCCTCCCCAGCCATGCAGAACTGTGAGTCAATTAAACCTCTTTCCTTTATAAATCACCTAGTCTCAGGTATTTCCTCATAGCCATGTGAGAATGGACTAATACAAGGTCTAAACAGAGACACAGATTTTATGGGTGGGAGGTGCCTCCAGAGGAATGGGTAAACTTGCTTAAAAATACTGTGCAAATAAAAAGAGGACAAAGAAAGGTGTCATAACGGACAATATATTATGGGAGGCAGAGGCAGAGACTTTAAAGAAGCAGACTAAGAAATGGCTGTCTGAAAAGTATGAGAGCTAGGAACAAGTGGTGTCAAGTCAAAGAAGTCAGGAGATGCAGGGTGCGGTGGCTCATGCCTGTAATCCCAGCTACTCAGGAGGCTGAGGCAAGAGCATTACTTGAGCCCAGAAGGTCGAAGCTACAGTGAGCTATGATCACACCACTGCACTCCAGCCTGGGTGACAGAAATCCTCTTTCTTAAAAATAAATAAATAAATCAATATAAAATAAAATGCTAGGGAAGCCCCATGGGATGCTTCAGAGGTAAAGGGAGATAAGGACTAAAAAGGCCTAATCTCCTTCTTTTGTGACCCTCTGGGTCATAAAAATGAAGGCTCACATTTTAAGAGTTGAAGTTTAGGAAAGTAAGAAGGGAAGAACCACCTAACCTCGGGGGCAGGACACAAAAATGACAATAGATTCAGGAGGCAATCGTGGGTAACACGCCCAACAGGTGGCGCCAAATACCTTCAGTGGCAGTCTACAAGAGCCTCAGAACCCCTGCCCCTTCGGCAAGCCATGCTGGAGGGAGCTCCATTCAAATCTGCCAGTCAGCCAGGTGGCACTCCTTTAGTCAACAAAATATCAAGCTTCCACTATTGGAAAGCTCTGTGCTAGGGACTCTGAGAGCTGTATGTCTGCAAGTGCACGTGTGCTCTGCTGTTCCTTTAACGTGTGGAGACAAGAACCTTTTGAGAATAAGTCCCATCTATTTTAACTCCTACATAGCTCTCAAATCTATCTACATTTCTTCATCTACATTGCTGCCTTTCTCTTCTACACCACTATTCTCACTGGCTGGGATTAACTGCTGCAATTGCTTTCTAAACTATCCACTCTCAACACCCCACCAACCCTAACATGATTGTCCCTAGTGCAATTTCCTTAAAGCATGTCTATCTCCTAGCTCCCTACTGGCCCACAGCACTGGAAGTCTAGTGCAGTAGTTATAAATGTGGACCCTGAAGCCAGATCGCCTGGTTTCAAAACCCACCTCCAGTGCTCACTGACAATGTGGTGATGTTGGGCAAATTGACTAATCTCTCTGTGCCTCATTTCTTTATCTGTTAAATGCAGACAAGATGTACCTCACAGGATTATAGTGAGGACCAAATGAGTTTACAGGGTAAGTTTTTATTTAGCACAGTGCATGGGACACAGTAAGTGCTCAATAAATGTTAGCTATTAGTCTTTGAGATGTAAATTCAAAGCATCTCAAAGCACTCACCTTCATCCTTGCTGCTTCAGCATCACCTAGTTACCTTCTCAGTTGCTGTTTCTTCTGCTGGCAATGTTCACTACTCCCTGCTCCCACCCATCCACCCCTTACAAACAGGAAGGAACTCATCGTTCTGAGATATCTGAATAGCTCTCAGCTTAGACCAGAGAACCCTCTTTTCTAAATTCTTGCTAGACCTCTGCACATTGTCCTGTTAGAATTACTTATTTTTGTTAAAAATCGTGTGACTAGTTGTCTAATGCTGCCCCTTTCCCCGATCCTAGAATATAAATTGAGAGCAAGAAGCTGTCGTCTCATTCAGTGCTGGAGACCAGCTAGTGGGATTTTGTGAGTATCTTTAGGGTGATGACCCAGGAAAAAATGAAATCATGGTGACAACACATTAGTTCCATGCTACCATTCCCACATCTCCTTCCCAGCTCTCCATTACAGCCACTCTCTAATTGCTCAGGAAAATCTTCCTCCAGTCTTGCACTAAGCCCCAGAGTAACACCAGTCACCTCTGGTCCTTGTCCTGGGAGTCCTTCATGCTGGTCACTCATGGAAGCAGGGCCTTCCAATCAAGGTAGTCCCGAGTGAACCTAAGAGCAGGACTTTGGGGAAGGTTACAGGCAGGCTGGAACTGGGGTCCACATATGGGTGCACAATAAGGATGGTCTGTGAAGACCAAGTCATGCCTATATCTTGGATTCAATCAGTATAATTACCACACCATGATGGTTAATAATTGCACCCTATTCGTGCTAAGCAAACTCCATGATAAGACCTTGTCTTATCTTCACCTTATACCCTCTGGCTTGGCAACGTCCAGGTCTACAGGCCTAACAGTTTGCTGAAAAGGCAATCAAGGGAACTCAATAAATGTGTGACTGAGTAAATAAGACCGACTCTCACCTTCCCCCACAACCCAACAAAAGGCTTCCTATGGACGCAATAAAAGGCAGTAAATGGCAGCATGAGGGGAGAGGGAAAAAGCAGCAGCAATAGAACCCATGATTCCAAGAGCTGAGAGGAGCATAGGGGGAAATAATGCCCACAGGACTCCACTAGTCCTTTGAGTTGTGCTGGAGACTGCTATTTTGGAATAAAGTCCTTTGGCAACCAAGATGGAACTCAACCAAACTCCTGAAACAATTACAATCCCTAAGTGAGACAGGCTTGAAATAAGTTCAAACTAAAGTCAATTAAGAGACTAGTCCAATTGGTTTAAGGCAGGTCTGAAGCCCCTGTGTCAGCCAGCCCTTCTCTCTCTTAAAGCATTTAGGGCGGTCTGGGTTCCATTTACAGGGAATTAAGTACTCAGGGGCCTCCAATGTCAGGTTGAAACTTTTATTTTTCCGAACTACAGAAAACAAACCTTAAAAGTACATGAGCAGAAGGGGCTGCAGTCAGACAAAATATTCTATATTTTGTCCCAAAACTAATCCAACTAAATCCTTCAATTCCCTCTGAAATGAGATGTAATCCTTGACATAGACATGCACTTAGCTTAAATCTATTTACTCCGATTTTCAGAACTTTAATTTGTATCTCATCACCTATTGCCCAACGCGTGTCTATTAAGTACTTACGAATCCTCAACATCTGTTATTCTCAAAAGGGAACCAGAGCTCAAAGGGAGCTCAAGAGCTTTCACTGGTGCACACAAGTTAGCAAGAAAGCCCAAACAAGGGTTTGTTTCCCTCTAAGTGCTTGGCAAACAGTAGCAGGTGGTTCACAAACCTAATTTTTTATTACCATCTCCCGAGCTTTTGAAAATTGTTGCTCAAGCCCCAGTTTAGCCGGAATTCCTAAAGAGGGCTGAGCATCACTAGTAAAATTTATTGCTTCCTACATTTAGTTTGTGGTGTTGCCCTACACTTAGTTTGTGGTGTCATTTACAGCAAAATAAACCATTTGCTTTACTACATTCCTGATTCTAATTTCCACGTCTCTATCCAGGTTTCCTACTATGGTACACTATACTAAGCAAATGTCTCACTTTTCCAGTATTAAAGCCCCAAATTCCAGAATGCACACATCCCAACCCCCTAAACTTTTTATACAACCCTTCTCTCCCCTTAGCAAGACAAGGGGGTATGCAGAAAGCACAGTTTTGTGATTTAATCGTTGGAATACTCTTTAGTATTCTACTAATAAACTATCTGTAAATTTGTGTGTGACCATGGCAGCAAAATTTAACAATGTTTAACAATGTAGTAGGCCCAATTACTTTTTTTTTTGAGACGGAGTGTCTACCACCCAGGCTGGAGTGCAGTGGCGCGATCTCGGCTCACTGAACCCCGCCTCCCGAGTTCACGCCATTCTGCTGCCTCAGCCTCCCGAGTAGCTGGGACTACAGGTACCCGCCACCTCGCCCAGCTAATTTTTTTTTAGTAGACAGGGTTTCACCATGGTCTCGATCTCCTGACCTCGTGATCTGCCCGCCTCGGCCTCCCAAAGTGCTGGGATTACAGGCCAATTTCCTTTTAAAAGGCAATAAACTCAATGCATAAAGTACTTATGTTCGGCTACCTCCCACCCTTTTCTCATATTTTAAGTCTGCTCAGGAGAAAATTCACACATCCAGTGCCACAGGGAAAAACCTAAAGCCTACCTCAAAATTTTGAGTTCTTGGTTAAAGCATGAATGAGCCACAGTACTATTTTTCATTTAAACAAGAGCAAATTGTAGACCTAAAGATTACTTCTAAGGACTCAATTTACAAAAGTCATATTTACTTTATTAAAAACACAGCAAAAGCCTACTGGTTTAAAAATTAAGACAATCCAATTATAGGTTAGCTATTGCCTTTTCTCACTGCAGTAATATTTCCCTCAAAATTATCAAGACAATTCTTATGATGTTCCTTTTGAAACACTACAAAAGCAAATATTAAGGTAACTCAAAACTTGAATAATATTTTCTTTATTTACAAGTTAGAATCAACAAAGACAGTCCAGGGGACCAAATGGGGAGATGACTGAAACCCCCAGGGCCCCAAATGGAGCGGAAGGAAAAAGGGAAAACAGAGTAGAAAAAAAAAAATCAACGTAAAAAAAGAGCTCCCCCTTCTTCCCTCCCCATGGAGGCTGAGGGGACCACGGCCCCACCCTCCCCCCAGCCTTACCTAGCTTAAAATAAATTAGAACAAACAATCTCAAAACAGGGCCCTTAGAAGTGAATAGGGCAGCTGTGGCCTCAGGTAACTCCAGATCAGGGCTTTGCACACTCCCACCCTTGCCCTGCCCCATTTTGAATGGGGGCTCTGTGTCCAAGAGATCACTCCCCAATGGGGCTGGGAATTCAATGTTGTTTTGTCCATGTCCCTCCTTCAGTAAATGTCCCTGCATCCCTCCCCCACTGCAGAGCCAGCTCTCCTAGAGGGGGGCGGGGGGGGGTGAGATGAAGAAGTGTCACAGCAAAGGGGGAAGGGGCAGGTGGGGCAGGGTGGTCTAGGGGTCCGGTCCTGCGGAGCCTTCCTGCCCCATCTGGCCTGACCCCTTAGCCTGAGTCTGAATCACTGGTGTCTGAAGACGACGACGAGGAAGAGGAGGAGCTGGAATCTGAGCTGGAGCTGGAAGCGCTAAGGCGTGACACTGCTACTTGCTGTGCAGAGGATGACTCTGTTTTCTCATTCGCTGCAGAACAAATTCGAAAGTTAAAGACGTTCAAGTCTGAATCTTCATTTGTCAATAAAAGACAGTCAAGAAGGCAGGATGGAGTCAATCTGTAGTGGCATGAAAGTATATACTCACCTTTCTTGGGGGGCTTTTTAGTAGAATTGAGCTGTCCGCTGACATCTTGTAACCGCTTTTCTAATTCCCGCTTTTTCTCCAAAGCCAGTTCCTCCTTTGTCTTTCCCACAGGCTTCTTAATGGCTAATGAAAGAAATTTATCAGGATACATTAAGATTGCCCCAAGCATCTTATTATGGGCCCCTAAGGTTCCCAAGTTCCCTTCTTGAACGTCAGCTGCCAACCAACACATCCCATTATCCTGGGAGCTGACAATCCTGAATGCAAACAGACCCCACCATCTTTCCTCAACTGTCCTCAGAACCATGAGATGAACCTCATTTCATACGTACTGTAGGGCTTCCGGGGTTTCTTACGTAGGCAGGAAAGGACATAGCGCTCAAGCTCTCTAAGTGTGGATGGCTTGAGTGTTTCAAAATCAATCTCAATCTCTTCTGGGTTTGAATCACGTAAAGAGGGCTCCCTGGCTTGGATTATATGCACAACTCGGCCCAGCTTCTCCCCAGGTAATTTGTTGATGTCCAGGCTCAGCTGCCGCTTCTCATCGTAACTCATGGGCCTGCTCTCTTCCTCCTCCTCTGAATCATAACCTGTAGGCAGGGCAGGTGGGGCTGTCTTTGTGGCCTTTTTGGGGAGCCTAAGGGCAAAAAGAGTTGTCAGCAAAAGAAGCTTCATTAACCTCTTCCAGTATGTTCCCACTGTTATAATTCAGTGATCCTATTTCCTGCCCAGAGTGGAGCTTCTGTTTTTCCATTCAATGGCCAAGTAAGAGGTGGGCTACTGGGACACTGTATAGTGAAACAGAGCATTTTGCTCGACTGTAAGTAGGCAATAACATGTCTTTAAAAAGACAATGTACGTACATACCTTAATGAAAAAATATTACTAAAAATGTGACACACAAACATGTTGGAAAAACTGTTGAAAGACTTGCTCCACACAGGGTTGTCACAAATCTTCAACTAAAAAAAAAAGTAGTATCTAAAAAAAACTCCGTAAAGTGAAGCACAATAAAACAAGGTATACCTGTTTAGGTATACTGACATGGGTCTTTCTGCTCCCTTAAACACTACCAAACTACACCATGGGCCAGCTGCAGTGGCTCAGATTTGTAATCCCAGCACTTTGGGAGGCCAAGGCGGGCAGATCACTTGAGGTCAGGAGTTCAAGACCAGCCTGCCCAACATGGCGAAACCCCGTCTCCACTAAAACTACATAAACTAGCTGCGCACTAAAAATACAAAAATTAGCTGGGCGTGGTGGCGCATGCCTGTAATCCTGGCTACTTGGGAGGCTGAGGCAGGAGAATCGCTTGAACCCGAGAAGTGGAGGTTGCAGTAAGCCGAGATCACGCCACTGCACTCCAGCCTGGAGTCTTTAAAAAAAACAAAACAAAAAACAAACTAACAAAAAAAAACAAAACACAAAACCACACCAAAAAACCAAAAACTACTACGCCATGAAAAACAAGTCTAGACTCATTGATTTAGAGCAACAGGCAAACTATATGGCCCAGAGAACAAATCTGATCGCCACGTGTCTTTGCAAATAAAGTCTTTTTGGAACACAGCCATCTTCATGTTTCTAGTTTATGGCTACTTTGAGTTCACTGTCAGAGTAGCTGTGAAACACCCTGACTCCCAAAGCCAGGGGTCCCAACCCCCAGACCAGTACCAGTCCGTGGCCTGTTACTGGGCTACGCAGGAGGTGAACAGCCGGCATGTGGGCATCACTGCCTGTCACATCAGCAGAAGCATTAGATTCTCATAGAAGCATGAACCCTACTGTGAAGTGCGCATGGTACATATCCAGGCTGCATGCTCCTTATGGGAATCCAATGGCCCAATGATCTGAGGTGGAACAGTTTCATCCCAAAAACCATCCCCTCAAACCCTGTCTGTGGTAAAATCTGTCTTCCACGAAACTGGTCCCTGGTGCCAAAAAGGTTGGGGACCACTGCTCAAAGCCTATTGTATCTGTTAACTGGCCATTTAGAATTATCTTTGCAAAGAGAGATGGCATCCCCCAGAGAGACAGAAATAGCCAAACTAGTCTCTGCTTCCTACTCTAACTCACTTGGTGCCACTTCCTCCAGAAGGTCCAAAGCCAGAAGGGCCTAAAGCAGCACTGCCACCCCCACTGCCACTTGCTTTCTTGGACTTCTTAGGTTGAGGTGGGCGGGGTGCCCTAGGCCCCTTGTCATCTTCATCGGCCCCAGCTCGGCCTCGATGCTTCTCTGCCTTCCGTTTCTTCTTTTTCTCTTTTTTCTCTCTTTTCCTCTTGGGCTTGGATATTGGACCCTGGGACAGAGCAGCCAGTTGTTCATGTACTGCCCGAAGCTAAAGGAAAAAAAACATGAAGTGGAAAAAGTAAATAAAGATAAAATAACAAGAAGAAAAAATGAGGACAAAGGGCATGAACCTCTTACCCAATAAAAACTTTCAAGAGTGACAAAATACCTGTTCCTGTAGTTCTGCTAAGCGATGAGCCCTTTCTTCCTCTGAGTCTGAGCTTTCACTCTCTTCTTCCTCCTCGTCCTCCTCATCTTCCTCCTCCTCTTCCTCAGAGGAGCTCTCACTGCTACTTTCCTCACTGGAGGACTCTGAAGACGATTTGGCCAAGCCAGGGGGCATGGCAGTAGAGACTGGTAAAGGCCCTGGTTCTAGTGGTTCATCTGGCATCTTGGCATAACGGAACTCAAATACATCCTACAAAGAGGCACAAACTCAAAACTATGCTGATAAACAGTGCCCTACATACCCAGCCACCAAGTGATATAGCTCCAATTTACAACTGTACAGAACAGTGAGACCCTCACGTTGAGGCTATGCAGCACACATGACAAAATAACTCCCCATACCATTTATTTTTCAAACTCCAACCTTTCCACTCACCTGTAGCTTTCGTGCCATTGCCACAACATCGTGATCTGGGGGATTGTACTTATAGCAGTTGGAGAACATAAGCCGTACATCAGCAGCAAACTCCTGTGCATCCCGGTAATCACGGTTCTCCATCTTCCGCTGCAGAAGGAGGCAGCATCAGAAGCTGCACAGGCAGGAAGACTCACCTTTCCCTGCCAACCCCAGACACCACAAGAAGAGCCCTCTCTTGAGAGCACAGTGGGGATGACCTTAAGGATCTGTGCCCTGGGGTTCAAGTTTGAAGTCAAAGGAATTTGGGTGGGTTGAAGAAATATTTATGTCTAGAAAAAGAAATCATTTCTAAGTGACAGAGAGGTGGCCTATGCCTGTTTTTCCACCCTATAACTTCCTTAACCCAACACTGCCACATTAGTACTTAATTATAGACAGTATTTTTCTCAAGACAAAGAAACCCCACCCTACTGTTTCAAACTCCAAGAAATACAAATTCTCAAAACACCAGACCTTCTGTTCCACTATTATTTTATAAAAGTAAAATGCCAAGAACCAAAGACTGCTGTGTGCCCACATAAGGAGACTTATTGTTTTGCACCTAGGCTCCCATCACTGCCTGAGCATCCCATCTGCCCCATGCAGTGGGTACCTTGACAGTGCTGAGGTCCATGGGGTGCTTAATGATGTCATGGTAGTCATGCAGGCCAAGTGCAGAAGCATCCACTGGTTTATAGAAAGGCCAAGCATAGGCAGCATGCTTCTTAGAGAGTAACTCCTTCAAAATGCCATTGCAATGTTTTAACTGTTCTGAAAGCTTTCCTTTCTTAGAGCTCTGGTGTTGTTGCTGAGAGTCAGGCAAGTCTTTGCGTGGGGGCTTGATGGGGCGACCACTCTCTCTACGCATAGGGGGAAGCCGTGCTGCCTTAGGCTCAAGACTCCCAGGAGGGCTAGCTGGAGAACCAGGAGCCAAGATGGCTGTAGGTGTAGGGGTGGTAGTATCTGCTTTCCGCTTTACGCCTTTTTTCTGCAGAAAGAAACAAGATAGGGAACCTGTCACTCCAAGCCCACTTTACTTAAGACCCTTGCCTCCCTGCTGCCCAGAGGAAATCCACAGATCATACCTTGGCAAGGGGCTGGGCTGGAGGAGCTGCAGTAACAGCAAGGAGCGGGGGTCCAGCAGAGTGCAAGGACTTGAGAAGTGGAGAGGAAATGACTGATGGGTGGGGAATGTTGAGGACAGTGGTAGGTATCTCAGGTGGAGGAGTATACAGGGCTGTGTGTGACACAGAAGAGACGGCAGGCACCTGATGGGCACTGGTAACACTGCCCTGGAGCGCTAGAAAAAAGGAAAAAAGTGTAGTTTGATTCTCTTCCCCATCTTTAGTTGTCCATTTGCAAAACTCCCACTCTTCCTACCTGCCAACTTGGCCCCCTTCTTGTGGCTGTTCTTAGGGATGGTCACTACCAGCTCTTGTTCTTCTTGTGGCATTGATGCAACCTTCTGTAGGAATATCTTTTCCAGCGTTTGTGCCATTAGGACAATATCATCAGTGGGCTATGAGAACACAGACAGCAATAAAGAAAGTTAAAAAATGCCAACAGAAGATAGATACACACCATCTTTCTCAGAGGCATTCAGGCCCTAGGCCATTACCATACCCCCACCAGTCATCTTGTCATCAAATCTTAAAGAAAATTTCCTACTCCAGGCCACTACTAATTTCCACTTTCTCCTAACTGTCTCCCAAAATTCGAAAGAAGAAAAAACTTGAGAGCTGACAAGAAAACAGATCCCTGGTCTACTCAGGTCTCTGGTGATTTCTAAGAAACAGGACCACCACCCCCAAGTATGAAGTGTTCTAAATAACCTTCAACTAGAGCTCTGAAGTCACATCACTGTGTTCAATAGTACCATCTAGAGTCAGGTTTTTAAGACTCCGACTACCCTACCTGGATAACACCTTCAGTAGCAAAGGATTTAAACTTTATGTAGACAACATATCCAGCAATAATAGAAGTTACTGTTTCTCCCCACCTACTAAATGAACACACAGAAAAACTCACCTTGTTGTAAATGTAACAGTTGGTGAACATGGTATTAAAATCTTGCATACACTCTGAAGCAGCCCAATAATAATTGTTTTCAAGTCTCCTCTTAATAGTACCCATGTCCATAGGCTGTTTTATAATTTTGTGATAATCCTAAATAAAAAAATGTTAGGTCAGAACCACAGAAAAATAAATGCTTATAGGGAGACTACCGATCCCCGACTCTCACACACACACACACACACACACACCCCCCCTATGCATCAAAGGAACAGTTACTTAAACTGCGGCCCCAATTAAACTGTGGGACAAAATAAATAAATAAATAAAAAAGATTCTTGACATCCACAGGGAGGCCCCTGCTGCCTTTCTCTAACCACCCACCTCCCACCCACTCTGGAAACTTCCCATCCTGTGACATTACCTCTGGGGCTGGCTATCCATGGGCTGCATGAGGGAAAGGAAGAAGCTAAGAATTTTGGCCACCGTGGTCCTCTCCCAACCCGAGGTGGGAATCTGTAAAATGGAGCCAGGGCACAAAAGTTAAGGAAGGACACATGGAGGGCACAAGGAAAGATGCCAAGATAGTTACAGCAAGCGGTCGGATCAATCACAAAGGACCAAGATACCCAGAAATCTGGTAGCTAACTGCCCTACAGGGGAGAAATGGGAACTCCCTAGGGGCCGCAGCATCTACACTAGGCAGACCACCCCCATTCACACGCATTCTTGCTCATCCCACACCTCCCCGGCTCCAATGTCTCTACTCACCGGTAGACCCAGTTTGACAGCATCCACAGGCTGCCGGAATGGCCATGCGAACTGATGTTTCCACAGAGCCTTCATCACTACCTTGTGTAGGTATTGCAGCTGGTTGGTAACTCGTCCTGGCTTTTTGGGATTGGACACCTCCGGGGGTGGTGGGTTGGCAGGGGTAAGTTGCAAAGCAGGCACCGAAGCCATTGTGGGGCTCTCAAAGCCCTCATACAAGAGAGAGGGTTTTCGAATCCTCTTCCCTGGTGCTGCTGCTTCTGGGCCCAGCCCCAGCAACCCTGCATTCCCTTCCCCAGGGAGCCTGTAAAGATGGGAACAAAATTAGGGCAATATCGTCCAAATGAGGAAAAAGTGCATCTGCACAATAGTCTGATGAATCCAGGTGCTGGCCCTAGTGAGGTGGTTAAGCTTATGCCAAGTGCTTCTTAAGCAGAAACAATATCCAAACAATCTGTGGAGCTTTTATTGCTGGCCCCGCCTTCCTTTTATTAATATTTTTAGTATACTATCTAGATCCCACCTTCTTAAGTCTGATAGGCTCTATCTGTTCTTTTTCATATTTTAAAAAACTCCCAAATTGTTTCTGACAAGGCACGACATCTCAGAACTACAGCCCTATGGGGATGGGGCTTAAGCAAAATGGGTGGAGTTAAGAAACTCAAACCCCAAGCTTCCTCCTCACTAGGGGTTTGGTGGTTGCCATGGTGGTTGAGCGCCGGTAAGGAGGAAAAGAACAAATTATGGCTATAAAAAATTCCATAAAATGCTGATAAGACACAGAATAATCCACCTAGATAGAAGAGAGAGCACCATCTTCCACAAGGTCTGGGTAGTTCACGCCACAACAGAACATAGACTAGAAACCCAGAGGAAGAACCATATCAACTTAAAAACAAATTCAGACAAGGAAGAATTTGTCAGACTTCACAGCCCGTAACTTCCAGGCCCTCAAAATTATTCGCACCAAATCAGAGTCTCCTCACTCCAAGGAAGTCAAAAAGCCGTACAAAACAGTCAAGGTCACCAAGTGATAGCCCCCTTCCACCCACCCACTACACAACACGATTCCACTACCAGTTCCCCCTGTAGCACCAACTCCGGACACCAAACGCTAACAGTGGTTCATTTACAGTCCCTCTGGTGCTCCTCCGATCAGTCTTTCCTACCACCTAAGAATTAAAACATCATATGGGAATCTCATTGTTTACATCGCAGAGCTGAACTAGGAACCTTAGCTCTACCCTCCTGCCCTGAATCAAACTTTTAATGTTAGGAAAAAACAATCCCTGCACCAACAAACACCACACACAACCCACCCACCCAAAGAAAGCAAAAGATTTAATGACATACCCTGGGCATTAGGAACCTGCACACACGGGAGAGTGATCCCTTTACCCTTCTCTGGGAATCCCCGTTGCCAGTCCCTTAAGCGCTCCGTCACCATGGCAACCCTACAGGGCGCTAGAGGTGTCCGTGAATCCCCCCTAAAAGGCTAACAGACCGCCGCTAGATACCAGACCCACCAAACGCCAAACCTGCTGTTCAACCTCACTCCACTCCACCGTCAAACTAGCTCTGCCTGACTCGGTTAAGACTGGGCCACGGCGGCATTAATAGCGTATAAATTGACAACCTGTATTCCCCTCCACGAGCAGTAGCCGAGCCGCCACCACCGTTCCAAAACCGTCGCTCAATTCCCTCCGCGCGACCGAGTCGACAGCTGCGCCGCAACAGCAGCGCGCCGGGGCCGCTCAGTACTCCCAACACGGCGCCCCACACCCCTGTGCCGCCGCCCTGCAACATCCCCTTCCCACACGCGGCTCGCGGAAACGTACTTATTGTGGGGAGTCACGTTTTGCAGCATCTTGACCGCAAGGAACCGGCGCTGCCCTCAGCCGCGGAAAGTCCGGGTGGCCTCGGTTCCCCTCACCGCCCGGTCCAGCATAACCCGCTAAGTTGGGGGGAGGCCGTTCCTCTTGGGCCTCCAGGCGACAAACCCCCTGCCTGGCCGGCACGAAAGCAGTCTCTTTGGGGCCTCTCGGAGAGCTCCGGGCAGCTTGGCGCGCTCTGCAGACGGCGGACAGCAAGAAAATGGCGGCGGCCTCAGCTGAGGCGGGCAACTAAGGAGGGACTGACTCTTCAAAAGACGGTCCCCGATCTCAGACACCGTCGTCAATATAGCCCGCTGTTGGTCTGCAGGGATTCCCTCTTCTTGTCGGGCCCCTACGGGGCCGACGAGGTCCCGTTTCGATCTCGGATGGAGGCGGATGAACACGAAAAGTGGTTTAGGGAGCCGCCGCCTCCATCTTTGAAATCCTCTTGAGGGCGGAGTAGAGGGGGTGGACAGACTCCGAGGATTGGGCGGGGCCCGAAAAAGGGGAGCTCCAGGGGCTTCTAGGGGGTCTGTACTGCCCGCTGGGACCAGTCATAGGCCGGGACGAAGGCCATTTCCAAGCGGATGGAGGTGGATTGTAATGGCGGCCCCGGACGACTCGAAGGCTCTGTATCGGTAGGCAGAATCCTCCAGCTCGTTCTAGAGGCTGCTCCACTCCAGCACGAAATGGCGCCGCCGAGCCCCGCGCCAGCCCTTTATATATAGGCGGGGAGGAGGAGCTTCGCCGCTCATGCGCGCCACCCTGCTTGAGCTTTTCCCCACCCCCTCCGCGCGCGCGCGCTCGCTCACGCGGGTGAAGAAGCTGAGTCGAAGGGGAAGGAACACCTCTCCGCGGGAGCTTTTTCTATTGGCCAGCCGCAACGATGACGTCATAAACTTCATTTCCAAGGTGTCAGTCACCAGGCAGAAGAGTGCCGCAGAGACCCACAGGGAAGTGGCAACCCGCCACATCTCCAAGCCAATTGGCTGAGCTGTGGTCCGCCGACTCCAGGGAAAGAGGGTGGTTGGAAGAGGTGCGGAAGCCATCGCCCCAGAGCCTCCAGCACTCTCTCCCCGCCTCCCCTTCCAACAAAGTCTTCCCAAGCTTCCATGCACAGCCCAACTGGAGACTGCCAAGCTCGAGCAGGTCGTGCCATTCGTAGCTCCTCCATTGGCCAAAGCAGGGAAACGGGAGGGGTCGCGTGGGCGTAGCCTGCCTGAACCCGCCAGGGGTGTGGCCGCAAGACGCCTGGCGGGTGGTGGTTCTCGGCGGTAAGGCAGCAGCAGCGAAGAATCTGAAACGAGGAAAAAGACGCCATCTTAGAAGCCGCGGCCTGCTCCTCTATGGCGAACAGCTACGGGCTTCAGAACGGCGATGAGGGGATCTAACGTTCCCATGCCCCACAGTCTAAAACAGTGTTGCCAGAGTCTTATAATACTCCACTCCCTCCCTCAAGCCAAACGATGGAAAGACGAGCAAAACATTATTTACTACTGTTTAGTCCCAAAGACCACAAAAGCTAAAATACGTCTCCCAAATTTGCACGTCCAAGCACCTTTCTAATCCCTCCCCACTCACACCTACAGTTACCAATACATTTCTGCTCGTTCGAAAAATCCTCGGCAACCCTAAAAGTGGGATTAAAATCTCCAAACGCATCCATCTACCCTATACAATGCAACACACCTCACCTCTTCCTCAAACTCCATTCCGGCGTCCGGCTCAGAGCAGAAAAAGCAAGTCCTGGGAGGGATGACTTAAGGGAAAAACCCTCCCCCTCCAGGCGAGCTCGGACCTTTCCCCCCACACGCCACATCACCCCCAAAGGCACACCCGTATCCGCCTCTCAGGGGCCCTCCGCCACGGGGGCGAAAGAACCCCCCCGCCCCCCCACCAGGGTCCGGAGTCCTCCCCACGGAGCGGCTGGTCCATCGGTCAGCGCCAGGGAGGAGGGCGAGCGGAGGAGGCGGCGGCTGCGGCTCAGACTAGCCCTCCCCCTCCTCCCCTCCTCCCCTCCCCCCGGCCGTCCGCCTCCGAGGAGGGGCAGGAGCCATTTTGGGAGCTCAGTTTCGCCCCCTCCCCCCAACTTACTCTTAAGTCTTCCTCCTAACTTGGTTATCTAAATAAGGGTGCAGACTCTGTGAATCAACCAGAGCCCAGAGTCAGGATCTCCAGAGCATCTCTGGGGCCGTCCCCGCCCCCTTACAAGAGAGTGAAAGGATCTCCCCCACCCGAGAAAACCTGGGCTTTGGTGGGGCGTCCCCTCCCCCGTTTCCCCTTTCTTCGCTACCAGGGAGAAAACAAACTTGTGTACGTATCTGGGAAAAATAATCAACGTAGGTGAACAAATATACGGTAAGATTCCCCCTCGCCCCGGAAGGGCTCGTAAGGGCCTAGGTCCTTGAGCTGCAACCACGCCACCCTCCCTCCTCTGCAGTAGCCCTTCAACTCCAACCTCGGTTACTGCGTCTAAAATGGCCGCCAATCTCCTGTCTTCTGACCCCCCGAGTAGGGCAAACCCCGGGAGGGCGGGGGAAAATGAGCGTCAGGAGAGCAGAGTCCCCTTCCCCCAGCCAGGGATCAGGCCCTGGCCCCCAAAAGTACAAGCGGCCCCGTTTGGGTGGCTGCAGCATGGAGGGCAATGACACAGCAACTTTGCAGAGGCCTTTTCCCCTCCCCCTAGCGGCCCAACCTCCCAAATCTGCTTTTCTCCACCGGGGCTCTGCAGGCCAGGACAGAGGCCCATCAGGGGGCCGGCCATGGAATAAAAACTTAGGAGGCTGAGAAAATACTAGGCCTTAGGAAAAGGGCAGCCAGACATTGCTCTCGTTTATTCCCTGCATTCCGGAAAATCACTGCCTCCCGATCCTCTATCCTCCCTTCCCCCACATGAGTCACCAGGGAGGCTACTGCTACTCAGTAATTTGGGAAAGTAACTCTTTCCTCCTTTCCGTTCCCTCCCCCGCAGTACACAAGGAGAGAACTGTTCAGGACTGGGGGAGGGGATGAGGGAGGCGATGGAAGAGGCCACCCTGGAGAAACCCGAAACCTTGGGAGCTGTGAAATCATTCCAGGTCCCGAGCCTCCCTCGCATCTCAGACCATGCTGTCTAGACCCCCTACTGCCAGCACCCACCTTGGGCCTGGTTTCTGTTCCTAAGCAGACCTCAAGCTTTCAGCTTGTAAGCACCCCAGCCTGGAGTAGACACGTGCTCAGTAAAGACCCTACAGGGGCAAAAGGCCCCACAGGCCGTGTCCACGTGAATGCACACAAATTCGGTAAGCGACTCGAAGCGTAACCTCCAGCCTGCGGTGTGACGACTGGAGCTCCCCTACCGCGGACACAAAGGGCGCACAGCAATGCTCCCTCCAGAGGCTCTGGGGAGAAAGGAAGTTGGCGCCTGGGAACAACCTCAGTTCACAACATGGGTGGCCAACTCCTAAAGCATTCACATCCACGGGTAGGGGCCACAGCCACCACTCCTCAGCCCACCGCCAGGTCACCCCTCCCTCGGCCGCCGATGGATCCCTTCTCACCTGGCTCCCGGCTGCTGTACCCCCAGGGGACGAATGGAATAGGGGGGGCCACACCGCCCCCTAACCCCTTTGCCCTCCAATGGGTACGGAGGCATGAGGCTGGCCATTCCCCTCCCCCCCCATGGCCCTCTCCCGCTCGCCCCCCCTCCACGCTCCCATTGGCTGTAAAAGGTTTGAAGGACAAATCTTCCCACTCTCAGGATTCTTTCCTGAACCCCAAGAATCCCCCTCCCGGACTCCCCACCATTGGTTAAGCACTTGACTGACATCTCCGCCCCACAAGGGCCCCTTCTCACCTGGATCCTAAAGCCTTCCAGGGGGCCTCCAAAGTTGCCCTCGGCTTGGTACGGGGTATGTAATCCGGGGTGTCAACCCCCCCCCAGAAAACGAAGCCGTGCTGGGGGAGGGGGCGTAGCCCCCAGCCCCTCCCTTCCCGAACGGGCTGGGGGGGTGGGGAGAGCATCGGGGCCGCGCGGCCACGTCAGCAGCACCCAGATTGGCTGACCGGGGTCACGTGCCCGCTTCCCCCCCACCCCCCGCCTTTCCCCCAGCCACGAGGACCAGCTTTCCGAACGTTCCTGGGGGTCGCGCCAAGGGGCCAAGGGGGCCGCATGGCCCAGGCCTATGTCCCGAAACCCAGAGCGCTATAACGCTGCTGCTTGTCCATATCCCCAGCTTCCTATCCCGCAGTCCTGGACTCTGTCCCCCCCACTCGCCTCTCCATACGAGTTCAGCATGGCTGCCGCAGACCAGGAACACACACAGCGCAGGCGCAAGGGTGCGCCCTGACTGGGGGAGGGGGAAGGAGGGCCAGAGGCTGCGGGGAGAGCCGTAGTGCGCAGGCGTCCGGACCGGAACCGCATCTCCGGCGGCGGGGCTTGGAGCGCGCGCTTTTCGTGGGGCGGGAGCCCGCGCCCGGGTGCTGACCTCCTGCCTCAGCGCCCCCTCCCCCACTACCCGCGGCCTAGCGGGGTAGCCTCGGGTGGCCAGGCTTGTTTCCTCCTCGGTGGGTGTAAGGTGCGGCTTCGCTGGTCCTGGCCTGAATCCAGCGGAAGCGCACGCTGCTGAGCTGTCAGCGGAGGAAAATGGGGCCTGGACCTGGAGATATGAGGGTCTGGAGAGAGGGGCCCCTTCCCTGGTGTCGTGTGGTGCGACCACTGGAGAGGGAGTTTCTCGCCCTCGTCGCGCCTGCCGCGCGGAGAGATAAGGTGCGGACCGCAGATGTGGACTTCGTATTTGGCTTTAGTCTTAGGCAGCCTTAAAATCTCTCCGTGCCGTGAACCTACGCTAGACTTTTCTTTAGTGAGACCTGTGAGTCCCTGGACCGCTCTACCTTCTACGATATTTACCAGCTGATAACTTTTCCTTCTCTATTTATTTCGTAGTGGACCGTTTAAACCTCTTATACTCTTAAAGTTATGATCTCTCCTCTCCCAAGCTTGAGTGAATTCCCCCCAAAATTTTGGAACTGGTAACATAAAATGTTATGGTGATTCAGTTGCCAGCTAAAAAGTAAGCCTTTAATTTGTCATTAGCCGATAACCTCTCCCTTGATTACCCAGAGTATGGTCCAGATTTTCACGCTGCAGACCCTAATCTCTCCTCACCGACAGATGGCACTTCACAGAACAGAAAGGCCAATTTGCAGAACTGGCTTCCCATTTCCCACCTGCAAACTGGGTCAATTGTGTATTCCTTTCTCATTTCACTAGAGGTCCTCCCTTCGGTTTGAGGAAATCCTTTACTATTGACCTGGTCAACCTTCTCTGTTACCCGGAAGCTGTCTTCCCTTCTCCCCCTTTTGACCTTTTTAAACTTTTCTCTTGGTTTCCCCGCTGACAGAAAGATAACAACCCTCTCAATATCGTGCCCTCTTAGAGACTCATGTCTCTCGGCTTCCTTGCACAGCCAAGACCTGAAATTGAAATTATCCTTACTATCTCAATTCTTTGTCACATTCTCTTTCCCCATCCCCACTCTTCAAGCTACCTCTGTCAGGCTGCTACCACCAAAACTTTTCTGGCAGATGTCACCAAGAACCTCCTAACTGGCAAAGTCAGGAAGCACTTTACAGTTCTCACTTTATTTGACCTCTGAGGCATTCGACATTTGATCATGTTTCCTTCCTGACATTCTCTCTACCCTTGACTTCTATACCACTCTCACTTGTTTCTTTTCCTATTTGTGTAACTGTTCCTCTCCAGTCTCAGTAGATTTTTCTTCCTTAGCCCCTTTTTATGTGTTGATATTTGCTGTGATTCTTGTTTGCTTCTAATTTTGTTCAACTTCTCTAGGTAATCTGACTCCATGGCTCAAAGCCTCTGAAGTCTGAATCTTTAGTTCAGACAGCTCTCTAAGCTAAACTTTCTACTAAATATTCCCACTGGGATAACTCTCAGACACCAGTATGTTCAAAATTGATGAAATCACTATACACTCTAGACCTGCTCTTTCTCTTCTGTTGTCCTGAGTAATGGTGGCTGTTTAACCACAAAGTCTGTAATCTGGGAGCCTGTTCTTGATTTCCTTTTCTCACACCCTTACAGACTCATAATTTTGCCTCTTAACTATCCATCAACTCACCCTTCTGTCCTAATTCTATCACCTGAGCTATACCAACAGTCTCCTAAATTATTTGCTAGACACATGGCTATTTGGATTTAAATTAATACAATTTTAAATTTAGTGTCTCAATACACTAGCCACATTTTAAGTTCTCAATAGCCACATGTGACTAGTGGCTGTCATATGGGAAAGCACAGATTATTGAACATTTGTGTCATTGCAAGAAGTTGTTTTTTTCTTTCCCTGATACGGAGTCTTGCTCTGTGGCCTAGGATGGAGTGCAGTGGCGCAGTCTTGGCTTACTGCAACCTCTGCCTCCCGGGTTCAAGCAATTCTGCCTCAGCCTCCCGAGTAGCTGGGATTACAGGCGCCTGCCACCACACCCGGCTAGTGTCTGTATTTTTAGTAGACACGGGGTTTCACCATGTTGGCCAAATTAGTCTCGAATTCCTGACCTCGTGATCCGCCCGCCTCAGCCTCCCAAAGTGCTGGGATTACAGGCGTGAGCCACTGCGCGCGGCCTCATTACAAGAAGTTCTGTTGGACAGTGCTGCTTTAGACTTTCCTCTCTGCCTCTGCCACAATACTGCCAGGAGAGAGCTTTCCAAAATATAGCCCTGGCCATAGCTCTTTTTAAAACTCTGTGTTATTCCTTATTGGCTATGTGATAAAGTCCAAATTCCTATGTTTGCCAAAACAGTCTGCCTAGCTTTCCAGCCTCATGTCTAACCACTTCCTCTTGGGCCCTATATTCCAGCTGTATTGAACTGTTTCCCAGACACATCATTTTGTTTCATGCCTCTGTGTTTTACACATGTGCACTTTCTATATGGAGTAGACTTTTCCCCAATCTATGTACGCCCAAATAACATCTCTGAAAAGCTTAATGTTACTGTTCAAGTTGAGCTAACTGCTCATTCTTTGGTGTCCCTTCCCCTTATGATTTTACTTTCCACAGTGAATGGCATTTATGTGATTACATGTTTCTCTCTAGTACTAGACCTTGATTTTGAGAGCAGGGCCATTATGCATTCTTTTTCTTGCTTTGCTTTTTTTTTTTTTTTTAATATCCCTAGGTCCTAGCACAGTATCTGGCCAATATTAGGTTCTCACAAATTGAGCAAATATGGAGGTGAATTGATGTGTAAGTAAGTATGTGACTTAGGTAAGATTGAAATGTGTATGTTTTATGGGGTGCCATGTATAGGGGAATAATCATAGACAAAATTATTGCCTTCAAACCTGAGACATTAGAATTATGTGAGGAAAGACAGACATAGAACAGCACAGGTTATTGTCACAGAGAGTAGTCTAGTCCAGTCTGGCCAGAACATAAGCTACAAGAAGTAGAGCAGGAGAAGAGAAAATGGGAGGTAAATTTATATTAGAGAACACATTATAGAAGGTTTCCAGTGCTGTTAAGTTTGGAATCAGTGGGGAACCACTGAAATTTTTTGACTAATGACTTGATCAGAATTATGTTGTTAGATAGAAACTCTGTCTTCCAGTGGCTGGCACCGTCCATGTTAATAAACATCAAATTAAAATGTCGGGGTTGGAAGGAGATGTGATTGGTGATACAAAACATTTATTGAGTAGTTAAAATGTGTCAGGTACTGCAATGAGTACATGTAGTAACTCTTTTAATCCTTATAACCCTATAAAGTCAATACTAATATTATCACCCTCAGTTTTCAAATGAAACAACAGAAGCAAAGGACGTCTTAGTCTGTTTTCTGATGCTATCACAGAATACCACAGACTGGGTAATTTATAAACAGTAGTTTATTTGGCTCAGTTCCAGTTGCTTGGAAGTCCAAGAGCATGGCATTGGCATCTGGTGAGAGCCTTGTGCTGCATCATCCCACGGCAGAAAGGCAAACAAGCACATGAGATGGAGAGAGAATAGAGGCCAGAATGTACCCTTTGTTTGTTTGTTTGTTTTGAGGCGGAGTCTCGCTCTGTCGCCCAGACTGGAGTGCAGTAGTGCAATCTTGGCTCACTGCAAGCTCCTCCTCCCGGGTTCACACCATTCTCCTGCCTCAGCCTCCCAAGTAGCTAGGACTACAGGTGCCCGCCACCAAGCCTGGCTAATTTTTTGTATTTTTAGTAGGGACGGGGTTTCACCGTGTTAGCCAGGATGGTCTCCATCTCCTGACCTCATGATCCACCTGCCTCGGCCTCCCAAAGTGCTGGGATTACAGGTGTGAGCCACTGTGCCCGGCCTCAGAATGTCCCCTTTTAAATGGGAACCCATACCTACATTAGTAGCATTAATCCATTCATGAGAGCAGAGCCCTCATGACCTAATTAACTCTTAAAGGTCCCACTTCTTAAAACTGTCAAAATGGCAATTATTTTCAACAAGAGTTTTGGAGGAGAGATTCAAACCATAGCAGGTAATATTTACCTAAGGTCACACCTTTAGTAAGTAGCAGAACTGGGATTTGAACCCAGCTGACTCTGGGTGGCATATTATTCTGTTTACTAGGCACAGCAGGGAGTTTAAGATCCAAGATTGAAGTTAGAGAAAAAAGATTAGGAAAAGCAGATTTGAGAGTCACCTTTGAGGTGATGTTTGAATCAGCCACGAAGGTAGCTGAGGTTTGTAAAAGAGGGGGTATAAAAACAATTTAGGGTGAAGGATTGAGCTTTGGGTTACATCTTCATACAGGAAGCAAGAATAGGAAGTGGAACCAATGGAAGATCTCAAGGAGAAGCAGAGCAACATAATGTGAGGAAGCTAGAACAGGAGATGGTTCCAGGAAGGATGTCATGTTCATTGAATGACTGATTAAATCAGGACTCCTTAAGCTTTTTATGTGCCATTAGCTTTTTTGGCAGTTTGGTGAAGCCTTTGGATCTTGTCTGATAATATTTGTAAATGCATAAAATAAAATATAAACTATAGTTATCAAAATACAGTGGTCCCCCCTTAACTGCAGTTTCAATTTCTGTGATTTCAGTTACCCAAGGTCAACCTGGTCTGAAAATAAGTACAATAAGATACTTTGTGTATGAGACAGAAAGACCATATTCACATAACTTTTATTACAATATAATTGTCCTATTTTGTTGTTAATCTCTTCCTGTGCAAATTTATAAATTAAACTTTATCATAGGTATATCTATGGATAGGAATAAACTGTATAATCACATTTGGTGCTGTGTGGGGGACACTACTATATTCAAAGAAACGTGTGATGATCTAGTAGTATGTGTTTCTGTATTAATACAATACAGTGTTTCTTTACTAATACATTAAAAAGCATGATTTTTTGGCAAGTTTAACAGCTCCCATAATTGTAAGTGATATTTTAAGATGTCTGTAACAACTATAATGTGATATGAAAATATTAATTGATGGTGTTTTCTATTGATGACAGTGTTACAGCTGCTGGCTGGTACTACAAAGATTTATTTTCTACATTCATAAAATTAGATTTCAGTGAGAGTTTTTTGAAAATAAAGTTGACTTTTTTTTATTCCATCCAAGTTTATGGACTTCTGAATTGTTTTTTTTTATTTTTTATTGATACATAATAATTGTACATATTTATGGGGTACATATGATATTTTGATACATGCATACGATGTGTAATGATCAAATCAGGATAATTAGGATATCCATCACCTCAAACATTTATTATTTCCTTCTGTTGGGAGCACTTCAAATCTACTAGCTATTTTGGAATATACAGTAAATTAATGTTAACTGTAGTCACCCAGCTGTGCTATCAAACACTATAGAATTTATTCCTTCAATTTAACTATATTTTTGTAACCATTAATGAATCTCTCTTCATCCCCCCTCCACCCCCTCCCTTTCCCAGTCTCTGGTAACCATCATTCTACCCTCTACCTCCATAAGATCAACTTTTTTAGCTCCCACTTATGAGAACGTGATATTTTTTTTTCTGTGTCTGACTTATTTCATTAACATAATGACTTCCAGTTCCATCCATGTTGCTGGAAATGACAGGATTTCATTCTTTTTTATGGCTGACTAGTATCCATTGTATATATATACACCACATTTTCTTTATCCAGTCACTTGATAGACACTTAGATTGATTCCATGTCTTGGCTACTGTGGGTAGTGCTGAAATAAACATGGGCATGTACACATCTCTTTGATACACTGATTTCCTTTCTTTTGGATATATACCCAGCAGTGGGATTGCTGAATCATCTAGTAGATCTATTTTTAGTTGTTTGAGGAACCTTTATGCTGTTTTCCATAGTGGCTATGTTAATTTACATTTCTACCATCAGTATATGAGCATTCCCCTTTCTTTGCATCCTCACCAGTATCTCTTATCTGTGTCTTTTTGATAATAGCCATTTTAATTAGATTCAGATGATATCTCATTGTGGTTTTGATTTGCATATCCCTGATGGTTAGTAACGTTGAGAATTTTTTCATATGCCTGTTGGCCATTTGTATGTCTTTTGAGAAATGTCTATTCAGATCATTTGCCCATTTTCAAATGGGATTATTTGGAGGATTTTTGCTGTTGAGTTTGAGTTCCTTATATATTCTGGTTATTAAACCCTTATCAGATGGATAGTTTGCACATATTTTTTCCCATTCTGAAGGTTGTCTCTTCACTCTGTTGATTGTTTCCTTTGCTGTGGCAGAAGCCTTTTAGCTTGATGTAATCCCATTTGTGTATTTTTGCTTTCATTGCCTCTCCTTTTGAAGTCTTAAACCAAAAAATGTTTGCTCAAAGTCTTGAGCATTTCCCCAGTATTTTCTTACAGTAACTTTTATAGTTTCAGGTCTTACATTTAAGTTTTTAATCCATTTTGATTTAATTTTTGTATTTGATGAGAGATGGGGGTGTAGTTGTATTTTTCTGCATATTGTTATTCAGTGTTCCCAGCACCATTTAATGAAGAGTGTGTCCTTTTCCCATTGAATATCTTGGTACCTTTGTTGAAAATCAGTTGGCTGTTAAGATGTGGATCTATTATTTCTGGGTCCTTTATTCGGTTCTATTGGTCTGTGTATCTGTTTTTATGCCAGTACCGTGCTCTTTTAGTTACTGTAGCTTTGTAGTATATTTTGAAGTTGGGTGGTATGATGTCTACAGCTTTGTTCTTTTTGTTCAGAATTACCTTGACTATTTGTGTTTTCTGTGGTTCCATATTAATTTTAGGTTTGTTTTTTCTGTTTCTGCAAGGAATATCTTTGTATTTTGATAGGAATTGCAACAAATCTGTAGATTGCTTTTGGTAGTACAGTCATTTTCACGATACGAATTCTTCCGAAGACATAGGATGTCTTTCTATTTTTTTGTGACCTCTTCAGTTTTTTTCCTCAGTGTCTCATAGTTTTCCTTGTAGAGATCTTTCACCTCCTTGGTTTATTCTAGGTATTCTATTTTGTTTTTTTGGTGGGGGGAGGGGTTGTAGCTATTGTAAATGGGATTACTTTCTTTGATTTCTTTTCCCACTAGTTTACTGTTTGTATCCAGAAGCACCATTAATTTTTATATGATAATTTTGTATCCTGCAACTGTACTGAATTTATCAATTCTAAGAGATTTTGTGTGTGTGTGTGTGTGGACCTTTTAGTTTATAAATTTGTATGTTTTCTTGTTTAATGTCTCTTTATTTTCATTAGACTTTAAGTGTGATGATGGCAGGTATCTGATACAGAGCATACTGCTAGACACAGAAGGTGGCCAATAAATATTTGCTAAATAAATGAACCTTTCTGAGTCCCAGTTTTCTTGTTTATATAATGGGGATAATAAATTATAACCTTGTAGAGTAGTTGTAAGGATTGCTGCATCATAGTAATGTCACTAAAAGGGAGGATGAATATGGGTATGGAGAAATGTACTGAGGTAGAAATAAGAGTAAATGTGGGAGCTGGATGGCTAGGTTTGCTCTCTGAAACAGGAGGTGGCAGGGAGTAGGAAGAAAATGGTAGTTGGCAAGGAGCTTGGGAAGGGCCTAGAATGGAATTGGAAGGGTAGTAGAGTATATAGGGAAGGCTGTGGAGGTGTAAAATGGCTCATAGAGACTGGGTGTGGTTGCTCATGCCTGTAATCAAAGCACTTAGGGAGGCCGAGCCAGGTGGATCACGAGGTCAGGAGATCAAGATTATCCTGGCTAACACAGTGAAACCCCATCTCTACTAAAAATACAAAAAAAAAAAAAAAATTAGCCGGGTATGGTGGCACGTGCCCGTAGTCCCAGATACTCCAGAGGCTGAGGCAGGAGAATCACTTGAACCTGGGAGGCGGAGGTTGCAGTGAGCGGACACCGTACCACTGCACTCCAGCCTTGGCAACAGAGTGAAACTCCATCTCAAAAAAAAAAAAAAAAGAATGGCTTATAGATAAACCTGATAAGATTTACCTTTGAAACATCTGTTAGAAGGGACAATCCATCATCATCTAATACCTGAAGGCTCTTCCATTCTCAGTTCAGCACCTTCAGAGACTGGTAGCCCATTTGTTCATCGAGTGAAAGGTCACTTAGTGGGCCTCTTGGTGGAGATATATATATATATAGTACACCCTCCCCTAAGGACCTTGCAGTAGAGATGAGGTGACTATGAAACAGACATATAAATGGAAGATAATAATACAATTAAAACAGTGATAATGGCCAACACAGGGTGCTTTGGAAACGTACTGAAGAGGCTATTAATCTCAACTCTGGGTTCAAGGAAGGCTTCCTGAGAGGAGTGAGATTTCACCTGAAAAGACATATAGAAGTAGGTAAGTAGACTTCAGGTCATTATGGGTCATGACAAGGAAAGTAGATCATTAACAATCATGGAAGGTTTTCATGCAGAAGTATAATATGATCAACTAAGCATAATAAAAATATCCTTCTGGCAGCACTGTGGAAAATAATAAGATTGGAGAGAGAGAGACCAATTATAAAGAAAGTTGCAATAATCAGTGAAAACCAACCATTGAAGGCCTGGACCAGTAGGAATGGAAGGAAAAGAAAGGAAGATTCAAGAGCTATTAGAAAGGTAGAATTGTTAGGACAATTGAATGGGAAGGTTTGAGGAAGATGGGGTCATCAACGATGACCCACATTTGTAGCTCGGGTGGACATCTTGTTATTCACTGAAGTCTTAAATATAAGAGAGGAGTTGGAATATATTGGGAAGGGAAAGTGATGAGTGTACTCTTGTAATCTTGAGATGGAGATACATTCAGAGTAACAATTGCTAACTTTATTTGCCTATGGAATACCTAATTAGAATTCATTATTGAACCATCAATAGCTTATGAAACATAAAATAGAAAACTCACCAATTTTTTTAAACTAATGGCACGGTTTGAAAATTATAAGACACTGCTTTTCATTTAAAACTTCATTCTCTTACACATTTTTGAGATAACTAGGAGAAATGAACAGATTGGGTCAAATGAAGTTAAGTAATTTTTAATTTTGTTGGTTGTGGTGATGGCATTATAGTTATGTTAAGGGAAAGGTTATTATCTATTATAGATATGCCTAAAAGTATTTACTGGTGAAATGTAATGACAGAATTTGTTTAAAATACTCCAAAAAATGCAGAACAATAGATGAAACAAGAATGGAAGAATGTTAAATGTTGAAAATTGTTGACATTCATGAGAGTACATTGGAGTTTATTAGATTCTTCTCTTCTGTGTGTGCTTGGAGCTTTTCAAAGTAAAATTAAAAAAACCTTTTTAGTCAGAGATTCAAAGGAAATTCGTGGAATATATAATTTTAAATTAATAAATCAATATTGAATCACATGATAAATGTAATTTGAATATGTGATAAGACAAGTGACCGACCAGAGATCATCAAGCAGATGACATATGTCACCTGAGTAGTTAGGAAATGCTGTTTGAGCATTAATACACAGATTTAACCTTATGTTTATGCCTCAGATGATCTCATACAATTGTCTGAGATGCCATATGTTGAAAATAGCTGTATTGAGGTGGTTACTTTTCATATGATTCTCCCTTCTCTAGGAATAGCTCTAATCCATAGAGGTAATACTGTACCTGGCCACAACCAATGAATCCAGTGGTACACACCTAATACAAGCTGAGCCAGTGAGAGAGGCTCTCCCAGCAAAGCAAAACTTGAAAGATAAAGAGGCAGGAGGCCTTTGCAGGTGAGCATATTAATGGCAACTCAACCCCTGCTTCTAAGGTCCCTGTGGCTATTCTACCTGAGGCTAGCTTATTCAACTATTACTTTCATTTCATGAGTTAGATCAGTATCTTTCCAATAAATCCTCATTTTTAAAATGTAAGTTAGCCAGAATTGGTTTCTATTGCTTGCAATAAATAGACTTATTAAATATAATAAATTGTTACATAATAAAAAATATTATATAAATGTGTTTGATGTTGCATTATGTCTATGTGGAAATAAATTCAAAAATAAATGATTGCTATCATCAAACTTACTTTTTTTATTTCTTGAGGAACGCTATTGTGAAGAATACAGTTTAAGAACATGCAAATTCATGAAGCGTTCCATATTTAAAAAAAAAACAAAAACAAAAAACTGCTATTGCATAGCATCCAAGTGGATTTGACCAGAAGTGGTTCAGATATGGGTAGTGTGGAACTCAGAGCAAGATCTGAGCTGAAGAGGTAAGCTTGGAAGACATTAGCAAATGGGTGGTAACAGAAGGCATGTGGGAGTAAATGAGAGGACCATCCAGGGCAAGTGTATAGTCTAAGAAGAGTAAAGGTTGAGGACAAAACTCCAGGGAACACCAATACTTAAAGGGTTGCTGAAAGAAAGGAGTCCCAAAGGGACTGAAAAGGGGACGCCAGAAAAGTAGGAGGGAAAACTAGGAGAGAGTGCCATCAGGGATGCCAGAAATTTGACCAATTTAGGAGATGGGGTATGGCCAACAGTGTCAGATGTTGCAGAGACTAGTTCATTTGATTTGGCAACACAAAAGTATTGGTGAACAATTGCATTGTTGAGAGTTAAAAGATTAAATGGCAAGAATGGGAGCGGGGCCACAGTTGCCCATGACTTTTCCAAGAAATCTGACTCTGCTAGGGGAAAAAAAATAGAGTCCTTTTTATATATTTATTTATTTATTTTTTGAGATGGAGTCTTGCTCTGTCACCCAGGCTGGAGTGCAATGGCACGATCTCAGCTCACTGCAACCTCCACCTCCCGAATTCAAGTGATTCTCCTGCCTCAGCCTCCTGAGTAGCTTGGATTACAGGCACCCGCCATCACGCCTGGCTAATTTTTTTTTTTTTTGTATTTTTAGTAGAGATTCACCATTAACCAGGATGGCCTTGATCTCCTGACCTCGTGATCCACCCCCCTCGGCCTCCCAAAGTGCTGGGATTACAGGCGTGAATCACTGCGCCTGGCCAAATAGAGTCCATTTTTAAATGCTAGAAAGGGATGGCAGAGCTGAGTGTTAGAAAGCCAGAGCCTCCTGGATTTACCGGTGCTGTGCCATTATTTTCAGAGGCATTCATAGCTAATGACAAAGTAGACAGTGAACTACTGCAAAGCAGAACTGGCTGCCTTGCTCATCTCTTGCCCACAATTATTACTTTCCAAACTGATGAGAGACTATTCCTGAGATACTTATGATGGAGGTAGTTGGGAGGTCCTGGTGGGGAAGGATTACATGGAGGGAAGAGTAGTTATAAGTGTTTGAACTTGTTACCATTTAAACTGAGATTATAGAAGGGGAGAATGGAGTTAACCACCCCTCACCACAGTCTTGGTGAGGGATGGTTATGTTTGTCCTCACCTTGGTCTTGTCTACACTGTGCTCCCTATGGAGAACTTGGACCCCTCTGCCTTGTTCCTCTCACCCAGAGAAATTGCAGTGTCTGCTGTACCTATTCCTATGCCCTTCCACCCAGTCTAGTTTCTCCTGTTCTTCCCCAGATCTCCTTCCAAATAGACTGGTGTAACTGGCACAAAGTGTTTGTTAACTGATTGCCAATCCAATAATAAGGGGACTGAGGTTCTTCTTTGAAGGGTGGGTTTAATTTGGGGCTTTCGTACCAATTCTGACCACGTGTAGAGCATCATTCAGCACACTATGGGCTGTGAGCACAATCTTGCCTACCACCTGTTTTTAAATGGCCTAAAAGCTAAGAATGGTCTTCACATTTTTAAATGGTTAGGGAAAAAAAAAGCAAATGAAGAATATTTCGTGACACATGAAAATTACATGAAATTTGAATTTTAGTGTCCATAAATAAAAAGAGGGTTGAGGACAAAAACTCCAGGGAACACCAGTATTTAAAGAGTAGCTGAAAGGAAGGAGTCTATGAAGGAGACTGAGAAGGAGATGCTCAAGAAGTGGGAGGAAAAGCTAGGAGGAAACTAGGAACACAGCCACTCTCCTTCATTTACATATTGTGCATGGAGGCTTTCGTGCCACAGTTGAGTACTCATGACAGAGATCTGATAGCCCACAATGTCTAAAATATTTGCCATCTGGCCCTTTACAGAAAAAGTTTGCTAACCCCTGGTTTAGGACTCTAGGTGGCTGTGTCCCATATGTCTCCCCACTGGTAGTCTCATAAACTTCTTTTCTACTGTCCAGGGGCCTGAATCTCCCCACTGCCAGAACCGCTGATGGGTTAGTGCATAAATGTTGGGATACTGGGAAATGTTCTTTTGTTTTCTGGAGGGTTACCATGATTTCCAAACCCTAGTCCTTCCCTGGCACCCTGCCTCCACCACACAGACACACACACATATATACACATTGCTGTTCCAGAATATCTAGGAGGTCATAGAGTTGTTTTTGTTTTTGGCTATTACTGCTGCTATTACTTGTTTATCAAAAGAGGATATGAAGCCAGGCACAGTGGCATGTGCCTATAGTCCCCAGCTACTGAGGCGGGAGGATCGCTTGAACTCGGGGGTTCAAGACTGGAGTGAGTTATGATTGCACCTGTAAGTAGCCACTGCACTCCAGTCTGGGCAACAGGGGAAACTTTGTCTTAAAAAAAAAAAAAAAAAAGGTGGAAGGTATGAATTTTGAAAGCCTCAGAAACACTGTTGGACAATATTCACATATATTAATTTCTCAGATTACTTGATTGCCACATTAGAGCTTTCTCACTGCCTCTTCCCCCACCCCTTCTGTCTTTCTCTTTCTTTTGTCTAACAAACTTGAAGCATGTACACTGACAGTTTCTTCCTCACCTCCCACTTACTTCTCAGCCCACCACAATCTGGAGTTGACTCCCACTACAACACTGAAACTGCTCTCAATAAATTTGTCAGCCATCTCATAATCACCAAATCTAAGGACACTTTTCAATCCTTTCTTGACTTTTGAGTAGCATTTAAAAATGCTGACCTTGCCCTCCTTCATGGCACACCTCTTTTTTATTTCTCTGATCTGCTTCTACCTTGGTCTTTTCTTAGTGCTCTGGATGGTCCTCGTGCCACCAGATTCTTACAAACCAGGGTATTTCAGTGTACTCGTTATTATCTTTGTCTCAGTGACACACACACCCTCCTCTACTGTGTTTTGAACTGCTTAGCTTAGGAGTCAGCCAGGTGTGTATTTCCCAGCCTTCCTGGACATCTGGCTTCCTTTTTGATTCTGCCAGTAGGAGGCACTGATGGGAGATCAGAAGGCAAGAGAAACTGAGAAGCATCCTGCTTCAGCCTCTAAACAGTGTCGGTGGCTGGCAATAGCTGGTAGCTATTGGCTGTAGCTGTAGCAGCAGGAAGAATGGGAGACTCAGGACTCCAGCCTCCTGAGCAGAAGTACCTTCTCAAGGATTCTAGCCTTGAAGGAGGTGGCACCTTTCTAGTAGATTGGAACTGACTATGACAGTGTCTCTCACAAGGCAATGAGTAGATTTACAGATTCCAGCTCAGGGATGATGGCAGCTTCTGATTTCCAGATAGCAATCTTTTTTTAAAATGTACATTTCTAGGACTCTCCTTTTTTTTTTTTTTTTGTACTTCTTGCCCTTTTAACACCTTTGTAACCAATTCTCTATATTAAATTCTTTCAGTCTGAAGCACATAAAGTAGTTAAATGCTCCTGACTGGATCCTGGATAACTGGTATGAGGTTTGGGGTTTGAGCCCATGCATGCTTTTGTCCTTGTTTCACTTCCCACTCCTTCTGCACAGTTTACTTGGGTGATCTTATTCATGGCCTCTGCTTCGACATTTGTGCTGATGACTCTCAAATCAGGGTCTTCAGACCATACCTGGGGTCCATACCCACACGCCTCACTGCGCTCCCATGCAGTTTCAGCTGGCTGTTCCACTGGCATTTCAAATTCAACATGTACAAAATCAAGCTCTTTCTCTCTGTAAACCTGCTCCCATGGCATTCTTTTCTGCTTCAATTCAGTCCATCCCTGACCACCCACCCAGCCACCCATGCTGGAAATCTGAGATATCTTTGACTCCTCCACCTTCCCACTCCCACAGCTAATCAGTAGCCAAACCCTTTAGATTCTACTTCCTAATTATCTTGATATTCTATCTCCTCCGCCTCCTCTTATTATGACTTAATTCAGGCTCTTATTATCTGTCATTTAAATTATTGCTGTATTGCTACAGGAGTGGTGTGTATATGTGCAACTGTTCATCTTGGTATGCTATAGACTCTTGCCCAGCAGTTTTGCCTCAATTCTTTAAAAGCTCCAGTTCATTGTTTGAAATATCAATCAGAACATTTTTTCCAAAATGCTAAAATGATTGTCATTCCCCAGTTTTAATATCTCTATCATCTGCTAAGTAAAAGCAAGCTCCTCCTTGTGGCGTAGCAGGGCCCACGTGATCTGGCCCTTGCCAGAATTTGTAGCTTATCACAACATCCTTCTACCCCCCATTACCTCCTATTATACAGGAACACCCAAGCGACCTTCACAACATTCATATCAACTAGTACACAGGGTCTCCAAAGAGGACCTCTGGATGCCTGTGATCTTTGTACTTCTGCCTACCCTTTGCCCTGGCGTGTTTTTCTCTTCCTTCATGTTCTGCTGGCCAAATTGTTTTTCCTTCAAGTCTTAGGAGCCTGCCTGATTATGTTCCTCCTATTCCGCATCCTCATAAAATTACTGCGACTTCCAAAACACTTGGCACATTCTTATTTGAATACATTACATTGTTGTGTAATTATCCCTTGGCCCCCTCCCCCAGCACTAGACTCTAAGCTCTTTGAAGGCAGACTATGCCTATTCATCTTTGTATTTCTAGCCCTGGGCCCAACACCCAGAATTTCTTGTATTTTCAATATATGTCTGCCAAATGAATTAGAGCTAATGCCTGAAGGAGAATAAGTTTTTTTGAGAAAGAGGAAGAGCCAGGAGGGAGGAGAAGGCAGGGTCCGAAGAGCCCTGGGGGTTTACTTGGGGAAGATGCGGTTCCCCATTGCAGCATTCTGCCAGGAGGTGGCACTGCTCTGAAGAGCCAGCTGGTCGCTTACAGACTGAGGCTGACAGCTTGAAACCAAAGAGGGAACTCCACCAGGAAGCAACATTCCTCCACTGGGCTTCCCAGCCCAGTTACATGCCATACTCTGCCCTGGTCAAACAGCCAAGTCTTCAGGAGGTTACTGGCCCCAGGCGTCTCCCCAGTGACTGATGATGTTAAACCCTACGCTTCTCTGATTGGTTTAGACAAAATGACAAGGGCACCTATTGGAAATGATCTGGCAAAACATGATCTAAGGCCACCCTCTCGGGGAGGGAGTTGGGGAAGCTGGGTTGGCTGGGTTGGTAGCTCCTACCTACTGTGTGGCAAGAAGGTATGGGTCATGAACAGAACCAAGGAGCTGCGCTGCTACAGATGTTACCACTTCTGTGGCTGCTACCCCACTCCTGGGCCGTCCCTGAAGGTAAGATGGTACTCCTATTTACTTCCATCCTGAACCTAGGGAGCCCACTCAGCTTTGTGAGGAAAAGCGCTGTGCTTTGTGAGTGGTGGGAAGTCTTATGAGGCAGTGGAAACAACAGGGGAGTGGGGAAAGACAGCTGCTATGTGTGGTTGGTAAACGATATCAGTGATGCTTTGCATGTTCCATTTAAGACAATCTCTTGAAGCGGAGATTGTTCTCTCCATTTTACAAATGAAGAAAATGAGACTCAGAGTTATTTGTGCAAGTTCACACCATTGGAAAGTGGTAGAGCTGGGATTTGAACAAAGTGAATGTTATTTTCACTCCTCCACTCAAGATTCTACTCTGCTTTCTATCATTAACTTATCTTGTGATTCTTGAAAAGTGTCTTAGTTTCCTTCTCTGTAGAGGATGGGGCAGAATGGAAGAATAATCTGGAAGATCCCTCTTCCTCCAAATGTCTGTTTTTCTGGGTATTGGGTTAAAGGTTTCCTGCTGGCTGAGCGATTCCTGCCAAGAGCTTCAAAGAAGAGGGATTATTTTATGCAGTTATGGGGTCACTTCTCCCATTGCTGTCTTTGGGAGGCCTGGTAGGTTAAGGAACAGAAGACATTTTGAGAGACGCTTGGTGCCAATGAAGTGGCTGAAGAAATGTCTGGATACAGGTTTTCCAATTTACCATTTGTGTCTGGGGATAGTGGGAGGCAGTCCCATCTATGGCTTGGGGAGGCTGTAGCCATTCCTCCTCTTTCCCTTCTAAGAGTGAGAAACCCATCCATGGCCTTCTCTAGTCAATACAGTGGCCTGGTATGAATTAGACAAAGGAATCCCCTTTGGGAGGATACAGCCCTATGCCAGGATGTATGGCATGGTGAGCAGAATGCAGGCTTTCACTTGCTTCTTTGGCTAGGTGTCTTTGTGCAGCCCCCAAACACACAATGAACAGTGACTCTGAATCTGTCACTTTATTTTATATATATACATTTTTAAATTTTTTATTTGATTTAATTTATTTTTTTTGACACGGCATCTCGCTCTGTCACCCAGGGTAGAGTGCAGTGACGTGATCTCGGCTCCCTGCAACCCCTGCCTCTGGGGTTCAAGAGACTCTCCTGCCTCAGCCTCCCAAGTAGCTGGGATTACAGGCGCATGCCACCACACCCAGCTGATTTTTGTATTTTTAGTAGAGATGGGGTTTCATCATGTTTGCCAGGCTGGTCTCAAACTCCTGACCTCAGGTGATCCACCCGCCTTGGCCTCCCAAAGTGCTGGGATTACAAGCTTGAGCCACCGCGCCCGGCCTTTATATATATATTTTTTGAGACGGGCTCATTCTGTCACCTGGGCTGGAGTCCAGTGGCACAATCATGGCTCACTGCAGCCCCAACTTCCTAGGCACAAGCAATCCTCCTGCCTCAGCCTCCAGAGTAGCTGAGACCACAGGTGTTTGCCACCACACCTGGCTAAGTTTTTGTATTTTTTGTAGAGACAGGGTCTCGCTGTGTTGCCCAGGTTGGTCTTGAACTCCTGGGCTCAAGCAATCTGCCTGCCTCAGCCTCCCAAAGTGCTGGGATTACAGGCATGAGCCACCATGCCTGGCCTGAATCTGTCACTTTAGAAAGTAGAACTCTTTACTTTTGCCAACTGGCCTTTTTATAGGCAGGGGAAGCTTGGAGAGATGCCATAATTTGTTCTTCACCCCCTTTGGGAGGGGGAGTCTAAATAACAGACACAGGAAAGGGTCTCACCTCAGCCCACGCTCCTTAAGCAGGCCTTGCTTGTTTTTGTTGTTTTGTTTTGAGACAGAGTCTCACTCTGTCACCCAGGCTGGAGTGCAGTGGCTTAATCTTAGCTCCCGGCAACCTCTGCCTCCCTGGTTCAAGCAATTCTCCTCCCTCAGCCTCCCGAGTAGCTACAGGCGCATGCCAACATGCCCAGCTACTTTTTTGTATTTTTAGTAGAGACGGAGTTTCACCATGCTGGCCAGGCTGGTCTCAAACTCCTGACCTCATGATCCACCCACCTTGGCCTCCCAAAGTGCTGGGATTACAGGCATGAGCCACTGCGCCTAGCCCCACCTTGCTGTTTTTTAAGTTGGAGGAGAAGGCTCCCACCTCCCTGAACCTCACCCTGTGTCCTTTGCAGCTCCTACTCCAATGTGGCCAGATGACCTGCAAAACCACACATTCCTGCACACAGTGTACTGCCAGGATGGGAGTCCCAGTGTGGGACTCTCTGAGGCCTACGACGAGGACCAGCTTTTCTTCTTCGACTTTTCCCAGAACACTCGGGTGCCTCGCCTGCCCGAATTTGCTGACTGGGCTCAGGAACAGGGAGATGCTCCTGCCATTTTATTTGACAAAGAGTTCTGCGAGTGGATGATCCAGCAAATAGGGCCAAAACTTGATGGGAAAATCCCGGTGTCCAGAGGTCAGGAGTTTTCTGGGGAGTGAAGGGAGGAGGGCTGCATTAACCTCATTGATCTGTACACTGAATAATTCCCCTTGATACCAGCTCCCCATCTCAAATACTTTCTGGTTCTCTTCATCACCTTAATTTTTCCACCAGCCTTGGTCTGCACCCTGTGTTCTTTTGGTGGGCCGAAGTACCTAGCATGTAGTAGGCATTCAGAACTATGTATTGAATGTGATGAATTCAACAGGTACCAACTGATACCTACTGAATATTAACACTTGTGCTACTATGCCCAGCAAGATGGATGGGAAGAGTGGAAATATCTGATGACGTGACTATGTCTTAGTGAGAAGACAGTGCATGGTTAGACATCAATGTGAGCTCTAGACAGGAAGTGCTGAAGGAAGTCATGGTGGAGGGGTCCAGAGTAGCCTGGATCTGGCTCTGCTTCTATGTCTAGCTGCAGTCCTTGCCTGGAAGAAGACCTCCCTTCAGAGCCCAGCTCCTCGCTCATCTCTGTCTCCCAAAGCCTGACCCACTGTGTTCTTCTCTGCCCTCCCCTCCATATGCCATGGCCCCTCCAAACACAGAGATACCATCTAAACTAGTCTCTTTTTCCCCCTACACTTCAATCCCCCCACCAGGGTTTCCTATCGCTGAAGTGTTCACGCTGAAGCCCCTGGAGTTTGGCAAGCCCAACACTTTGGTCTGTTTTGTCAGTAATCTCTTCCCACCCATGCTGACAGTGAACTGGCAGCATCATTCCGTCCCTGTGGAAGGATTTGGGCCTACTTTTGTCTCAGCTGTCGATGGACTCAGCTTCCAGGCCTTTTCTTACTTAAACTTCACACCAGAACCTTCTGACATTTTCTCCTGCATTGTGACTCACGAAATTGACCGCTACACAGCAATTGCCTATTGGGGTGAGGCTTTCTCCCTGGAATTCTGGTCCTTTTGGGGGCAAAAAGGGATAGATCCATGGGAGGAGGCTTCTTTCTCCACTGGTACCTTGTTTAGTCCATTCCTACCCTAAGCCCATCCCAGTCTCCCATGTCATCCCAGACACCCACGTCATTTCCCTGGGTGGGAGGCTCCCTAACTAGGTCCCCAGGCTGAGCCACTCATTTCCTCCAGTACCCCGGAACGCACTGCCCTCAGATCTGCTGGAGAATGTGCTGTGTGGCGTGGCCTTTGGCCTGGGTGTGCTGGGCATCATCGTGGGCATTGTTCTCATCATCTACTTCCGGAAGCCTTGCTCAGGTGGTATGTCATCTGGAGGGGGCGGGTGAGCCTGTGGGAGCCAGATACAGTGGTGCATGCGTGCATGTGTCAGGATTATTTTGTGGCATGGGGGGACATATAGCGATCCTCAGGCCCTTGGGTGTGGGGGCCTGTATCCAGCACCATGGGGGCACATCTTCCCAGTTGGGGACCCAGTTACACACACACAGTTATGGGTCACAAGAATTGCTTTGAGTGAAAAAAGGAATCATGGGGTGCTGTAGGAAGGGTGCTTGGAGATGATTTGGGAACAAGGAGAGATCAACTTCTGCAGGGTGTGGTGCAGGCAGGGCGAGCAAGGCCTTTGTGGGGGAGGAGGAGGAGGAGAAGGAGGAGGAGGATGGATCCCCTGATGCCTTTCCTCCATCCCTGTCTCTCCCCCAGACTGATTCTTCCAGACCAGAGTTTGATGCCAGCAGCTTCGGCCATCCAAACAGAGGATGCTCAGATTTCTCACATCCTGCCCAGGATCTCCTCTTAGGGTAGAAGTCTCTGGGACATCCCTGGGGTGTGTGTGTAGATTTCCCACCTGGGGACTCTGCTGTCCCTGGGCTTGCATCCCAGGGATCCCAGAGTGGCCTGCCTATCACAACCACATCCCTTCCCCCCACAAGGCAATAAATCTCATTTCTTTATATCAGTGTGGCTTCTTTCTTAACTCATGGTATTTGTTTCTGGATATCTCAACTTGAGTGGGTTGTCGTTTCAAATTCAGCATGCCTTAACCTGAACACAGCTTGACCTCGTTAGGGAGGGAAATAGGGAAAACCCCTAATTTGCCAGCTGAGCTCTTATTCCCTGGTCTTGGCGGTACATGATGTTTTTCCATCTATCGGTTTGTGCAAAATATGTGAGAAACGAAGGCAGAGTTATTTTCTAATAATCTGCTTACAAAATGGTTAAGGAAGCTGCTTGTGTGTTTTGTGCGTGTGTGTGTGTGTTGTGTATTTTACTGTTTGTGAAAATGTTTATGTCTCGTATAGGCTGCCCTGAGGAACATATAACTCCCTTCAACCCTCACCGTAACTGAGAAACAGAAGCTCAGGGATGGGAAGAATAAGCTCCCAAGTGCTATACCAATCAGTTATGTCAGTTCTGGGAAAACAGTATCATGAAGCCCCTAACATGAAGTGAAAACAGCCTGGAAGGGCAAAGAATTCACATGTCTTTCCTGACAATCTGTTCCTTGGCCTGAGTGAACTGTCCAAGGAGAACTGCACAGGTGCTGTCCTGGGAAGATAACGAAAGGTGGCAGCACATGACCACTGGTGGTAAATTGCTTTGCATATGCTTTCTTTCTTGCATTCCTTAGGGTCTGGGAGTTGCTTTGGATGACAGGGTGGCAATAAAGTTGAGAGGGCAATTATTTGGTGAGGGAGTTTCTGTTCTTGGCATTGTACTAGAGTCTAATCTAAAAGAAAATATTAAATTCTCCCTAAGAGAAGTTGCACTGTCTCTGAACCATCTCATTTCTAACAGCATCATGTGTACCGGTTAAGAAGCATGGGCTCTGGAACCTGACTGCTGGGGATTCAATCGTAACTGTCAGCGTTTAGCTGTGAGCCCTTGGGCAAGTTACTTAACTTGTGCTTTGGTGTCATTTTCTGTAAAAGGATGATGATAACAATGGTGTCCCCCTTACCACTCTACACCCACCATGTTGCCAACATTTGAAAGTCAAATAAGTATTAGCGAGGATAAAGGAAAATGTGAACTGTAATATCTTGGTCTGTTGGTGGGAATGTAAACTGTTTATGATGCCCGAATTACAGAAATTATGAACTAGTTGAGTGAAAAAGTTAATATAGGAAATAAGGCAGCATATCCTCATGCTGTGAAGCTTAAATAAGTTAATACCTACAGAATGCTTAAAATAGTGTTTGGCACATAGAAAATGTGCTGAATAACCTAACCTTATCATTATTGGTCTTGATCTTCAGAGGAGAACTTAGTTGCCTCGTAGACTTCTTTCTCTTTTCTGAAATATACCTCAATACTAGCTTCAAGTATTGTATTTTCTCCATTTTAGATGTTTTTCTTTTTATTCTCATGTTAGTAATTCTAGATGTGGTGCTTTCTAGTTCTTCCTAATTTCTCTGTCTCTCTGTTTTCCAACTTATCTAGATATTTCCTGTCAGGCAAGACTTAAAAGTGCTTTATTATGCTGTGTGACTTTAGACAAGTCACTTCCCCTCTCTGGGCCTCAAAGTCTTCATCTGTAAAATGATGGGCTTAGATTAGATGCTCTCTGATGAAACCTTCTATGATACTGTTACTTAAGTACTCTAGAAGCACTCAGTATCCTCTCTAGTCTGGTGCCCCTTTTCTAATAAAAAATATTACTCACTATTCCCAGCAGGAATGCTATTCTTGAATAAATCTTTTTTCCTCACTCTTCCTTGAGGTATTATATCTGGTTTTGGTTTAGGGCATTTGCCCAGGCTCTTTCCTCTCACAAGAATGCTTTCTTTATTCTGCTCATCTTGTTCCTGTCTTAACCCACTCCATAGGTCCAACTCCAGTTCAACTTATTCCATGAACCTGCCCCTAATTTCTCTTTATTGAAATCTTCCAAGACTTAAAGCACTCAACCTAAGGATTGGGATATGCCGCTTTATTTCCTATGTTAATTTTTTCGCCCAACTAGTTTATAATTTCTATAATTCAGGGATCATAAACAGTTTACACTCCCATCAACAGAGCAAGATAGTTCACATTTCCCTTTATGCTCACTAATGCTTGTAATTATTTGACTTTCAAATGTTGGCAACATGGTGGGTGTAGAGTGGTATTTTGTTGTTTTAATTTGCTTTTCTCTCATTACTAATCAGTATCATATTGTTTGATTATTTTGGCTTTTTAATATGTGTTACTATTTAGTAGAACTAGTCTCCATTCCTTCACCACCTTCCCAAAAAATTTATTTTCCTTTTCTTTATCAAAATATTCTAAGATACTCTTGGACTTTATTTCCATGTACATTCTATAATCAGTTTGTTAAATTCTCCTGAAATCCTACTGTTACTTTAATTGGGGTAGCATTTAGGTTAGAGATGTGGGGAGAGGTTGTCATTATGTTAGCATGGCCTATCCATGAATATGGTATATCTCTACACCTCTCAGGTCTTTGTGCACTTCAATAAAGTTTTCTTTTTTCTTAAAATTCTTATATTTGATATGTTAATTCATAAATATGCTATGGTTTTTATTGTTATTATAAATAGTAGGCAATTTTCAGTTATTTTCCAATTGATTATTGGCAATACAGGATTTAAAGTAATAAATCCTGAGTTCAAGTAATGGTTTTATTACTTAGTATCTGGGTAAATCTGGGCAACCACTTAACCTCCCTCTGCCTCCATTTTCTCGTGGGTAAGATGAAGATAGCATTCTTCAATAGTTGTGGTGGCAAAAAATAAAATTAAAAAAGGAAAAATAGTTGTGGCAAATCAGATAGACTATCCCTAGTAGTTCAAATAATTTGACTGTAGGTTGGAAGGATGGTGAACTGACTACAGAAACTATAATCCAAAGGTCAGGGTCTAGAGCAGTGAATCCTGACAGGGTAGGAGGGTGTGTGTGTGGGCGGAGGTGAGGTAAGGGGTAGATGGCAGGGGTGGGGTGGGGATTGGACAGATTGGGCAAGTAATATAATCTTGGCAGGATGTAGGTGTGTGTAGTTTTGAAAAGACACTGAAGTCACGAATGTGGTCTTATGCTATGAGGCGTGATTAACTGGTTGAGCAATTTTGTGTTTATAAAATGGAGACTTCAGTTAAAACCGTCTGCCCCAAGAACCTGCGAACTGACATGGAGCAACTTTAGGAAGTGCCTAGAAGAGATTTATTATTATGGCCATACTCTCAGAAAAAAACAAGAAATCACATTTGTGACTTCCTCCAACGTGCAGTGCCAGTGACGTTATTGTAGCTTGTCTTTGTTTTAGCTAACCCAGGCTCTCGTAGGACACCTCCTCCCTGATGGCACCTCACAGCATTGTCAAGCTTGTGGAGCTATACACCAGACCTACAATGCCAACTGCCTTCCTCCTCTCCAACACAAATCCAGCCCAGTATTCAAGGCTCATTCCAGGCCCTCTCGACTGAGAGTACTCCCTGTCTACCATGTCCATGGTGATTTCTCTCTTCTCTTTTAAGACCACTGGCCTTATTGCTTACTTACTTTAATATAAACTATTTAAAGTGTTTGTTCTCACTCCCCAATTGACGTACAAGCAAAGCGATATGGGGGCAGAATCCATATCTTCTCACTCTGTATTTTCCCAGTAATGCTTTGCACACAAACCCTGGGACTAGTTTACTGCAGGCATGTGGTGGTCAGGCTAAGGGCAGAGGCAATGGGAAAGGAGAGGACTCACTCTTTGGGTGGTTGTGTAGAGGCAATAAAAGAAAGGCAACATGTGGGAACCTGGTTGGGGCTCCATACCTCTTCGGTCCCGGTGCTATATCAATAATTAACAAATAAGTAACAATGGACAGAGCAACTGAAATGTTATTTTGAATTGGCTAGAGGTGGAAAGACAGAGCTATATCTGTAAAAATGGAAGGGTTGGGAGGAGGAGAGGAAGGAAAACACTGCTGAGCACAGGTGTCTGGGTTTTCTGTCCTTCTTTATTCTAAAAAGCTCCCTCAGTGTTTGAATTAATAGAGAAGTGAAATCCTCTCCTACCATTTCCTGTTGTGGCCTCACAGAAGGTTTCACATCTCCTTTGACTGCCGGAGCAGAGATCTAGACATAAGAGGGAACTACATTCAGCCCCACTGTTACTGGCTAGGGCCATGTTCAGTGCTGGCACAGGACCACACAGCCAGTGCTCCCTTGCCAGGGCTAGGCTTTGTAGACATTGAAAAGGATCCCAGGACTTGGTTCCTATAAGGTTAGGCTAACAGCTTACCTGGGCAGGATGGGGAGGAATGTGAGGGGGAAATGTATTGGGGGGGTGTGGGGGAAAATTCAGTTTTGAAACTTGTCAAAAGAGAAAGTGGAAGGGACGGTGGTTCTCAGAGCAGAAGGAACTCTGAGGACAGGAAAGATAAGACTTGGGTGAATTGGGTTATGGATTGTGACTCTTCTCTTTCTCTCTTTCTCAGCGGAGGCCTCACTAACTCCCTTTATTTGAGCCATCCCAGTTCCAAGATGTAGTGAGTGTGTGGGCATGCTCAAGAGAGTGTGTATGTGTGTGTGTGTGTACACATGTGCATGTGTAACAGCTGTATAAGAAGAGGAGTTACAGCCTTTAGACCTTGGGTGTGAATCTTTGGACCTGTTTTCCAACCTGGGAAATGAGGACAATTAACAAGTTTTTTTTTTTTTTTTTTTTTTTTGAGACAGTCTCATTCTGTCACCCAGGCTGGAGTGCAGTGGCACGATCTCGGCTCACTGCAACCTCCACCTCCCAGGTTCAATCGATTCTCCTGCCTCAGCCTCCAGAGTAGCTGGGATTACAGGCACGCGCCACCACACCCAGCTAATTTTTGTATTTTTTGTAGAGACGGGGTTTCACCATGTTTGCCAGGCTGGTCTCAAACTCCTGACCTCAGGTGATATGCCTTCCTCAGCCTCCCAAAGTGCTGGGATTACAAGCGTGAGCCACCATGCCCGGCCAACAAGTCTTTTAAGATGAGATGAGATATTATAGAAAGGACCTACCTAGCACTGTATCTGTAGAAGCTCTACAGATTATGCACTCCCCACCCCATATTCTGCCCATTCCAACACACTTGACAGTTCGTTAGCAGAGTTAGAGTATATAAGCAAGGTGAGTGGGGGCAGTGGCTGGGAGCTATGGCAGAGCTTCAGTTAATCTCAATTAGTTACACAACGAATCTTTCGTTTTTGGTAATAATCTTTGTATGCATTTTTTATCCCCATTTTCTTCATAGGTGTTAGATTTTCCTGAGATCAGGGACTTTGAGGGAGGGCAGGTAAGTGTGGTGTCAAGGGGCCCCTTCCACAATCCTCTTTTGTTTAGCTCACTATTTAATAAAATCCAAGAGTTCTCAGAAACTAAGATGTGAAGAGGCAGCCCTGAAACCTACTGGGGAGCAGAAGGAAGCCAATTTAGAGTTTCAAGTTAGTGATGGAAAATCCATCAACTGTATAGTTCACAATGGGATAGAAGAATGAATTGCCGTTTAAAATCTGCTTTTTCAGGCCAGGCACGATGGCTCATGCCTGTAATCCTAGCACTTTAGGAGGCTGAGGTGGGTGGATCACTTGAGGTCAGGAGTTCAAGAACAGCCTGGCCAACATGATGAAACCCTGTCTCTACCAAAAAAAAAAAAAAGACAAAAACTAACCAGGAGTGGTGGCACATGACTGTAACCCCAGCTACTCAAGTGGCTGAGGCATGAGAGTCATTTGAACCCAGGAGGCGAAGATTGCAGTGAGCCGAGATTATCCCACTGTACTCCAGCCTAGGCGACAGAGTGAGACTTTCAAAAAAAAAACCTGTGAAAAAAATAAATACGCAAATACATAAAATCTGCCTTTTCAAGACACACACGTGACCAAGAAGCATATGAAAAAATGTTCAACATTACTAATGATTAGAAAAATGCAAATCAAAATCATAATGAGATACCGTCTCACACCAGTCAGAATGGCTATTATTAAAAAGTCAAAAAATAACAAATGTTGGAGAGGTTGCAGAGAAAACGGAAGGCTTATACACTGCTGGTGGGAACATAAATTAGTTCAGCCATTGAGGAAAGCAGTTTGGCAATTTCTCAAGAACCTTAAAACAGAGCTACCATTCGTCCCAGGAATCCCATTATTAGGCATATACCCAAAGGAGTATACATTGTTCTACCATAAGGACACATGCACATGAATGCTCACTGCAGCAGTATTCATAATAGCAAAGACATGGAATCAGCCTAAATGCCCACCAACAGTAGACTGTATAAAGAAAATGTGGTACATATACACCATGGAATACTCCACAGACAAAAAAGGACGAGATCACGTCTTTTGCAGCATCATGGATGGAGCTGGGGGCTGTTATCCTAGGCAAACTAACACAGGAGCAGAAAATGAAATACTGCATGTTCTCACTTTTATAAGTGGGAGCTAAACATTGAGTACACATGGACACAAAAAAGGGAATAATAGACACTGGGCCCTACTTGAGGGTGGAGGATGGGAGGAGGGAGAGGATCAAAACACTACCTATCAGATACTATACTTATTACCTGGGTGATGAAATAAATTTTTACGCCAAATCCCGATGACACACAATTTACCTATATAACAAACCTGCATGTGTACCCTTGAACCTAAAACAAAGGTTAAAATAATTTAAAATAAATAAAAAATAAAATCTTACTTGGTATTCTCAAAAAATAAAAAACAAAATCTGTCTTTTCAGGGGAAGAAAAGTAGGAAAGCTTTATCTCATTTTCCTAGTGGCTTCATAATGCAGGGACCTGCCCCCAGGGAACAGGGTATAGTAGGGGAAACACACAGGGGTGTTTAGAGTTTGGCGAAAGGCAGGTGAGCTCTGGGCACTGACCCGTCACCAGCTATTTTTCAAGGAGTCTGAGAGGTGTTAACCTGCGGTCTACCCCGTGAGATTGCTCAGAGTGTAGGAGGATATGGTTTACTAGCTCCGGAAAGCAGCTATTATAACTGAGGAGGAAATGAAGCTTGACTGGCTAGAACAGAAGCAACAATGGAGGCCCATGGAGGGATTTTCCAGGCCCCTATTCCTGATCTCCATGGTGGCGCTGCTTCCCTTATTCTGCAGTCTTGCTTTGAGACCAGACAATTCTGTACTCTGTCTGTGCCTTCTTCCTTCTCAGCAGCCCTGCCTCTGCCACCTGCCCCAGAAGGGCTCTGGGTCCTCTCATCTCAGGACAGACAAGGGTTTTTGTAATTATCTTCTTGGGTAACCTCCCTGTAAGGAATAGGAGAGGTTATCTGGTCCTGGTCTTTTGGGAGAGCATTGAGAAGAAAAAGTTAAACCAGTGGGCAGCCCAGGCTGCATACATCCTGGGAATATTGCGATTATTCTCTCCAGTAATCTACGGAAATCTACTGGTTGTTCTGCAGAAAAAGAATTAAGAGAGACAAGGAGACCTGTTGTCTAAGACTAAGGCAGGATGACGTTTACCTAGTAACTGATGATGCTAGGCTGAGGCACTCAGTGATTTGTCTCTACATTTGTCCCTGCCTACCTAGCCAATCTGTCCCTGTTTGGGACACTGGACTCCCGTGAGCTGGAAGGAACAGATTTAATATCTAGGGGCTGGGTATCCCCACATCACTCATTTGGGGGGTCAAGGGACCCGGGCAATATAGTATTCTGCTCAGTGTCTGGAGATCATCTACCCAGGCTGGGGCTTCTGGGACAGGCGAGGACCCACGGACCCTGGAAGAGCTGGTCCAGGGGACTGAACTCCCGGCATCTTTACAGAGCAGAGCATGATCACATTCCTGCCGCTGCTGCTGGGGCTCAGCCTGGGCTGCACAGGAGCAGGTAAGGACACTTCTTCTGGGGACTCTCCCTTCCCCTGCTCCTGTTTCAGGGTAAGGGTGTTCCGTTTTGTAATTGCATTTGACACCCCAGATAGTTTGTCTCCCTGGTATACATTCCTATAGCACTTTGTACTTTGTAGCAATTTTAATGTAATTAATCTGTATAATTATCTGTGCAGTGTATATTCCCTGCTGGAATATAGGCAAGGACAATGTTCATCTTATTTATTGCTGCCTCCTCAGCTCCTAGCACAGTGCCTTGCATGCAGCAAGTGCTTCATAAATATGTGCGAAGTGAATATTTAATATTTCCAGCACAATACAAGGCTGACTCTTTCTCTTGACCCTTTTTCTCTCTCAATAATTTGCCTTACTGAAGGTCTGTGTTCTGGGCAAATTGTCATGTTTAAACATGCAAATAATCTCGGGGGGCTACTCCTATCCCTGTGCTTAGTCTTGCATAAAGAGGAGACTGGATCTAAAAACTTATCTACTACTTCTACTGACTCCCTCAAATCAGACTTTCAGAAACTTCAGTGTATGAGCTTGGTCAGTAGATGTTCCCTGAGCAGGAAATCTGTGCCAGACTAGCTGGATGTCACCAAGGCTTAGGTTCTGAGCTGAATATAGGAAAAATCAACTTTTTTTCTTCTATATGCTCACACTCAACACTTCTTTGACCAACTGTGTGAGGTTTTTTTTTTTTTTTTACTCATACCAACCAATTCTCCTATATTAGCTGGATATCCTATAATTCAATTCCATTGTGACATTAACTAGAGTTAACATAGACACCAAAGGTTAAAGACTCAGTCCCATAAGACTGCCTCCATTTCAGACACCAATCACAAGTAGTAGGTTCCCAAATTACCCACATCTTCTGTCCAACTTGCCTACAAATCAGAGGTTCCCATGACCCCCTCCTTGGGGTTGGTAATTTGCTAAAGTGGCTTATGGAACTCAGGAAAAGTTTACTTATTATTGTAGATTTTTTACAAAGGATATTTTAATTGATAATAATAATTATAAATATTCATGGGGTGGATAATGATGTTTTAGTACATGTAATGTACAGTGATCAGATCAGATCATCATCTCATTTATCATTTCTTTGTGTTGGAAACATTCCATATCCTTCTTCTAGCGATTTGAAATGATATAAAGTATTATTGTTAATGACAGTCATCCCACAGTGGTATAGAACACTAGATCATAATTTTGCATCCTTTAACAAAGGATATTTTAAAGCATACAAAGGAACATCCAGATGAAGAGATACCAGATCTGGAAGGGTCCCAATCACAGGAGCTCTGTCCCCACAGAATTGGGGTACTTCACCTCCTGGCATGTGGATGTGTTTACCAACTGAGAAGTTCTCTGAACTCCATAGTTCCGGGATTTTTATGGAGGCTTCATCATGTAGGCATGACTGATTATTAACTCAATCTCCAGCCCCTTCCCCTTCAGGGAGTATGGGGGATGGGACTAAAAGTTCCAGACTTCTAATCATGACTTGGTCTTTCTGGTGACCAGCCCCTCCTGCAGGAGCCCACCAAGAGTACCTCATTAGAACAAAAGACACTCCTGTTATCTAGGAAATTCTAAGCGATTAGGCACTCTATGTCAGGAACCAGGGTCAAAGACAAAGCTCTGTGCAGAGCTCCTAAATATACGTCTGTATGTTTTATATATTTATTATTTGTGTATATTTATTATTTATATATTTATTTATTTATTGCCAGGCCAGTAGAAGACATTGACCTGTTCTCCCTTCCCTGGCTCCTCTAGGTGGCTTCGTGGCCCATGTGGAAAGCACCTGTCTGTTGGATGATGCTGGGACTCCAAAGGATTTCACATACTGCATCTCCTTCAACAAGGATCTGCTGACCTGCTGGGATCCAGAGGAGAATAAGATGGCCCCTTGCGAATTTGGGGTGCTGAATAGCTTGGCGAATGTCCTCTCACAGCACCTCAACCAAAAAGACACCCTGATGCAGCGCTTGCGCAATGGGCTTCAGAATTGTGCCACACACACCCAGCCCTTCTGGGGATCACTGACCAACAGGACACGTGAGGAGAGAGGGGTGCAGAGGGGCTACCAGGAAGTGCAGTTAGGAGGGCAGGCCAGGGAGGATCCCACAGTGGCCCAGGGGTTTGAGATTTGAGCAGCAAATAAGAGAAAATGTGTGGATCTGAAATGTAGAAAGACGGAGGATTGAACCTCAAGGGGAACAAGGTGGCTGACGTGAGTGGAACAGGAGTAAAGAAGGGGAGGTGAGGCTTGAACCGCGAGGTGCCATGTGGGGAGCTTATGCAGAGGCTGGGGCATCTCAGGATGCATACCCAAGATGTTCTTGCCTTGTTATCCCAGATTTTGATGTTCCAGATCTGATGTGGGCCCAGGCATGGGAATATTTGGAATCCCAGGGGATTCTGACACATGCTTTTTCTCACCCTTAAACTCTTGCATTGACAATGGCTTGAAGTTTGTGAAAGTAAACTTGAAGATCTCCACAGTACAGAACAGTGTGTCTCAAGGGTGGTTTCTGAACCACCTTTCTCAGAATTGCCTGGAGGAGGTGCTTGTTAAAGATGCAAGCCCCTTAGTACCACTCCAGATCTGTTGAAAGAAAGTATCTGGGGATACAGCCTAGGAAATCTGCATTTTAACATAATTCCTTGGATTTTTATTTAAGATTGTGTTTGAAAAATGTCAAGATAGAGGCAAGCAAGAGGATCACCTAGGAGAGTAAATTAGTAAAAGATGGCAGTATTAGCAATCTCATTAGTTTGACTACATTCATTCCAAATTTAAGAGTGAGTCCTAAGTTAGGCTTGTTTCCTTGAACTATGTGAGGAGAAAAAGCTTTAACTAGCAAAAGAACGTATTAAACAAGATTTGGAGAAAAATTCCTTTTCCACCTTAAAAAAACCCAATGTACAACTCTGGATTACTCTTAGCTTCCTTATTTCAAATACTTTCCAGTTTATGTACTTGAAATAAATACAACAACTTCTAGAACAGCTTGCAGTTCAGATCTGGCTTTTACTAATTGTAATCAAACATAATTCTGGAGGAGGAAAGAAAGAAAGGGGCAATGAAGGAATGGGAGAGAAGAAAGAGTAATGCAGGAATACATTCTAACGGTTCCCCTTCAAGGGGCAGCATGGCAGAGGGGGCTGGGGTGGAAAGTGGGTTGCAAAATCTACGAAGAGTTGCGATAGGGAAGAAACCAGGTTGAGGAAGCAGCCAGAATGTCACCCTCCTTCCTAAACATGTTTTTTTCTCCTATGCAGGGCCACCATCTGTGCAAGTAGCCAAAACCACTCCTTTTAACACGAGGGAGCCTGTGATGCTGGCCTGCTATGTGTGGGGCTTCTATCCAGCAGAAGTGACTATCACGTGGAGGAAGAACGGGAAGCTTGTCATGCCTCACAGCAGTGCGCACAAGACTGCCCAGCCCAATGGAGACTGGACATACCAGACCCTCTCCCATTTAGCCTTAACCCCCTCTTACGGGGACACTTACACCTGTGTGGTAGAGCACACTGGGGCTCCTGAGCCCATCCTTCGGGACTGGAGTAAGTGTATGGCAGATGGATGGAATTAGGGTCAAAGCAGAGAAAATGAGATGTGGATCGATACATGGTACATGGTAGACAGCGAAGTGCTGAAAATGGGGACTGAGTCTGGAGGAACTTACGGGGGGCTTAGGACCAGAATGGGGAAATGGGATAAAGAAATGGAAATATTTAGGTTGGTGCAAAAGTAATTGCAGTTTTTGCCATTACTTTCAGTGGCAAAAACCGCAATTACTTTTGCACCAGTTTAATATTTAGTCTGTGCTATTGCTGCTCTGGTGGTGTGGCTGATGTTGCTGCGTCTATGTTTGAGGGTGAGAGGGGAGCGTGCTTGCTTTGAAATGAGGCTGTAAATTTGGCAATCATATTTTCAGAACCCCAAATTGTAATACACTATTCTAGCCTCCTTAGATTTCAACTATTCTGGTGCCAGAAGCAGATGGGAGCTGAAGGAATGATGAAGGTTGAAGAAGGGGGGCTTTTCTTGGTGTGGGGCAGTACTGCATTTGGCCTGCTCTACCAAGCATACGGGAGTAGTAAAGCCACGGCTGGCAGACCATTTGGCATGCATGCTCAGGGGCCAGTGGATAAAGAATTACTTACAGTTCAAACACTGTTTGAACTCAGTGTCGGGAGTAGTTAAAGGTATCGTGAGAAGTTGCACACAGCTTTGGGGACTCTTGGAAAAGAAAGAGGAAGAAATGAGGAAGAGGAAGGGTGTCTACAAAGGGCCAGAGAACAGGATCTCAGATCAGCTGCTGTAACCAGGTTTCCCCTTGTGGGAAGTGTTGTTTCTTGCTGGGCAGTTGGGAAGGGAATGGAGAACAGAGAAGAGAGTGGAAATCACATGCTCACTTGAACTTTCCTGGGGAACGTCTCCTCACAGCGTGCACAAGAGCCTCCCTTTAGAAATGGAGTGTTCATTTTATCATGGGAAAAGAATCTGAGTGGGACATGATTCAGAACAGGACCGGCCCAAGGAAGTGCAGGGGCTGTGGAGTGGGATGGAGACAAGCTCTGAAAGGACACATGGGAGATCTAGATGTAGGAGGTACACAAGTAGTAGGATAACTCACAGGATGGATCCACTGGAGGTTAAGACATGTGGTAAGACAGTGTAATAGGAAGCTGCTCAGTTGGAGAAAGTAAGGAAGCAAACATTGTTACCGTGGGGGCAATGGAGAGGACAGTGAGGAGCCCTTTATCCTGATAAGGGTGGCTTTGGGGTAAAGGAAGGAAAGAGGATGCCTTGAGAGGCCCCACTGTATTAGAGAGGACCTGGAAGCCAGGATGCTAATTCTGGGGAGATGGGTTCCCCAGGCTTACTCTAGGAGTAGAGGTCCATGGGACGAGGGTTTGATTTGAGAAAGATCATTTTCTTGGGAGTGGGTGGTGTGAGCTAGACCCTTGGAGCTGGGATAAAGGACCTTTTAACCCACTGAGAGGTGGCTGCAATAAATGGAATTGCCCTGGGGGTGAGCAACAGAAACTGGGTCAAGTAAGTTTCTATTTTTTGCAGCACCTGGGCTGTCCCCCATGCAGACCCTGAAGGTTTCTGTGTCTGCAGTGACTCTGGGCCTGGGCCTCATCATCTTCTCTCTTGGTGTGATCAGCTGGCGGAGAGCTGGCCACTCTAGTGAGTGACTCGCTGAACTCCCATCCCCACTCTTGGTCCCACTCTCTGCTTACTTTCTGTTTGTGATTAACTCTCTCCTTCCTACTGCATTTGCTATGAATACTGCTAGATATTTTCATCCACAAAGACTGGTATAATCAAGTATCTTCCTCTCTTAGGTTACACTCCTCTTCCTGGGTCCAATTATTCAGAAGGTAACATCTCTGTTGGTCTGTTTCCCTACTTGCCCTTTGGTAGGGGTGCGGGTTAGAGGGGTCAGTGTTGGGTTCAACTAATCTTGATTATTATATGGGTGAGCTTCCATGAGGATCTAGGCAAGGGCATGATTTAAGCTGCCATTGCTAGGATTAAGAGCAGGAAGGAGCATCCTCCTCTTCTACCAAGTGGGATGTCTGTGGAGAGGAGGCTGAAGGTGCTTCCTTTGTATTAGTTGTTGGTGCCCTGGAGTTTTCAGTATCACTGTATTAAGGCATGGGATGGTTACAGTGACAAACGATGGGGGCAAGTTGGGTTGAAGCCTCATTATCTCCCTTTTATTTATTCTGTAGGATGGCACATTTCCTAGAGGCAGAATCCTACAACTTCCACTCCAAGTGAGAAGGAGATTCAAACTCAATGATGCTACCATGCCTCTCCAACATCTTCAACCCCCTGACATTATCTTGGATCCTATGGTTTCTCCATCCAATTCTTTGAATTTCCCAGTCTCCCCTATGTAAAACTTAGCAACTTGGGGGACCTCATTCCTGGGACTATGCTGTAACCAAATTATTGTCCAAGGCTATATTTCTGGGATGAATATAATCTGAGGAAGGGAGTTAAAGACCCTCCTGGGGCTCTCAGTGTGCCATAGAGGACAGCAACTGGTGATTGTTTCAGAGAAATAAACTTTGGTGGAAATATTGTTTTTCCATGTCTTCTTCCTGGGGCCCTGGGGAAGGAATATGGGCAAAGCAGGGACTGAGGTTAATTCTCTTCTGCTTGAGTAGGGGAGAAATCAATGCCTTCTTCCATTTTCCCACTTAGACATGACAGAATTTGGGGCCGTTTTCTGATTTATAATTCATAAGGAGAAATTCAACTGTGGTGGGTTGGAGTCACAGAGTATGGGCAAGGAAGGGAATTAACAGCTTACTCACCTCATACAGGATCTTATGAGGATTAAATGAGTTCATACTTGTAAATGGCTAAGAACACCGCCAGGCACATAGCCAGCCTGCAATAGTGACGTTAGCTATATTCGATTATTCAACTTTCTGGCCAGGCATTGTACCAGGTGCTTTGATCCTCATCACAACCGTAAGGCAGACCCCTCATACCCCTCAGGATTCAGGGGACAGAGCTTAACTCCAGATTGAGTTCTAGACAGTTATTTCTTCCATACCCTGAATGCAGAAGGGAACATAGCTTGAGTGATTATTATGTCTTAGGCACTGGTCTCAGACCTTTATATTTGTAGCTCATTCTCTTCTCACAATAACCACACAAGGGACAGATTGTTTCCCTCTATGTTACAGACAAAAGATGTGAGGCTCAGAGACATTTAAGTGACTTGTCCAAGGTCAAAGAACAGATTTCTGTAGGATGTTTGTCTACCTGAGCTGGAAGTAGCAGATTACTTTATTCTGAAGACCCTCATGCTGGTGAGCACACATCTCTTCAGAGCCACCGTTCCATTCCCTTCTACCCCAAGACCAAGGAGAGCCCTTTGGGGGAATGGACTCCACCCTAAGGAAGAGAGGATGCTGGCTGGTGGTTTGTTGTCCCACGAAGGGCGACACCTGCTGGACACAGAAACCTAGGGTGTGGAATTGTTTTTGGAATTAGAGCTAGATACTAGAATATGGGTAAGAAAAAGAAACCAAGAAATGAGTTGATTTGGAACACCTCCATAATTTCTTCAGAAGCATCCTTGGAATTAGAGCATCTCTTCTGGAAGGGGTTAACAGAAGAAGTCAGTGGAAGGAACTTAATCTCTACATTTTACCATTTTTATGTTTCATTTTCATTTTTTTCTATTCACTGTTTTTGTTTTTATTTTTGTTTGTTTGACAAAGCAAATTCCTTTTGAAATTCTAGTTTAGTCTAGGAATGGGGGGCTTTGGGCCTTGTCTATATCTGGGCAGTTTTATTTATTATTTTTATTTTATTTATTTATTTTTTTTCGAGACAGAGTTTTGCTCTTGTTGCCCAGGCTGGAGTGCAATGGCGTGATCTCGGCTTATTGCAACTTCTGCCTCCCATGTTCAAGCGATTCTCCTGCCTCAGCCTCCCAAGTAGCTGAGATTACAGGCGTGCACCACCATGCCTGGCTAATTTTGTATTTTCTTAGTAGGGATGGGGTTTCACCATGTTGGTCAGGCTGGTCTCGATCTCCTGACCTCAAGTGATCCACCTGCCTCAGCCTCCCAAAGTGCTGGGATTACAGGCGTGAGCCACCGCACTAGGCCTATCTGGACAGTTTTAAAGGAGAAGCTGCAGATCTGAAGGGTCTAGTTCTAGTCACAGCAGTGGGAATCAAAGTGGCAGGATCCCAGAGAAAGGAAGTAGAGAGTTAGCTAATGGGACGGCTTCCAGTTCCTTTTCTAGAGATTCCCAGTGCAGGCTTTTCTCTGCCCTAACTTTGTAGGTTTTTTGTTTTATAGGAAAGGCTGTCCCCTTTCAGGTAAGGAATAGGGAAAAGTATATGTAGGTCTCCTAGGATCCAGAAAATCAGAATACTATAGGTAGAAAGGGGAGTTCTTACACAGGGGAATGAGTGGTACTTGAAAGGAAGGTGGAAGAAGGGTGATGGTGCACCAATTGTAGGAGGATGAGGAGAAGAGAATGGATGCTGCATGAGGAGAATGGAATGTAAACATAATGGATTGCCAAAAAAGGAGTGCGTGTGTGTGTGTGTGTGTGTGCACTTGAGCACATGTGAGAGAAAGAGAGGAAAAAAAGAGAAGGAGTGGAAGAGAGTAAGAGAGAGGGAGCAAAAGGGTGAGAGGAGAGAAGTGGAGTGGGAGAAAGAAGGAGAGGGACATAGAGAGAGGGAGGGAGGGGAGCGGGGGAAGAGAGAGAGAGCTGGACTTTCGGGTTATACATAATCCAAGCTGCACAAAGAATTGTTTTCGCCCTTCAATGTCTTGTTGTTTTAAAAGCTGAACTTGGAGCTAGAATTGGTTTTAAAGGTCATCTAGTCCACCTCCCCTCCCATGAAAGAACTGGGCCTGTGTTAACAAGGGCACACACAGTGCAGGGAGTTCCTTCAACACTTGGGGCAGATAACAATATTTTAGAGAAACGCGTTGAGCCCACATTTGAGCTTCTTCTTTTGACCATTAAAGACAATGAGAATAAATCTCAAATACACCACGGGAGGTGGTATCCTTGGCATTTTTTTTTTCCCTGAGGGAGAGCATGTTCCTAGGTTCCAGGTTCTCTTTGCCTCCCTACCCACGAACACATGCATGTGAAAGAAACAGACAAGATTGACATTTAATCCCAATGTCTATTTATGAAAATTATCTTTAGGCCATTTTCTCAAGTTTTTCTCTTTCCAAAGTAAAATTGGGCAAATCAGATGAAAAACGAGGGTGGAGTTCAACCCCATCCTCAAATCCTTTTTTTTTTTTGGCTTGAGTGTCTGTCATTCCCAAGAGCCCTCCAACTGCCTTGAAGCAAGGCATGGGGGATTTCTCCGTGGTGCTTCCTGCCACTACTTGGCCAGACCAGTCTCCAGGGGTTTCAGAGAGTGGAGAGGCCCCAAACCTATAGAGACTACTCCCAGATGGGGGGCTCCTTGTTTCTCCAGACCCTTCCTCTTCCATTTCATATGAGGCTTCTAAGAGGCCCCTGGCCGTGCTGGTCTGGGGCAGGGAATAAAGAAATGGCTTTTATTGTATCAGAGTCTCAACAGAAAACAGATGGCATACTCGAAATAGGACATTTCAAGGAAAGTTTATTTATTAGCAAAGTATTTACAAAGAACTGGGTGGAGGATAGCTGTTACTACCCCAAGGTCCAAAGAGGCCGGGGACAGAAGGGGTTATCAGGACTCAGAAGGACAGCAAGCCCTGTACAGTCACCACCTTGCCAAGGGCAGTGCCCTTCAGTCAAGGGACACAACAGCTTAAGGTGACCTTGTAGGGAGGAAGCCAAGGGATTAGAAACACTGACCTCACTCCCCTCTTCCCTCTGCTCTTAGGCTGATGCTGGAAGCAAGAAGAAGCCAGGGAGCATGGGAGCCATTCAATGTCATGCAGGTCAGCACCTGAGGCAGACCCCAGGTGCAGAAGTATTGAGAGTGGGTCCAGAAGGACAGATGGAGGACAGGAAGTACATTCACAACAAGAAGGAAAAACGTCAATGTTGTGGGGTGGAGAGAGAGGTGCAAAATCTGGGCTTCTTTTGGCCTTGGACAATGACAAGCGCATAGTAGCAACAGAAACTAAGTTTGTAGTTTCCTACTGGGGAGTTTGGGAGGACACTCACTTCTAGTTCTGTCTTCCCCACTTGAATTTTGATTGTGGTTATACTGAATTTATAGAAATTTGGGGTTAACTGACTTGTTTTTATTACTAAATCATACCATGCAAAAACAGGATGTTTTCTCATTTATTGAAATCATTTTGTTTGCTCTTTATTATGGTTTTTAAACTTTACTTTTTCATAGTAGTCCTGAGTATGCTCAGTTAATTCTTAGGCATGTTGTAGCTTTTGCTGCTATTGTGATTGGTATCTTATTGCAATTCTACTTTTGAATCAGTAATTTCTGATGTAGAAGAATGTATCTAATTTAAAAAATTGTGGTTAAAAAAATAACATTTACCGTCTTAACCACTTTGAAGTGTACAGCTCAGCAGTGTTAAGTATATTCACATTTTTGTGCAACCAATCTCCAGAACTCCTTTTCACCTTGCAAAACCAGAACTCTACACCCATTAAACAACAACTCCTCATTTCTCTCTTCCTCTAGCCCCTGGCTACTATCACTCTACATTCTGTTTCTATGAATCTGACTACTTCAGATACCCTGTACAAGTGCAATCATGGAGTTTTTGTCTTTTGGCGATTGGCTTATTTCACTTAGCTTAATGTCCTTAAAATTCATACTTGTTGCAGCATGTAAGAGTGCTTTCTTCCTTTTTAGGCTGAATAATAAGCTACTGTATGTATATGCCATATTTTGTTTGCCCATTCATCTGTCTATGGACATCTTTGTTGCTTCCACCTCTTGGCTATCGAGAATAGTGCTGCTATGAATATGGGGGAAAATATCTGCTTAAGTCCCTGCTTTCAATTCTTTTGCATTTATACCCAGAAGTGGACTCTTGGGTCATATAGTAGTTTTACTACTGATTTTTTGAGGAACTGCCGTACTGTTTCCCATAGCAGTTACACATTTTACAATCCCACGAACATTGCATATAAAGGTTCTAATGTCTCTACATCCTCACCAACACTTATTTCTTCCCTCCCTCTCTCCCTTCCTTCCTTCCTTCCTTCTTTCCTTTCCTCCTTCATTTGCTCCCTCCTTCATTCCCTCCCTTCTTTCCTTTTTCCTTTCATTTTTATAGTAGCCATGCTAATGAGAATTAGATGATGTTATGGTTTTAATTTGCACTTCTCTAATAATAAGTAATGCTGAGCATCTTTTCATATGTGTGTTTGCCACTTGTATATCATCTTTGGAAAAATGTCTGTTGAAGTTTGTTGCCCCCTTTTTAACTGTTTGTATAAACAATTATTGTTGGGTTTTATGAGTTCTTTACATATTCTGAATATTAACCCTTTATTGGATATATGATATTCAAATACTGATATATGATTTTCAAATATTAGAAATTAATAATTTTTGTAAGTTGATCTTATATGGGACAACCTTGCTCGATCCTCTTATTGGTTTTAGTGGGGTTTTTGTTGTTGTTGTTGTCATTGTTGTTATTGATATTCTCTCTGTCTCTCTCTTTTTCCAGGTAGATAATAGTATCATCTGCGAGCATTGTTTTGTGTTTTCCCTCTTAATCCTTAGTGTTTTATTTTTCATGTTGTTGACTAGGATCTTCAATGCTGTGTCAAACAGTAGGGTGATAATGAGCATTACTCTTAAAGGAAATAAACCTAAATATTCTCCATTAAGTATAAATTTTGCTGTATATTGTAGATTCACATGCAGTGGTAAGAAATAATAAAAACAATCCTGTGTATCCTTTACCCAGTTTCCCTTGATGGTAACATTTTGCAAAACTATGGTACAATATCACAATTAGGATACATGGATACAGCCACAATACAGAACACTTCTATGATCACAAGGATTCTTCACCTTGCCCTTTTCTAGACACACCCACTTCCCTACCATCCCATACCCTCCTTAATGTCTAGCAATCACTAATCTCTTATCCATTTCTATGACTTTGTCACTTCAAGACAAATTTTTTTTTGTCATTTTAAAACAAATGATTAATAAATGGAAACATATAGTATATACACTTTTGGGATTGACTTTTTTTTCTCTCAATGTATTTCTCTGGAGATCATACAAGGTTGTTGCATATATCAATAATTTATTATTGCCTAGTTGTATTATATGGTATGGGTATAGCACAGTTAGTTTAGCCATCTGTCCATCACATCTGGGTTGTTTCCAGATTTGGCTGATATGAATATAAGTTTTTGTGTGGACATAAGTCTTAATGTCTCTGGAGCAAATGCCCAGGAGTGTACCTGCTGAATTGTATGGTGGTTGCATTTTTAGTTTTTTAAATAAACTGTCAAAGTGTTTTCCAGAGTGGTTGCACCAGCAATGTGCGAGTGATTGTTTTACTGCATCCTCACAGGCATTTGGTATTGTCACTATTTTTTTTATTTTTTTTGAGATGGAGTCTTGCACTGTTGCCCAGGCTGGAGTGCAGTGGTGCGATCTTGGCTCACTGCAAGCTCCACCTCCCGGGTTCGCGCCATTCTCCTGCCTCAGCCTCCCAAGTAGCTGGGACTATAGGCGCCCGCCACCACGCCCGGCTAATTTTTTGTATTTTTAGTAGAGATGGGGTTTCACCATGTTAGCCAGGATGGTCTCAATCTCCTGTCCTCATGATCCGCCTGCCTCAGCCTCCCAAAGTTCTGGGATTACAGGCATGAGCCACTGCGCCTGGCTTATTGTCACTATTTTTTATTTCAGCCATTCTAATATGTGTGTAGTGAGATCTTATTGTGGTTTTAATTTGCGTTTCCTTAATGGCTAATGATATCGAACATCTTTTCATGTGCTTATTTGCCATCTGTATATCCTTTTAATGAAATGTCTCTTCATGAATTTTTCCCATTTTCTAATTAATTTTTTTCAAACTGTTGATTTTTTTTCTTTTTTTTTCTGAGATGGAGTCTTACTCTGTCACTCAGGCTAGAGTGCAGTGGCATGACCTCGGCTCACCCCAACCTCTACCTCCTGGGATTACAGGCGTGTGCCACAACGCCCAGCTAATTTTTAGTATTTTTAGTAGAGACAGAGTTTCACCATGTTGGCTAGGCTGGTCTCAAACTCCTGACCTCAAGTCATCCACTCGCCTCAGCCTCCCAAAGTGCTGGGATTACAGGCATGAGCCAGGGGGCCTGGCCTGAGTTTTGATAAGTTGTTATATATTCTAGATACTAGTCCTTTGTTGGATACATGATTTGCAAATATTTTCTTCCATTATGTAGCTTGCCTTTTCATTCCTTTACAAGTCTTTCACAGAGCAACAGTTTTTAGTTTTAATCAGGTCTAATATATCCATTTTTTCATTTTACAGATCATGTTTTTGGTGTCAAATCTAAGAACTTGTTGCCCAGATCTAGATTCAGAAGATTTTCCCCTATCTTATTCTAAAAGTTTTATAGTTTTACATTTTGCATAGAAGTTTGTAATCCATATTGAGTCAATTTTTGCAGAAGGTATGAGTCTTAGATTAAACTGCTGCTCCTCCTTCTTTTCCTCCTTGTTGTCTTTCTCTCCTCCTATGGCCCTTGAATGTTCAATTGTTCCAGCACCATTTATGTTTTTCCGATGTCTGCAGGGTGTGTAGGGATATTCCCTGTGGACATTTCTATATTCTTTCTTTCTTCTTTGTCAGTGTAGTCTGCTAGAGGTTCATCAGTTGACTGATCTTTTCAAAGAAGCAACTTTTTGTGTCTCACTCTGTGGCCCAGGCTGGAGTGCAGTGGTGCAATCTCACCTCACTACAACCTCCGCCTCCTGGGCTCAAGTGATTCTCCTGCCTCAACCTTCCAGGTAGCTGGGACTACAAGCGCCTGCCACCACATTTGGCTAATTTTTTGTAATTTTAGTAGAAGCAGAGATTCACCATGTTGGGCAGGCTGGTCTCTAACTCCTGAGCTCAAGTGATCCACCTGCCTTGGCCTCCCAAACTATTGGGATTACAGGCGTGAGCCACAGTGCTCGGCCTTCCTTTCTTCTTTGGATGTATTTTGATCTTCTTTTTCTGGGCTCTTGAGATGAGAGTTTGAATTATTAATTTGTGTACTTTTTTTTTTTTTTAAAGAGACAAGGTCTCCTTATGTTGCCCAGGCTGGCCTCGAACTACTGGGCTCAAGTGATCCTTTCCTGCCTCAGCCTCCCAAGTAGCACCCAGTTTTTCTTCTTTTTAATGTATGCATTTAATGCTATAAATTTCCCTTTCAGCACTGGTTTAGCTGTGTCCTATAATTTTTTTTATTATTTTGAAAATATTTCGTGGGTTCATGGTAGGTGTATATGTTTATGGGGTACATGAGATGTTTTGATACACGCCTGGAATGTGAAATAACCAAATCATGGAGAATGGGGTAGCCATTCCCTCAAGCATTTATCCTTTGAGTTACAAACAATTCAATTACATTCTTTAAGTAACTTAAAAATATACAATTAAGTTATTTTTGACTATAGTCACTCTATTGTGCTATCAAATAGTAGGTCATATTCATTCTTTCTACTTTTTTTGTACCCATTAACCATCCCCACCTCCCCGCTCAGCTATCCACTACTTTTCTCAGGCTCTGGTAACCATCCTTCTACTCACTATGTCCATTAGTTCAATTGTTTTGATTTTTAGATCCCACAAATAAATGAGAACATGTCATGTTTGTCTTTCTGTACCTGGCTTATTTCACTTAACATAATGATCTCCAGTTCCATCTATGTTGTTGCAAATAACTGGATATCATTCTTTTTTCTAGCTAAATAGTACTCCATTGTATGTATGTACCACATTTTCTTTATCCATTCATCTGTCGATAGACACTTAGGTTGCTCCGAAGTCTTAGCTATTGTAAACAATGCTGCAATTAACATAGGAGTGCAGATATCTCTTTGAAATACTAATTTTCTTTCTTTCGGGTATATTCCCAGCAGTGGGATTGCTGGATCATATGGTAGCTCAATTTTAATTTTTTTGGAGGAACTTCCAAGCTGTTCTCCATGGTGGTTGTACTAATTTATATTCCTGCCAACAGTGTACAAAGCCTTCTCCACATACTCACCAGTACTTGTTATTGCCTGTCTTTTGGATACAAGCCATTTTTTTTTGAGATGGAGTCTTACTCAGTTGCCCAGGCTGGAGTGCAGTGGCCCAATCTCTGCTCACTGCAACCTCCATCTCCCAGGTTCAAGCGATTCTTCTGCCTCAGCCTCCCAAGTAGTTGGGACTACAGGCATGGCCCACCATGCCCAGCTAATTTTTGTATTTTTAGTAGAGACAGGGTTTCACCATATTGGCCAGGCTGGTCTTGAACTCCTGACCTCAGGTGATCTGCCCGCCTCGGCCTCCCTCAGTGCTGGGATTACAGGTGTGAGCCACCGTGTCCAGCCTGCATACAAGCTATTTTAACTGAAGTGAGATAATATCTCATTGAACTTCTGATTTGCATTTCTCTGATGATTCATAATGTTGAGCACCTTTCATAAGCCTGATTGCCATTTGTATGTCTTCTTTTGAGAAATGTCTATTCAGATCAGCTCATTTTTTGTTTGGACTATTGAACTCTTTTTTCCTATAGAGTTGTCTGAACTCCTTATATATTCTAGTTATTAATCCTTTGTTAGAGGGGTAGTTTGCAAATATCTTCTCTCATTCTGTGGGTTGTCTCTCCTAGAAATTTTTGATATGTTGTATTCTTATTTTCTTTCAATTCAGTGTATTTTTAAATTTCCTTTGAGATTTATTTTTTGACTCGTAGAGTATTTAAAAGTTTTCGCTTAGTTTCTTGACTTTCCTCTGTCATCTTTCTGTTATTTATTTCTAGTTTGATTCCAATGTAGTCAGAGAACACATTCTGTATAATTTATATTCTTTTAAATTTATCAATATTTGTTTTATGGCCCTGGATATAGTCCAACTTGGTATATGTTGCATGGACACTTCAAAAGAATGTATATTCTGTGCGGCCAACAAGCATGTGAAAAAAATGCTCAGTATAACTAATCATTAGGGAAATGCAAATCAAAACAATGATGAGACACCATCTCACCCCAGTCAGAATGGCTATTGTTAAAAAGTCAAAAACAACAGGTGCTAACAAGGTTGTGGAGAAAAAGGAACACTTGTACACTATTGGGGGTAATGTAAATTAGTTCAGGCACTGTGGAAAGCAGTCTGGAGATTTCTCAAAGAACTTAAAGCAAAATTCCCATACAACCCAGCAATTCCATTGTTGGGTATATACCTAAAAGAATATAAATTGTTCTGTCATAAAGACACATGCACATGCATGTTCATCACACTGCTATTCACGTTAGCAAAGACATGGAATGAACCTAGATTTCTTTATCCAGTGCTCATCAACAGTGCACTGGATAAAGAAGATGTGGTACATATACACCATGAAATACTACACAGCTATAAAAAATGGGATCATGGCCTTTGCAGCAACATAGATGGAACTGGAGGCCATAATCCTAAACAAATTACCGCAGGAGCAAAAAACCAGCTAATTGCATACACATGGACACAAAGATGGGAAAAATAGACACTGGGGCCTATTTGAGGGTGGAGGGTGGGAGGACAGTGATGATTGAAAAAGCACCTATCGGGTATTATGCTGATGATTTTTCCTCTGCTGTCTTTCCGTTATTGATTTCTAATTTGATTCCATTGTAGTCAGAGAAAAGTTTGTATAATTTAAATTCTTTTAAAATTATCTGTACACCAAACCCTTGTGACACGCAATTTACCCATGTAACAAACCTGCATATGTACCCCTTGCACCTAGTAAAACCGGAAAAGAAAAACAACAAAAAAGAGCCAATGTGTATTCTGCTATTGATGGGTGGAGTGTCCTGTAAATGTGGATTTGATCCTGTTGGTTGATGGTGTTATTGAGCTCTTCTACATCTTTGCTGATTTTCTTTCTAGTTTTTATTTTTTTATTTTTATTTTTTTTGAGACAGAGTCTTGCTCTGTCCCCCAGGCTGCTGGAGTGCAGTGGCAGGATCTCAGCTCACTGAAAGCTCCGTCCCCAGGTTCACGCCATTCTCCTGCCTCAGCCTCCCGAGTATCTGGGACTACAGGCGCCCGCCACCACGCCCAGCTAATTTTTTGTATTTTTAGTAGAGTCGGGGTTTCACCGTGTTAGCCAGGATGGTCTCGATCTCCTGACCTCGTGATCCACCCCCCTCGGCCTCCCAAAGTGCTGGGATTACAGGCCTGAGCCACCACTCCCTGCCTTCTTTCTAGTTTTATTAATAGTTGTGAGAGTTGTGTTGATGTCTCCAATTATAATTGTGGATTTTCTATTTTTTCTTTCAGTTCCGTCAGTTTTTGCTTCACATATTTTACAGCTCTGGTGTTTTGGGCATAAACATTTCTGACTGCAATGTCTTCTTGATAGACTGACCCTTCTATTATTATAAAACGTCCTTATCTTTCTCTGGTAATTTTTTTTGTTTTGGCTCTGAAGTTTACCTTATCTGAGAGTAGTACACTCACTCCTGTATTCCTCTAATTAAGGAAAACATGTTGTGTCTTTTTCCATCCTTTTACTTTTAACCTGCCTATGTTGTTATATTTGTGTGGTTTTATTGTTGTTTTTGTTTGTTTTGTGTTTTTTTTGAGACAAAGTCTCATCTTGTCACCTAGGCTGGAGTGCAGCGGCACAATCTCTGCTCACGGCAACCTCTGTCTTCCAGGGTCAAGCGATTCTCCTGCCTCAGCCTCCTGAGTAGCTGGGACCACAGGTGCACACCACCATGCCTGGCTAATTTTTGTATTTTAGTAGAGACGGGGTTTCACCATGTAGGCCAGGCTGGTCTCGAACTCCTGACCTACCTCAAATTATCCACCTGGCTTAGCCTCCCAAAGTGCTGAGAGCCACTGAGCCTGGCCTATATTGTTATATTTGAACTGGGTTTTTTTTTGTTTTTGTTTTTGTTTTTTGTTTGTTTGTTTTTTTTTGTAGAGTGCTGGGTTTACAGGTGTAAGCCACCATGCCTGGCCTGAACTGGGTTTCTTAATTGAGGTATTTAGATCATTTGCATTTAGTGTAATTTTTTTTCTTAATTTTTATGTTTAATTATTATGGGTACACAACCGTTGTATATATTAGTGAGGTACATGTGATGTTAGTTACAGGCATACAATGTGCAATGACCAAATCAGAGTAATTGGGGCATCTACCACCTCAAGAATTTATCATTTCTTTGTATTAGGAATAATGTAATTATTGATATATGTATTAGCTTGGGGTGCCATAACAAAATAAAACTAGGTGGCTTAAACAACAGAAATATATTCTCTCACAGTTCTGGAGGTTGGAAGTCTGAGATCAAGGCGCCAGCATGGTCAGCTTCTGGTAAGGGCTCTTCCTGGCTTATAGAGAGAGTTGCCATCTTCTGGGGGCAGAGTGAGAGAGAAAGAGAGAGGAAGGCTGGGAGGGAGAAAGAGCAAGAGAGCATACCCTGGTTTCTCTTCCTATTGAATTAATCCTATTGAATCATGGCCCTACCCTTATGAATTCATTTAACCTGAATTACTTCTGTAAAAGGCCCTATCTCCAAATATAGTCCCATTGGTGGTTAGGGCTTCAACATGGGATTCTGTGGGACACAATCCAACCTGTAGTAACATGAAGGGCTTAATTGTTTTTCATTTATTTTGTTTGTTCTCTCCAGTTTTCATCTCTGTTTACTCTTTTCTGACTTTCTGTGGCTTACTTGGGCATTTTTTAGAACGCCAGTTTTATTTATCTACAGTGTTTTTGAGTGTATTGATGCATAACTTTTAAGTGGTTGCTTTAAGTATTACATATACATGTAACTTGTCACAGTCTGCTGGAGTCATCATTTACCATTTTGAGTAAATAATAAAAATCTTACCTTCCTAATTTATGTCCCATCCCTTTATCCTCCTCACTGAAAATACGATTGTCTTAAATGTTTCCTCTACATACATTTAGAACCACATCAGTGTTATAATTTTGGCTTCAACCATCAAACATACTTTAGAAAACTTAAGAGGAGAAGAAAAATTTATTGTATTTACCCATCTATTTGCTTACCTTGTTCTATCTTCTTCCTTGATGTTCCAAGGTTCCTATTTTATCATTTCCATTCTGTTTAGATAACTTCTTTTAGCCATTTTCATTATTTCTGGGCAGGTGTTCTCCCCCCGCCCCCATCTCCATTGACATCTTAGAGAGGGGGCCCCATTACTGGCTTGCAGAAATGAAATTCTTAGCTTCCTAATTGGTCTTCTTGGATACCACTGCAGAGTGATGTTGGAGCACCTTGTTACAGCTTCAAGAGGGTGAAAGTTTAGGTCTCCCACTTGGTCTTTCTGGTGTGAATGGCAGTAGAGTCACAGTTATTGCTATGGTATTTGCCTAGAACTGAACAGTTACTTTCTAAGGCTTGACAGGCTTGCCTGCCTCTGTCTTGGTCTTTTGGCTAGTGATATCAGGGCTTTTGTTGTAAGTGTTGTTGGGGCTTTTTCTGTTTGTTTGTTTGTTTGTGCCAGTTGGTCTTTCCAAATTGTCACTTTCTTCAGCTCCAAGCCCAGCATATATGTGGCAAAAAGAAAGCCCAGGGAACTCACTAGTATGTCATTCCTCAGATCCTGAGATTCTAGCTGTTCTGCCTTCTCATTTCCACCTTTTAGAGTCTTCTTATGTTTGTTTTATATATATATAATGTCCAGAGTTTTTAGTTGTACTTAGTGAGATGAATAGGAAAAAGTATGTCTACTCAATTTTTCCAGAAGTCTTTGCTGTCAACCTTTACTAAATTAGTAGGTTTCCTTTTATTCCTGGTTTTCTAAAAGTTTATTTTTTAAACATAAATGGTTTTTTACATTTAAAAAATAGTTTATCAGAATTGACTCATTTCATTGTATTTTCCTTCTTAATCTCCTAATATAGTGAATTATATTGAGAGATTTTTAAAATGTGAAACATCTTTGCATTCCTGGGATAAACCCTATTTGTTCATCCTATAGTTACTCATTTACTGTTGGTGTTATTTAGTTAATATTTTACTTGGGTTGTTGTATTTACTTTTATAAAGCATGGACGTAAAACTTGCCTTTCTTGTATTTCCTTGTTTGTTTTTGTAATAAAAATTTCTCTAAACAATAACCTAGGCAGATTTTGTTCTTCATTCTGTTTCCTGGAATAATAAATAGAAATGTCTTTTCAAAGGGCAGCTTTTGTTTTTGTTCATCTATTTTATTGTTTTTAGTTCTCTATTTCATTTATGACTATCTTTACTATTTCCTTCCTCCTTTGGGTGTATTCTCTTCCTCTTTACCTAGCGTTTGAGTTGAACACTCAGCTTATTGATTTTGGTCTTTTTTTGTGTTTCCTAGTAAGTGTATTTAAAGGTAAAAAATTTCCTTCTAAGTTCTGCTTTAATCATATCTAACACATTTTGATATGCAGTGTTTTAATTTTTATTTAATTCTACATATTCTTTATATTTTTCTTTTAACTCACAGGTTACTTGTGACATTTAAAAACTTTTTATTTTGAAGTAATTTTAGAAGAGTAGTACAAAGAATTCTTACGTACACTTGTCCAAATTCAATGATTTGCAACATTTTGTCATATTTGCTTTCTTTTTCTCTCTGTCTCTGCTTCCCTCTCTGTTTTTTTCCTAAAAAACATTAATATTCCTAAGTCCATTTTAGGGACTTACTCTAAAATGGTTATGAAAAAACATTAGAGAGAAAAAATGGTTTACTCTAAAATGGTTAGGAAGTCTGGAGTTACATACACACATGCCCCTTTCCTGCTAAATATTTCAATGTATTTCCTAAGAACAAGGCTGTTCTCTTACATAAACACAGAAAAACAGTCATATTAAGAAAATTTAACTTGGATATAATATTAGCTAATCCACAGTACATATTCAAATTTTACCAGTTTTCCCAATAAAGAACCTTATAACTCCAGCCACTCCCAGTCTCTTGTCCTGCAATCCAGAATCAAGCATTTCAGTAAGTTTTCATGTCTCTTTGGTCATTTTTAATGTGAGAGAGTCTATCAGTTTCTTATTTATTCAGGTTTTATTAATTAGCTTGAACTTATATAATTTTATTATTTTGCCCTTCAAGAACTCTGCTTTTTTTTTTTTTTTCTTTTTGGTCTAGTTTATCTACCAGTTTTTGAGAGAGGGTTTGTAAAAATCATCAAATGTATTTTTAAAAAACTCAACTTCTAACTGTAGTTCTTTCACTTGTTGCTTTATAAATTGTGAGGCTGTATTGTTGAGTTTATATATATTTATGATTACTATATCTTCTTGTTTCTTTAAAAGTTATATGAACATCTTTTCTTTTGTCCTTTATGCACTTTATTTTTTTTATTTTTATTTTTTTTTGAGATGGAGTTTCGTTCTTATTGCCCAGGCTGGAGTGCAGTGGCACAGTCTTGGCTCACTGCAACCTCCATCTCCCAGGTTCAAGCGATTCTTCTGCCTCAGCCTCCCGAGTAGCTGGGATTACAGGTGCGTGCCACCATGACCGGCTAATCTTTTTGTATTTTTAGTAGAGATGGCGTTTCACCATGTTAGCCAGGCTGATCTCGAACTCCTGACCTCAGGTAATCCGTCCTCCTCAGCCTCCCGAAATGCTGGGATTACAGGCATGAACCACTGCACCTGGCCCAAAATAGAATTTAAGGTTAAAAATAAAGTGCAGGCTGGACGTCGTGGCTCACGCTTGTAATCTTAGCACTTTGGGAGGCTGAGGCAGGTGGATCACCTGAGGTCAGGAGTTCAAGACCAGCCTAACCAACATGATGAAACCCCAACTCTACTAAAAATACAAAAGTAGCCGAGCATGGTGGCACATGCCTGTAATCCCAGCTACTCGGGAGGCTGAGTAGGGAGAATCGGTTGAATCCAGGAGGCAGAGGCTGCAGTGTACCGGGATCGCACCATTGCACTCCAGCCTGGGCAACAAGAGTGAAACTCTGTCTCAAAAATAAATAAATAAATAAATAAATAAATAAATAAATAAAGTGCATAGGCCGGGCACGGTAGCTCATGCCTGTAATCCTAGCACTTTGGGAGGCTGAGGCGGGTATATCACCTGAGGTCAGAAGTTCAAGACCAGCCTGGCTAGCATGGTGAAACCCTGTTTCTACTAAAAATACAAAAAATTAGCTGGGCATGGTGGCACACCTGTAATCCCAGCTACTCGGGAGGCTGAGACAGGCGAATCACTTGAACCCAGGAGGCAGAGGTTGCAGTGAGCCGAGATTGTGCCATTGCACTCCAGCCTGGGAGACAGAGGAAGACTCTGTCCCCCTCCCAAAAAAAAATCAATTCTATTTTGTTACATATTGAGACTGTTGCCCAACTTTCTTTTGTGTCATATTTGCCACCAGGTAAATCTTTTTTCCCTGTTTTTAAATTTCAATCTTTACATATCTTTCTGCTTTAAGAGGATTTGCCATATGCATTCATATTAAAAACTTTCAATAAACTAGGTATTGAAGGAATATACCTCAAAAATAATAAGAGCCATATATGACAAACCCACAGCCAACATCTTGCTGAATGAGCAAAAGGTGGAAGCATTCCCCTTAAAAACCAGCACAAGACAAGGATGCCCTCTCTCACCACTCCTACTCAACATAGCGTTGGAAGTCCTGGCTGGGGCAATTGGGCAAAAGAAACAAATAAAGACGTCCAAATAGGAAGAGAGAAAGATAAACTATCCCTGTTTGTAGATGACATGATCCTATATCTAGAAAACCCCATTGTCTCAGCCCAAAAGCTTCTTAAGCTGATAAACAACTTCAGCAAAATATCAGAATACAAAATGAATGTGCAAAAATTACTAGTATTCCTATACACCAAACAACAGTCAAGCTGAGAGCCAAATCAGGAATGAACTCCCGTTCACAATTGTCACAAAAAAAATAAAATACCTAGGAATATAGCTAACTGGGGAGGTGAAAGATATCTACAAGGAGAACTACAAACCACCGTTCAAAGAAATCAGAGATGACACAAACAAATGGAAAAACATCTCATGCTCATGGATAAGAGGAATCAATATCATTAAAATGGCCATACTGCCCAAAACAATTTATAGATTCAATACTCTTCTTATTAAACTACCATTGAGATACTTCACAGAGCTAGAAAAACTATTATTATTATTATTATTTTTTTGAGACGGAGTTTTTGCTCTTGTTGCCCAGGCTAGTGTGCAATGGTGCGATCTCGGCTTACCACAACCTCTGTCTCCCAGGTTCAAGCGATTCTCCTGCCTCAGTCTCCCGAGTAGCTGGGATATTACAGGCATGCGCCACCATGCCCAGCTAATTTTGTATTTTTAGTAGAGACATGGTTTCGCCATGTTGGCCAGGCTGGTCTCAAACTCCTGGCCTCAAGTGATTCCCCCTGCCTCGGCCTCCCAAAGTGGTGGGATTACAGGCCTGAGGCACCGTGCCCGGCCAGAGCTAGAAAAACTATTTAAAAATGCATGTGAAACAAAAAAGGGCCAGAATAGCCAAGGCAATCTGAAGCAAAAAGAACAACGTTAGCAGTATCACACTACCCAACTTCAAACTATACAGGGCTATAGTAACCAAAACAACATGGCACTGGTACAAGAACAGACACATAGACCAATGGAACAGAATAAAGAACACAGAAATAAAACTACACCTATGACTGTCTGATCTTCAACAAATCTGACAAAAACAAGCAATGGGGAAAGTATTTTCTATTCAATAAATGGTGCTGGGAAAACTGGGTAGCCATATGCAGAAGATTGAAACTGCATCCCTTCCTTACACCATCCACCTTAACTCAAGATGGATTAAAGACTTAAATATAAAACTCAAAATTATAAAAATCCTGGAAGACAACCTAGGCAATACCATTCAGGATATACTGGCAAAGATTTCATGACAAAGATGCCAAAAACAATTGCAACAAAAGCAAAACTGACCAACAGGATCTAGTTAAACTAAAGAGCTTCTGCACTAAAAAGGAAACTATCAACAGAGTGGACAGACAACCTACAGAATGGGAGAAAATTTTGCAAACTATGCATCCAACAAAGGTATAATATCCAGCATCTATAAGGATCTTAAATAAATTTACAAGAAAAAAAAACCATTAAAAAGTGGGCAAAGGACATGAACACTTTTCAGAAGAAGACATACATGCAGCCAACACGTATATGAAAAAAAGCTCAACATCACTGATCATTAGAGAAATGAAAGTCAAAACCACAATGAGATACCATCTCACATCAGTCAGAATGGCTACTATTACAAAGTCAAAAAATAACAGATGCTGGCTAGGTTATGGAGAAAAATGAACGTTTTTACACCGTTGGTGGGAGTGTAAATTAGTTCAACCATTGTGGAAGACAGTGTGGCAATTCCTCAAAGACCCAAAGACAGAAATACCATTTGACCCAGCAATCCCATTACTGGGAACATACACAAAGGAATATAAATCATTCTATTATAAAGACACATGAACACATATGTTCACTGTAGCACTATTCACAATATCAAAGACTTGGAATCAACCTAAATGCCCACTAATGATAGACTGGATAAAGAAAACGTGATACACATACACCATGGAATACTATGCAGATATAAATAAGAATGAGATCATGTCCTCTGCAGGGACATGGATGGAGCTGGAGGCCATTATCCTTGGCAAAATAATGTAGGAAGAGAAAATCAAATGCCAGATGTTTTGACTTATAAGTGGGAGGTAAATTGTGAAAACACATGGACACACAGAGGGGAACTGCACACATGGGCCTATTGGAGGGTGGAGGTGGGAGGAGGGAGAGGATCAGGAAAAATAACTAATGTATACTAGGCTTAATACCTGGGTAATGAAATAATCTGTACAACAAACCTCCCTGACACAAGTTTACCTATGAAACAAACCTGCACATTTACCCCTGAACTTAAAAGTTAAAAAAGAGTATTTGTTATAAATCACACATGATTTGGTTCCCTTTTTCCTCCATTATTAGAGCCTTTGTTCTTTTATTGGTAACTGCTGAAGTAAAGATTTACTTTTGCAACTCATTTCACATTCTGTTTTTATTGTACAATGTTTCTTCCCTTTTCTTGCTTTCCATTTGATAGACTGATTTTTTTCTGCTGTATTAAAAGTTATACATACTGATTCTGTTCTTATGGTGGTTGCCTTTAATTTAACACAGTGAGCATTTACCTTTTAAAATGTCTTAACTACCTTAATATTTATATCTTGCCTCCTAAGTTCTTTAGCATACTCTTATGTTCTTTTGATTTTCTACTTCCCTCCCTCTAATGCCAATTCTCCTACCAAGTAGATATTACACACACACACATTCATTTACCCTCTTTTAAAAATATGGTCCTGGATTTGTTGACAAATCACCCTTATATTTGTTGTAAATTTCTTGATTTGATTCTCTTTTTGTGTACTTCCTCTAAGAGTGTTTTTTTTTTTTTTTTTTTACCACGTCCAAGAGTGTTTTAAATATGAGCCTTTGGATTCTTTGCATGATAATAAATTTGTTATGCCATCTCACTTGAATAGCAATTTTGATACATATAAAGTTCTAAACTCCAGTTTATTTTCCTTCACTACTATAAAAATATTATTTTATTTTATTCTTGCATTCATTGCTGTTGAAAAGTCTGACATCAATCTGATCTTACTCCTTTGTAAACTGTTCTTTTTTTTTTTTTTTTTTCTGATAGGGTATCACTCTGTCACCCACTGGAACCTCCACCTCCCGGGTTTGCCTCAGCCTCCCGAGTAGCTGGGACTACAGGCACACGCCACCAGGCGGGGCTAATTTTTGTATTTTTAGTAGACACAGGGTTTCACCATATTGGCCAGGCTGGTCTCGAACTCCTGTCCGCAAGTGATCCACCCGCCTCTACCTCCCAAAGTCCCAAAGTGCTGGGATTATAGGCGTGAGCCACTGTGCCCAGTTGATAAACTCTTCTTTCTAAGTTTTAAAAATATTTATTTGTCTCAATATAACGAGCATAGGTGTGGATTTTTCTGAAGCTCCTGTTAAGTATCCTTTGAACCCTTTTCTCTGAGGTCTTTCATAATTAAAAAAAAATTGTAAATTTATTAGTCATTATTTTCTCACGTATATATTTTTTTCCTCTCACTGTGAGTTCTCTTATGATTCAGATGTTGATACTTCTATTTCTAGCATACATTTTGCTGAACTTTCTTTTATATTTTTGATGTCTTTATTCTTTCCTACTGTCTTCTGGGATTATCTTTCATCTTATCTTTTACCTCACAAATTATTCTTCAGCTATATTTATCCTGGTACTTGTCTAATCTATAGTATTTACAACTTCTACTGTTATAGTTTTAACATCTAATATTCTGTCTTTGTTTTTGTGAGTTACTGGTTTTGCTTTATGTTGCTGGTATCTTCTATTATCTTAAGTATATTTGCCATTTTGTTTCAAGTTCTTGGTTCATCTTCTTCACAATTCTGCATTAGATAGTATATGGTGTTAATTTGTTGTCTATGTTTTGCAATTTTTTTGTTCCTTAGCCATATCATTATGTTGATCTGTGAGCTCACGTCTCCAGGAGGGCACCAGCTAGTCTGTGGGGTAATGTGTAATGGGGAAGAGATAAAGTCAAATACTGGTCTGTGTCCCTCCAGATCCAGCCCTGGTAGAGAGCCCAGAAACACTGTGGATCTCCCCATTTGCCACTACTCTTTCAGGCAACTCCTAGGAAAAGCACAGTTGGGAGTAGGCAGGTGCTCCACGTTGGGATTCACCAGCGCTGGGAGTTGGGGCAGTGGTCGTGAGTAGTGGAGAAGAGAATACCCAAAAGCTCACCCCTAGTTTCATCTGTTCCCTACTGATTTACCTTGAAGATACAAGTAGCCTGGCCTGTTGCAGCCTGTTTATGTATGAAGGGGAGGCAACAATTGTCCCAAGCCGATTGGGAAGGACATAGTGCAGAAATTAAAAAGTCTTCCTGCAGCCTGTTCTCCCACTGTGGCTTATCTCCCAGGATGCAGCCCTGCCCATTCTCTACGCACACCAGCTCAAGACAGCAGTTCTGTCTCTCCTGGCAAATATAAAAACACTTTATACTTATTTCTGGTGTTGCCAGCTCCCCAGATCCTTGCTTCCTTTTGCTTCTCTACCTTTACAAAAATTAATTTTGGGTGAGGGAGCTGGAAGCCTGAACCTACCTATTTGCCATTTCACAGGAACTGGAAGCTTTATTTCTGGTCCTCAAAGGGCAAAGTGACAAGCGACATTCAATAGCTCATGGCCTGAGGCTTCCTGATGCCCAGGGTCTTACACTCGTAGCCAGGACTGATGTGTTGTCATAGCCATTCCAAGGGTCTCTTTTCAAGGTGTCCAATGGGGTGGCAAGCAGGGATTCTGATTCATCTATGCTCCAGGGACAGGAGAGAAAGGAACTTGGAGATTCATGAGGTAGGCATGAAGCTTGGATAGTGGGAGGGGAGGAAGATAGATGTGTGTTGAGCATTTATTGTGCACTCTATTGAGCCCTTGCTGGGTACACCTTGAGGGCTAATTTACTTCACAGAATCCAGGAGGAATGCCTTCAGGGGTACTTTCAGGAAAGTATCCATAGATTTTTAGGAGGCTGTGTGGTGAAGCTATGTTCATACTACTAGATAATATTTACCTTATAGGCTTCATGATGTATAAATCTGCCTTTCCTCTAATTTATAATAGAAGCATCCATATGATTTATGAATTCTTTCAGATTAGCTCTTTTAGGCCATCCTAGCTAAATACTGAGGGTGTTTAGTATCCTCAGGGTGCTTTGCTGCAGCTGTCCCCAGCTGGTCTCGTTTTTTCCTGTTTTCTAATTGGTCTCTACCCCCATTCCTCCCTCAGTCTGTCTTGACAGATGGCAGATGCATCTTCCTATGTGGCAGTGCTTGGCACTAGGTTTGCAGCAAATGCTTGTTGGATTGATTTTCTTTAGATTTGAAGGTTAAAAAGAGAGTTTTTCTCTTTATAGGCACCCATCCCAATTTCTTCTCCTTGCAATGCTCAGTAGTTGCTACCAGGAAGGGCTGTCACCAGGTTGTGTCCTAACTGGAATGAGCTCTTGAGTGGGAGTAAGCAATGTTTGTTGGTAGGTCAAAGGGTTAACAACAGTTTTAAGCTCTTTTTTCCCATGGGAAGATGAACTCCAGTTTACCTTATACTTACTGTTTCTTTGAAATGTACTGTTTGGATAAATGTGAAATGTCAGCTGTATTTTAAAAAATCACATTTATTTATTTATTTATTTATTTATAAGTGTGGAAATGACCCCTGGTTGGTGAACTACATCTATGCTGGGCAGACTGCGGGCAGGCATTTAGACTTGGTGGACCTATATGACCAGACCCGTATGAAAACCTGTTGGGAAATGTAGGCCCTGGACTCTGTTATGGTGTGTTTCTTGAATCCGAATATGCCTGTTTTCTTGGAATCCTCACTCATGGGTTGGTATAAGATGTGGTTCCTGTCATGTGAGAGATTCTTCCATCCTAGAATGGCTCCCCCGTGCCTCTCCCCTACTCCTGTGGTCTTGTCTACTATGACCATGCATATTCCCATGAGATGAGAGGGTTAAGAATCAGCATCTAGAATACATAAAGACTCCTGATGAAGATGTCTAATGCTGTCAGGCTGACAAGCTATGTTTCCATATCCAATATTCCTCTACAAAGCTAAATAAATAAGTTGCCGTATAACAGCCCACCAAGTCTTTTGAGTGTGTATGTTAATCTGAACCCAAGGCACAACTAATTTGTATGAAGTAAGCATTGTAGGATTTTTTTTCCTACAAAAATAACTTTCTCTTCATTGCTGAAATTCTGTTGTAAATAAACAAGTGGTAAGCAGAGGATCATAAAATGTTCCTTGCTCAAAGCCTTAAAATTCCCAAAACTCCAGCATTCAAATTTCTCTGGACAGAATTGGAACCAAAATGAAGTCACAGTTAATAATAAAACATTACATTTGTGTAATGCTTTGAATATTCTAAAGATTTTATTCTACTTTTCCTGTCTTCTCTTCTCTGACTGACTCAATATGGCTTCTCTTGTACCTGCAAAAAGATGACTTCAAAATCCATTTCTCCAATTTTGAACCCACTACAGTACTTGATATCCATGTATGCCACTATTTAGAAGCAAAGGAAATAAAATCATTGAAATGACACTTTGAAATAGACTTGGTAGGACCTGAAAACTCACTGAATCCAATCTTCTCACTCAGACAGTTGAGTGGACAGTGGTTTAATCCACTGAAAGAGGAAATACAAGGGAAGGACATGTTTGAGAGGTGTTTAGAGAATGATTGATAAAAGGTCTTAGAAGAGGTGAGTGTCCACTATTTTTGCACTGGAGTATCTACCCCTGCTCCAAGGTCCCTCATGTTCACATCTGTTGGGGATGATGGGAGGGCCAGAAGACAGCCCACCTCATGGAAATAAGAGTAGCCAGGCTACATGGAGTAGGTCGGGAAGCAAGGAGGCTCAGGACCAAGGAAAGGTTTATCGAATAAATATTATGAAATGCTCAGCTGGTATATGAAGAGCAGTGAGGGTTGGGGGTATCAGGATCACAATCCATATTCAGTTCCAAGATGTCTGGACCATTTCACAGTTGGGATATGGTCTTCCTCTAAGGAAGAACATGGGCTGTTTTTTTCATACTTCTGATCACAGTTGGCAAGAAGGAATGGTTGGAGTAATAGACTAGTAGTTGGGTTCTTAGATTTGTTTCTTTAATCAAATTCTCATGGCTAATGGCAAGATAGAATATGCTTATACAGGACATTTATCTGAAAGTTGTGTTACAGACAACATCCATTAGAATCATCCAGGGTACTTCATGAAAATGCAGATTTCTGAATAACCTCTAGAACTGCTGAATTAGGATCCCTGGGCTGGAGCCTGAGAATTTGCATTTAAGCCTACTTCTTAGCAATTCTTATGTACACTAAAATTTAAGAAGCATATGTAAGCTGGTTAATTATGAATTATTCTTATCAATGAAAAATTATACCAAATGAGAATTAAATGGGACAACTGGATATTTCATTGCTTTGAAGAAGCTGGTGACAACTTCATCTAAGACTTCCCAGTTGCTCTTTCAGTATTACTTCTAAATTTACTATTGCAGTTTATTTTTCATTAAATCTTCCTTCTACTGGTACAAAGAAAAATATCTTTGTCTTCCCTTTTAATTTTATTTATTTATTTTGTTTGAGACAGAGCCTCACTCTGTTTCCCAGGCTGGAGTGCAGTGGTGTGATCTCGGCTCACTGCAACCTCCACCTCCTGGGTTCAAGCGATTCTCCTGCCTCAGCCTCTCGAGTAGCTGGGACTACAGGCGCCTGCCACTATGCCTGGCTAATTTTTGTATTTTTAGTAGAGACGGGGTTTCACCATATTGGCCAGGCTGGTCCCAAACTCCTGACCTTGTGATCTGCCAGCCTCGGTCTCCCAAAGTGCTGGGATTACAGGCGTGAGCCACTGCGCCCGGCCAATTTTATTTTTTAATTAAACATTTCTGAGACATTTTGGCTTTAATGAAAATGTTTCCAAAGCATGTTCAAAGCGTAGTCCTTAGTTTGATGGTCTGAAGAATGGAATCATTTATTAGTGGAGTTCAATAAATATTTATTCGCATTTATACATACAAGGTCCTTTGGACAGAGTAAGAGACACAAGACACCACCACTCCCTGAAAGAGCACACAAAACAATTACATAGATAAGACCAACACACACATTTGAACTGTGGTATTGAAACTTAAAAAAAAAAAAAGCCTAAAGCCCTCTCAGTAAAAAAGAGTTGAGTACTTATCGACACTTACATGTTTATTTATACATTATCCCATGTACTAGCATATGGCTTGACTATATACACCAGAACTCACACTGTAACAAATAGAAAGTTTATAAGTTACCAAAATAAATAGAAACTTTAACACTTCCTTCCTGTATCCTCAAGGATCATTTGCACATTCCCTGTAGTGTGCACATTCCATTTTGTAAACCAGTGTTTTTAGAAAACAATGCCTACCTATATATAACCAAGCACTAAGTTCTGTGTTACAGATTAAAAAAACCATTTTAGAGTAAAGAGAAATAAGAGCAAACCCAGACTACTAGAACTGGTAAATGAAAGGAATAGCATTCAGAAAACAATGTATATTCAATAAATAGATAAAATAATAGGAAACATTTGCTTTGGGTTCATGTCAAAGCCTATTAAGAAGGAGACATAGACATAGGACAAAATGCATATGTAGAGGAAAAAGAAACAAAATATAGAAATGTAAACATTACTTCCTTCTGGCAAAATGTCTTCTAGCCTTTGGTGAGGTATTTCCAGACATTTATAGGCTACACTCTGCCAATGATTTTATTTAAGGATGACACAGTGAATGCTTATTTTTATGTCTACAAAAAAAGTTACAAAATTTAGTTATTCACACATTCATTCATCAGTGCCTCTTGATATTGGAAATGTTTCTCCCTATTGCTTTATGGATTGACTGTATTCCTGAAAAGCTTGAATTACATTTTAAAAACTCAGCCATAAGCTTTGTGGGAGACAGACTGTACCTGTCAAGTTCCCTCTTGTATCTCTGGCACCTCGCATAGCATCAGGCTTATAGTGAATATTCAAGAATGTCCTCTCGATGGTTGCAATATATTTGAAAATCTCAGCATTGAAAGGAATTCTGTGACAAACCACTTAAAAAAGTTAAAATGAATGAACATTCAGTAAATTCTGATTTTGATGAAACACAGTTGTTCATAAGTGGACAAAACTATCCTTTAAGTAAACCCATGGGGACATTTGAGTTGAATAATTTATAGAGACTTATAATCTGAAAGAGAGCGCAGACATAGTCTCATATTCTTTTACCACACAGATAAGGAAAAGCTGGAGCTCACAGAAACTTGAAAGAGCTTGCCCAAGGCCACATCACTATTTAGGAGCAGTTATTTTAATATGTAACAAATTACGTGTGATTAATCTTTTTCAGAAGGGGTTACTGCAGGTTTTCTTAAAGTAACAGTATTAGATAATATTTTATAAAACTTAAAAACTCTATAACATAATGCTTCATAATGTTTAAGAATTCATAAACATTTAGTAAAAATATTAAAAACATGCATAGCAATGATAAAACTGACTTCACATTGGTGGTTATATCTGGGGGCAGTGAAAAGAAAATGGAAGGATTCAGAGGTATCAATTTTATTGTAGTCACTGATTTATTAAAAAAACCATTGAAACAAATAGGACAAAATACTAAGATTTAATAAAGCTGGGTGTTTGGGTAATGGGGGTTTATTTGCCTTTCTGTGTGTTTAAAATACTTAACAATACAAATATTAAAACTAAAATTAGTAAGAGATTTGTAAACTAATAGGTTTTTTAAAATACCAAGCAGAGGAACAAAGTCAACTGTTATTTATCCAAAGAACCATTAACAGAAATAGGCTATATATATATATATATATATATATATGCTAAAGGGTTTAGTCAACAAAGTAGATATTCTATAATTAGCAGCATGAAGGAGTTAGAGTACATCTTATGTTGTTATAATTAATAGTAAATATTTGTAACATACAGAAAATACATGGAACAACAGTCATGCAACCACTACTCAAATACAGTTGTGCTGTTTGCACCTGACTTCAGGTCCACCTTTCTTTTCCCTCACCAGATGCAATTACTAGTTTAAAGTTAGTGCATATCATTTGTTATTATGTTGTGAGAATTGTCCTTGTGAAATATGGACATTTAGTTTATTTTAATGGTTGCACAATTTATTGTAGAAAGGCAACACAATTTTATTTACTTTTTTATGCACTGATGGGCATCCCCTGACTTTCCACCAATTATAAGCAAACCTGCAATGAACATCCTTATGCATACTTCTTTGTTTTTGTATTTGAGAATGTCTTCAGGTCTCTAGGGCATATAAACATAGAATTGCTTGTCTGTAGGATTCTTGTCTCTTTAAATTTGTACAACACTGCATATGTGAAATAAGTAGTTGAAATAAGTGGGAAAACTAACCCTTCCACCAAGATTCTATGCAAATTCCCATTTCTTCACATTTCTGCTTCAGCACGTGGTATTGTTAGGCTATCTACCTTGAGATAATAAAGTTATTCTACATTTCCCCCCCAAAGCTTTAAACCTTTACCTTTTCACATTTAGCCTTTTATTTCATTTAAAATTTATTTTTGTAATGGTGTGAGGTAGAGATCTGGTTTCATTTATTCCCCATGGTGATAGCCTATGTTCCTGCAATATTAACTGACTTATCCAACAGTTCTCAAAATGTGATCAGAGGATTCCTGGGGATGTTGGGAGGGAGAGATCCCTTGGATCCTTTTAGAGGGTCAACAAGGTCAAAAATATTCATAAAATTAAGATGTTATTTGCCTTTTTTTTACTCTCACTCTCATAAGTGTACAGAAGGGTTCGCCAAAGACAACAATGGCATGTGATGAATAGTGATGACTATTTCTCTGATACCTAACAGATTGTGTGCCTGTGTATTGTATTTTCTAGAGTTTTCAAAGGTAGTGAGTTTACGGTATAAGTATGTAGTTTTCAGAAATTATTTCTTTTCTACCATGCTCTTACCAGCTATCTTCAGTTATACCTGTTATAATCTCTGTAATCTCATTATCTTCCAAGAAATCATTTTTAAATCCTAAAGTTTTTCCTTTTACACAGAAACATAACAAAAATTATGTTTACTTTGTTGTTTTGCAATAATATATTTTTCAAAAATGTTTTTAATTAAAAAATTTTATCTGAATAGGGTGGATGGTTGGCTTTAAAAAGGGAGAAGAGAAAACACATTTTCTGGTGTCTAGATTGCCTATGTCTAGAGATGCTGAAAAGGATGACATTGACATATCAGCAAGTTATCTGATTCCTCATAAAAAGGAGAAATCTATTCCAAAGAAACTGAGCACAACTATACACAACAAAAATATGTTGAAAGTGATCTTTTGTTCAGCTTTATAGATGTTAATAATTTATCATATTGTGTCTTGTGCAGTAAAACATTTTCAAACACTTATATGGTTCCAACAAAGTTGCAGTATCATTTTGGGACCAATCATTCAGAATTTATTAAAAAAAGGAATTAAATAACCGAAATGTAGATGTAATACACTCTTTAAAAGCTTCTTACAGGATAAGCCATCATATTGTATTGGCTAGAGGAGCACACACAATCACAGAGAGACTAATAAAGGCTTGAACAGTTGACATTGCTGAATACCTGCTGGATGAAAAATCACCACAAGAATGCATAGTGCTGGCATTTTCCAATGATGCAATAACTTGTCAAATTAAAGATTTAACTGCAAACATAAAGACTGAGTTAATATATCATCTAAAGAATTGTACCTTAGCCTTACAAAGGGACTGATCTACAGATGGCTATACATCCTGTTTTGCTTTCATTCATCAGGTATCAGCATCAATTGACCATTGATGATCTTCTTTTATGTGAATTCTGGGCAACAGGGGTTCTGAAACATTAAAAGTGTTATATGACTTTTTTGAATCTGGTGGTTTATCCTCAACAACTGTGTTAACTGTGTTAACATTTGCACTGATGGTGCAAAAATGGTGGATTTTATCCAATGGTGGGTAAAATGACTGGTGTCTTAGCACGAATTAAGGCAATGGCACCAAATTTTATTAGTAGTCATTGTATTCTTCACCACCACACATTCGTAGTAAAAAAAAAACAGTTTTACTAAAATAATGTCCTTGATGAAGTTGTAAAAATTATTTTCTACTAAATCTCAACCCTTAAGCACATTTAAAAAAATTCTTTGTGACACAATGTGATGTACCCATAAAACACTTCTACTGCATGCTGAAATATAGTTGTCTTTTGGAAAAACACTTGTTTGAGTTGCAAGCTGAATTAGCCACTTTTTCTTTTCTTTCATGGAAACACCATCTTTTCACTTGGAAAAAAAAAGTGACAGAAAATTGATTATTCAGACTTGGGAATTTGGCAGACATTTTCTTGAAAATAAACAGTGATACTATCACTTTAGGGAAAACAACTAGTTGTATTTGTTGCCAGTGCTAAAATTTAAGCTTTTAAAAGTAGAAGTTGGAATTTTGAAAAGCTTGTATCTGCTACTGTGGGATACTTAGAATTTTTTCTGATATCAGCAGCAACATTAATGAATATAATATTTTTTTGAGACAGGGTCTTGCTCTGTTGTTAAGGCTGGATTGCAGTGGCATGAACAGGGCTCACTGAATGCAGCTCTCAACCTTATGGGCTCAAGTGATCCTCCTGCCTCAGCTTTCCAAGTAGCTGAGACCACAGATGTGCACTCCACTCTTGGCAAATTTAAAAAAATTTTGTAGAGATGGGGTCTTGCCATGTTGCCCAGGCTGGTCTTGAACTCCTGGGCTCAGACAGTACTCCTGCCTTGGTCTCCCAATGTGCTGGGATTACAGGCATAAGCCACTGCAGCCAGTTTGAGTTTTTGATATTGCATGAAATGTTTGAACATTTCGAATACCTCCATAATTCAGTAAACAGATATTTCCTAATGACCATATAATGTTACAGAATCTTACATGAGTAAAAATAATTTCAAAATGCGGATAGGCCAATAGATTTCAATGACTTCCTGTTGTTTATCCCCTGAACCAGAAGATTTACACTCACCCTAGATTCTTACCTTTCCCTCAACCCCTTCATTCTATTACTCAGTACTCAGTGTAAATTCCACCTCCCAGACAGCAGACAGCTCTTAAGTGTATGCTTTCCTGTTCATTACTATTTCTAATGCCCTCATTCAGAACTCTGGCAACTTACTTTATGATGTCAAATCTCTTACGTAGCATAAGAGGCCACTGCCCACCTCTCTTCTCTAGCTTCCCCCATTTCACTGTATTGTCTAGTAAGCTGATCTTATTATAGCTTTTTTTTTTTTTTTTTAGACAGAGTCTCTCTGTCGCTCAGGCTGGAGTGCAGTGGTGTGATCTCTGCTCACTGTAATCTCCACCTCCCACCTTGAGCACTCCTCTCGCCTCAGCCTCCCAGGTAGCCGGGACCACAGGCGCACACCACTGAACAGGGATAATTTTTTTTGTTTTTGTAGAGACAGTGTTTTGCCATGTTGCCCAGGCTGGTCTCGAACTCCTGGGCTCAAGTGATCCACCTGCTTCAGCCTCCCAAAGTGCTGGGATTACAGCCACTGTGCCCAGCCTATTATAGCTCTTTATAAAACAAAAACAACAAAAAAACCGAACATATTGATTCATGACTCCCTACCTTTGCATTCACATGATTCCTTTGCCTGGAATGTCCCCCTTCTTCTACCTGCTTGGGAATTCCTAGCTATATCTACTAAAATTCTATTCAGATGTCTTTTTCCAGGAAGCTTTTCTTAACCTAACTCACGCCATTAAGTTATTCGCTTTATTTTTCTAGGTTATCTTCTATTTGTTTCTACTGTTGTACTCATCATTCTGTAAGGTATTGGGGCTCTGTAGAATTTCTGTTACAAAATTACTTTTTGGTTTGATAATATTTACCTACATTGAGCAATCCCATAAGAAACAGGCCTGTGAAACTCTCTATTGGGTTTCCTAAAACAATATTGTTGAGAGATTATTTAATTACCTAGCTTTCTTTTTATAGGGACTTGCCAGAGAAATATATTTCTGGTCTTATCATATTAGTTACTCTTCAGATTTGTTTTAGAAAATAGTCACCATTAACACCTTTTAGAATTGGTTGGTGGAAAGTTTCCAATCAAAATTGTGGTCCACCTCTAGCAAGCTGTAAAATTTTATGATCTCCAATTAGCCTCAGTTTAAACTCTAGTCAGGCATTTAGCTTCACAAAAACTGAAGTCAGGGATAGTCAGTTTTCCCATATTAGTAGAGAGCTGGGAAGTGCTGATGTGCACAACCTGCAGCCTGAAATAGTTGCTTTTTCTAAATAACAGTAAAACTGTTGCTCTCTGAGGATGGATAGGTGGATGCTATTTGTTGTTTGCAAAGCTTAGGGAACCCTGTGGTTGAGATTTTTTCCAATACATGCATTTTTTTTCCCTTTGCAAAGGGACTTTGGATAATTGTTAATTTTCCCAAGAATATAATTATAATTCTTTTATTGTTTAAATAGAGTTAATAGTTTATCTACAGTTTCACTTTCTGCAGTTTCAGTTATCCATGGCTTGAAAATATTAAGATATTTTGAAAGAAAGAGGAAGAAAAAGAGGCGTCAGTCACATAACTTTTATTACAGCACATCGTTACGTTTCTATTTCATTATTAGTTATTGTTCATATCTTACTCTGCCTAACTTATAAACTTTAACATGCATATGTATGGGAAAAAAAACATAGTATATATAAGGTTTGGTACTATCTGCAGTTTCAGGCATCCACTAAGGATATCAGAACATATTCTCTGCATATTTAGGAGCAATTACCGTATGATATTTTTTTCTTTCTGTGTAAACACATGGTGTCATAGTCCATTTTGTGCTACTGTAACAGAATATCACAGACTAATAACAAATAACAGAAATTTATTGGCTTATAGTTCTGTAGGCTGAGAAGTCCAAAATCAAGATGCTGGCATCTGGGAAGGGCTTTTTTGTTGCATCATCACACAGAGGAAGGTGGAAGGGTGACAGAGAGAGCAAGAAGGGGCTGAACTTACCCTTTTATAACATCACCAATCCCACCCTAATCACCTCTTAAATATTCCACCTATTAATACTGTTATCATGGCAATTACATTTCAACATGAGTTTTGCAGGGGAGAAACATTCAAATCATAGCACATGGGTTAGGTGAGAAATGAAGAGTGAGGTATACAAGAGCATCCAGAACCATACTATATACATTCCAGCTGTTTTGGTGTAGAAGCAGCACAAATGTAGAAGCTGCATTGTTTCTTGATAAAAGGGTCCTGGAAAGATGACCAGCTATACAGTTTCCACTAGAGGAAATGCAGATTGGCTTGTACGACTTTAGAGTATGAAATATAAAGATCTGGAGTCTGTTCCATGTTTTTTCAGGACTGGTGTGACTATATTATGGATAACGAAGGAAAGGAGCCTCCTTTGAAAGAAGCATCTAAATTAGGGATGGGCTCCTCATTTGGAGGATGTTAGAAACTACGAATCAATGTCTCTCATGTTCAATGGAGCTCCCATTTTTATCGGTTTCATGAGACTATTATTAATTTATTTGAATCCAAGATGAGTCTCAAATATACCCAGAAGAAAAAAAATTAAGAAATGAAACCAAGACTCCTAATGCTTTGAATGTTCGTAACATTCGAGAAAAATTTGAGCCTGGGCTATATAATCAAAGTCTAGGATTTGTGAACCTAACAGGGTTCCACTGTCACCTGTTTTCAAGAGAGTGCTGAGAAAAATTCCAATCTATACCTTAAACAATTAGGTTAAATGATTTAAAGAAATTAGCCTTCAGAGGACTGAATTTTTAATGATTTTTCTACTTGGAAAATGTGACTTCTAAATAAAAAAAGTGCTTGCTTATTATAAAACCTTGGTTCAAAGGTAAATACTATGTTCTGACAAGTGTAAAATAAGTACAAGCACATGTGAAAATAACTGTTAACAGCAAATGCTTAAGAAGTGTTCTTGTTTTCTAAAATAAACATTTCCTGTTCCTAAAGTTTTTGGATCAGAAAATGGAAAAATATAACTCTAGTTAATGGGGATACGCAATTTGACTGTAGACCAATAATTAATTGTCATAAAGACTTTAAAAATCCTTCTAGATTAATAATGTGTAGAGGAGTCTTAGAGGATTACTCAGTAAAATAAATTCAAGGTAACAATATTAATCTAAGTTTCTTTAATATTCTTGATCTGGGTAAACATTTTCATAAATTAATTTTGTGAATTTTGAGTTTAAAATATGTCCTGCTCTAATTTCACCATGTGTAAAATAAAAAGGCAATCATAGTATTTTAGTCCATATAAAACCATGCCTCCATTTATAAAAACAGACTTTTTTTGGACAGTTTAACAGTTACAGAAAAACTGAACAGGAATTACAGAGAGTTCCCGTATGTCCCCTCAAGCCCTCTTCCCTCCAGTTTCCACTATTAGTAACATCTTGCATTAGTGTGGTACATTTGTTAAAATTGGTGAGCCAATATTGATACATTATTAAGTCCATAGTTTACATTAGGGTTCACTCTTTGTGCAGTTTTATTGGTTGTTATATTTTATTGGTTTTGACAAAGGTATGACATGTATCCACCATTACAGTATCATTCAGAATAGTTTCACTGCCTTAAAAATCCTCTGTGCTCCACCTATTCATCCAACCCTTCCCATGGACCACTGGTAACCACTACCTTTTCACTGTCTCCATGGTTTTGCCTTTTCCAGATTACCATATAGTTGGACTCATACAATATGTAATCCTTTCAGATTGGCTTTTCCTTAGCAATATGCATTTAAGGTTCCTCCATTATCCAGAGATGGTTTTAGTTGTCACAACTTGGGTAGAGAGATCAGGGGTCAATGCTACTGGCATCTAGTGGGTGGTAGAGACTGAGGTAGCTCATGAGCATCCTACAATGCCCAGGACAGCCCCCTACAAAAAAGAATTATTCAGCCCCAAATGCCAACCATGCTCGAGGTTGAGTAACCTTGTGTTAAGAGTGACATGTGGCATGAGAAATGGGGCGGTTTTGGCTCATGTTGTGATATTCTAGATTCAGATATTTCCCTGAGCAGAGAGGCTGAAATGCTGAAAATTTTTCATTTGATGACCTTGATGCTTCCTTTCCTGACCATCGTAAAGAACAAATGGCTCCTTTGCTTTGGCAAGAAATACTGAAGGTGGTGGCTTTTTTCTGTTTGTTTTGAAATGAAGTCTTGCTATGTTGCTCAAGCCAGTCTTGAATTCCTGAACTTCTGGTCTCAAGTGATCCTCCTGACTCAGCCTCCAGAGTAGCTGGGACTACAGGCACATGTTACTGCACCAGCCTTCAACGTGATTTTTTTTATTTCATTCAGGTGACAAACTCATGCTGAGGTTCCCAATTTTTGTCTCAGAGCTAGGATATTCTAAATTTGTAAAAAAAAAAAAAAAAAAAAAAAAAAGTTAAGAAATATTAACTTTCTATGAAACACTCTAAATACTAACAAAGAGCTTGGTGAGTTCTCCCACTTACCTGTGTCCCATCTGTGCTTCAGTTGCAAATATATATATATATACACAGAGAGAGAGAGAGAGTCTTATTCTGTCACCCAGGCTCCAGCGATCCTCCCTCCTTGGCCTCCCAAAGCACTGGGATTATAGGGATGAGCCACTGCCCCCAGCTCAGTTGCTTATTTTGCATTATTTCAAGGCAGTGGAGGCAAAACGCTCAAAATTAATTTCTCACAGATCAACATCACATCTTGGAGTAAAACAAACACATATTGAAGGTATTTTAATGTATGTTTTCTTGAACTTCTTCTAACTAATAGGGGAAATATTTTCATTAACTTTTACCAAAGATTTCTGGATAGTGTAAATATATTTTTCTATTTGGGTAACAGTTTATAGTATGCTGTTATTTCTCTGTTCATTTATTTATTTTTATCATATACCTCCTAGAGTAAGATTTAATTTGATGGAAATGTTTTGTGGATTCTGCTGTAATTAATGCACATAATAGCAGTCAGTAATAGAATTTCTGTAAACCTATATTTATTAATTATCTAATACCTTCTCTTCATTTTGCTGTTGATTTCCACTAAGTAGATTAAATTGTGTTCTTAAAAACAGAAATTCATTTGTGTATGGATACAAAACAGAATGTTCCCAAATGCAATCTTGGATGTGATGCTCTAAACTTTAGAAATCCAGCTTCATTTATTTTGGATTAATTTCTCCCGCTTGGAGGCTGACACACTGTTTTACATCTATCAAATGCATGATTATAAAATTAACAATTTTGTACAATAATGAAATTAAACACACACACACATGAACTGTAAACTATACAGCACCATCTCTGTGTCATAGTTTTAAAAGGCACTTCCAGATGACATAAAAAATGAAGAGATATTTTTTAAGAACCTATTGATTTTTGATCTCCAATTTTGTGTGTGGGGGGTTGTTTTTCTTTAACCCTAGTTTTATCTAATTTGAGATTCATGAACAAGGTATCTCTAAGGGAAAGAGCAGCAGGTATAATTATTAGTTATTTTATAAGACTTTGTGAAGTCTTTGGTATAGTTCTAAAAACAAAGTGAAAGAACCTAATGTATGTATAAAAATAGTTTTGCAAGTCAATTGGTTTCTAATTCTTTGCTTTCAACAAAATTGAAGAAGAACCTTATACTTGAGTTGTCAGCTGACAGATTATTAAAAATATTATTTAATAATAGCCCATTATGTGAGTTTTGCATACGACTAAGAAGAAATTTTAAAAATTGGGTGAAGTTGCCTCAACAAGTCTTTATTTTCTCATTCATTTATATGATCAAGATTCCTTAGTTCTTTCATGTTAAAATTTTTTAATTGAAATAATATACAGCCCAGATTCATTAACAATAAGTAACATTTGTCAACATGAAATTGGGAAAATAAAGTCCCTATCCATCTCATTAAGAGATGCATTTCTAGTTAAATTTTACCATTACAAACTTACACTTTTATTTACCAAAATGTGTATTACAGATTGAGCATCCCTCATCAGAAAATCTGAAATGCTCCAAAATCTGAAACTTTTTGAGCACCAATATGATGCCACATGTAAGTACTGTACTTAACACAACTTCATTTCACATATAAAATTATTTTAAATATGGTATAAAATTACCTTCAGGCTATGTGCATAATGTATATAAGAAACATAAGTGAACTTCATGCTTAGACTTGGGTCCCGGCCTCAAGATATCTCATTATGTATATACAAATATTTTAAAATCCAAGATAATCTGAAATCCAACACACTTTTGGTCCCAAGCATTTCAAATAAGGCATATCCAATCTGTACTGACATTATTTTGATCTCTAACAGTTGGTAATCCTATCTTAATCCATATAACTTTTTTTTGAGACAGCATCTTACTCTGTCATCCAGGGTAGAGTGCATGCAGTGGCACGATCATGGCTCACTGCAGCCTCGACCTCCTGGGCTCAAGTGATCCTCCTACCTCAGCCTCCCAAGTAGCTGAGACTACAGGCAGGAGCCACCATGTCCAGTAATTTTTTTTTTTTTTGTAGAGATGAGGTTTCCCTATGTGCCTAGGCTGGTCTTGAACTCCTGGGCTCAAGTAATCCTCCTGCTTCAGCCTCACAAAGTGCTGGGAGTACAGGTGTGGGCCACTGCACCCAGCCCATATAACTTTTACACTTACAACAAGAAATTAAAAATTCAATGTAAGAACATATTTTGTTGCAAAGAAGCAGAATAGGTGGCTCAATAAAAGATTTCCAAGAACAAAGAAAAAAATTACATTAGGATGTAACCAGGGTTGAGAACTCAAAAAAAAAAAAAAAAAGAAAAAGAAAAATTCTACATGGGGGGTAGAATAAAAATATGAATTCAAAGTGGGAAAAAAGAGCAATGTAAAATTTCCAACCATTAAGAAAGAGGTTGTTTGTATATTTTTTAAATTAATGATAATGGGTGTCAAAACATTATGATATTTAGATTGAATTGAACATATGAGTGATTAACAGTTTTATTTTAAAGTGTTAATATGGAGAATATGTTGGAAATTATATATTTTTTGCAACTATCTGGACACATGTTGACAATTTTAGGTCTATCTAAGTCTATGGGAGGAGGCATATGACATTTCACAATCCTTGTAGGAGAGATGTGAAGGGAAGACCCCTGAGCTATTCTTCCTCCTTCTTGTGTTACCCCAGTAGGAAAATGGACTTATAACTGGAGAAGAGAAGCTAGGTGTCAGCAGAGACATGATGGAGTGGACATTTCTTTCAGTCCTTTACCAGGAAGTCCTTTCAAACTGAGGAGGAACATACTAAGGGAGAGACACACTAGTCTTGAAGCCCATGGCATTCCTGAAGATCCACCTCACACCCCAAATTACCAAACCCCAAAGCTCTCTTCAGCTCAGTAGGTTGTCCTTTAATTTTCAGTAACCCTTCCCTACAGCAGAAGAACCAATTTTTCTTTTCCCTCATAATTTGAATCCCTCCCACTAATTTATTTGAAGATGAAGATATTATCCTCTTTTACTACCAGTGAAAATACAATGACTTGAGAAGAGAAAATGATCTGTGTGACGCCAGGGTAGAAGTGGAAGTTGTGGGCCCTCGAATAAACCACTAGTCTTATACTTGAAGCAGGATAAACAATAAATGCCAAACCCAAGGCAGAAACTAGAAACATGGAGGAAAAGAGGCATAAATGCCTCATATTAGACAGTTACATTCTAAGAAATCTTTCTTGCAGCAGTTACTTTCCTACAATGACCAACTTCCTCTGACTCCAAATTTACTCCTTATGTACACTTGGGTTAGATATTCCTTTGACTATCCAATCATACCATTGTATAGTACCATTTACACATGCATACATGCTCACCTAAAGAACTTTTTGTGTGTGTGTGTGTGTGGTTTTTTTTTTTAAATCGAGTCTGGGACCTGGTTTCGCTCCATTGAGTCACTGGTGAAAAATTTAGTAAATCTACGAAGAGAGTTTAGTAAGTGTAAGAAGAGTCTGCTCACTGTGTGTGATATTCCAATAGATTCATGTGTTCTACACACAGGGATCTCTTGGATATAAGGGAGGCATTTCTCAGGTGTCTGGGTGACTTTCTGGTCATTATCCAGGTTCCTGGCTCAGCTTCCCAGGTCTCTTTGAATAAGCAGAGGGGATCCACATTCAGACAAGGCTCCTGGGGCTCTGACCAGAGGGGCTGGACATCCCTGGTAGACCTGACATTGGGCACTGAGACTCCTGGAAAACTTAAGCTGTTAATTTTGCAGTTCTCCATCTTGACTGCTTCTCGGACTGACCATCAGTTGGTGGGTTTTCATCAGCCTTCTGCCTCACCTCCTCTGATCCAAGCAGCAGCAGGGACTCACTTGCATGCACTGGTCTTGTAGGCAGTGACTTTTAAGCCACATCCTCTGTCTACCAGGCTAAACTTGCCTGCCTGAGAGGCATACTCCTTCCATCCTCTATCGTACATCTGTGAGCTACCAACTCTGGCCCTAGTGTGATACTGCCAGAATGTTGTGTACCTCATCTATTTAGAGTGGGAAGCCCATAAGGCAAACTGAAGAGGCCCCGTATCCTCACTCCCTTTCTGCTCAGTTTTTTCATTTATATTATCTCAACTTCACTCTACTAACCAGAGCACCAAGGAAGGGTAGGTTAGCAATTACGTCTATGATGACTATAGAGAAGTGGGGAGATGACTTATGATCCTCTTTGTGCTGGATTCCCTACTGAAGGCATCTGATGGCTTCTGATTTCCCTGGTCTGAGAAGAAAGTCCCTCTCCACCTCTCCCTCCTTACTCTACCTCAGGCTGAGGGGCTCAGGCAACCTTTTATGTTGCATATGGCATAGGTATCTCTGCCTCACTCCAGAAGGGACCAACCAATAGCCACCTACTCACCTACTTCTGAGGTCTAGTGCCTACAGACCTGGTGTTCATAAATTTAAGTTCTGGATTTAGGTCTCCTTTCCTGTAGCCAGGTGATCAGTGACCGGCAAAAATCAAGATCCCAGACTTCCTGAGTAACCTCATCAAGACTGAGGTAACAGCTCACATAGCTAGTGCATAGACAGATGCAGGTTACATGGAGTCTGAATCCCGTACACATTTGGAGGCTCCCTTTGGGACTGCTGGGATGCATGAAACATGGGATTTCACTCACAGTTGTGCTCACTATGTGTGATATTCCTATAGATTCATGTCTCTACACACAGGGATTTTTGATCATTCTGAATTGTTGATTCCCATAAAAAATGAATACATGGTGATCACTGTATATGCTGCATTACTGAATACATATTTACGAGAGTCTCCAACACATCTTTACACGTCTGAGGAGTAAAAGAATTTCCCACAGATTAGCTTCTGGTTCCCATTTCAAACCTCATTTCTGTTCCACCTCTGGCATTGGGTGTAGTATGGCTCCTTAGTGCTCCAGGCCAAAATAAGTGGCACAGGGGTAAAGTCATTTCTGGTGGGGGGTGGGGGATTTGGAGAAAAAAAGAAAGGATTGCAGGGGAGTACACTGGGAGGGTTAGGAGAAATTCTGGAGATACGGTCCACTCAATGGAGGCACATACAACCAAGCTGAGAAACGACATAGTACCCAACAGAGTTGGGAGATGTGAAACCCAAACATCAATCTCCACCTGGGCATAGAGGAAATACTCGATTTCCAAGCAGGTTCTAGGTTCAGAGGAGAGAGCCCTTGGTTGGAAGCGCCGGTCTTGCAGGATGGGGTGGGGGCGTTAATGCAAACTTCTGGTCCAGCAGAGGTAGAAACAGACCAGATCTAAGTAGCAGCTCAGAGGCAGCGGACTTGAGGGATGAAGACGTGAGGCCCAGAGGGTGGTGCCTGGCAGAGAAAACAGCTGCCAGACACCAAGGCCACCTCGGGTTAAAGGGAACAAGTTATATCCAAAAAAAAACCAACACGGTGAAAATAGGAAGAATAAGGATATCACCTGGAGTGTTCTCCTGAGACACTCCCCAAGAACCTGGATTCTTTAACAATCCCTCCAGAGCAGGGACACTCAGCACATACATCTCCCACAAAGTAAAGTGTCTGAAGGCCTGGGCAAACCCTTCTCCCTCCCCTTCTCTCTCCTCCACGGGCCGGCCCGGAGGAGGCTCAGGGATGAGAACTACTGTCACTGCTGTTCCCCACCTCACCCCAACGAGAGAGGAATCTTTAGAGGTCTGTATCCCTCCTTCACCACCCCGCCTGAGCGCCTGCTGGAAAACACAATCACCGTCTCAAATCTCACCCTGCAACTGCATCCAAGCGCTTTCTCCAAGCGTTCGGGGAGCCGCCGGAACTCTTCTTCCAGGCAGGCGTTCCGAGACTCCGCACAATAGGTACCTACCCTTGGGGTTTTGAGCCGCAGTGTCTGCCTCTGTTCAAGTATCCAGGCTCAGGTACAGACCTTTCAGTGCAGGCGGCGGGAGGCGCGAACACGGAGGACCCCCTCAGGCATACTGCCGCCCGGGCGGCGCCTGACAGATTGCCTCCTTGGGATCGGCGGACATGCCCTGGGCGCTCCAGCTCCGCGCGCCTCAGACACAGGCTATGATTGGCCTGGCTGAACGTCAATCAGGGCTCGGCGCCGTGGAGGCGGGAGGAACGCTGTAGGCAGAGGCCGCTTAACTCCCTACGGGGTTATTCTCCGCCTCTTCTAGGGTAGGCAGGTGTTCCCGAGTCCCTTAGGGGGGGTCCCCGCGGCGGCCTGAGATGCTCGGCGCCAGGTTGTCGCGCCCTTGAGCTGGCTGAAGTAGACATTGACTCTGGAGAGTCTGCGTTTTTCCTGGTCCCAGAGCCGTGGTCCCGATACTGCGCTTCCCGCTCCTCCAGTCCCAGCTCCCAGGCTCCGTCTTCTCCCGCTTGGCGCTGGAGAAACACCGGAAGAGAGAGTCGCAGAGTGACTGCTGTGGCCCTGCGACCTGACTGCCACCTTCCAGGACTCTAGCCCTGGCTCCTTCTAACCTTCCCGCCCCTCAGTGCCCCAGAGAGGCTGGTTTGCGGACAATTATTCATCAGCCGGAAGAAAAGGAGGTGCCAGTGTTAGGCGCAGAAGAGGGTTGGACCAGAAAAGCTGGAGAGGGGCAAGAGGGGAAAGAGGGGGAAGGGGGAAGGCGGAAGGCGGAAGAAGTTGGGAGGGGTAACAGCTCGAGCTTTTCCTCTAGCGTAGTTTCTCTTCTCTCGGTGCCGCCCCATCTGCTTCTTGCCTCAGTTCCCCACTCGCACCCGTGCACCTCTGCGGCAGGCGTGTGAAAGGAATGGGAGGGGGGGCTTTTGGTCGGGATATCTGGTCCTCCAGACCCCACAGCCTTGGCTGAGAACTTACTTAAGCCCACTCCAACTGACTTGATAAATGAGAATCTTGACCAGCCCACTGGTAGGTAGAAATGAGGGACGTCATGTATCCCTGAATGGAATAACCCGAAACCGCAGGTCCCGTGGATGTGGGAATCCACAGCACTGGCTGCGCTCCTAAGGCTCCTAAGTCCACTTCCGAACCTCATCTAAGACCCTGAAAGCCAGACTAGGGACACATTGGATTATTATTATTATTTTTTTTATTTGAGACAGGGTCTCGCTCTGTCGCCCAGGCTGGAGTGCAGTGGTGTGATCTTGTCTCACTGCAACCTCCGCCTCCCGCGTTCAAGCGATTTTCGTGCCTCAGCCTCCCGAGGAGCTGGATCTACAGGTGCGCACCACCACGCCTGGATAATTTCTGTATTTTTAGTAGAGACGGGGTTTCACCATGTTTGCCAGGCTTGTCTCGAACTGTTGACCTCAAGTTATCCTCCCGCCTCCACCTCTTAAAGTGCTGGGATTACAGGCCTGAGCCTCTGCGCCAGTCCTACACGTTGGATCTTTTCCCAGACCTCCTCCTCAGACGTGGAGCGTACAAATGATGCTCCATCGGTTACTCTGATCCTGACTTTGGGACTGCCAGATAAAACTGGGAGAAACCCTACATTTACTCTTACTGTAACGTATTGGCTTGAAACTGCAGGTCAGAACCCATTTATGTTGAGACCAAAAGACTTTTTTTCCAAGTAGAATGAAATAGAATAAAATACAATTGAAAATACTTGCCTGCATCACAGGTAATGAGAGTAACTATAGTTTCATGAAACCGTTGTTTCAGTTAAATATGTTTTTGCGTGTGTGCATGTGTATCGGGAGGAGATATGTATTTCATATATATATGTAGAGAGGTGGAAATCAACAACAAAACTCCATAATTTTTCTTGTTTTCTAACAGTTCTTGATTTTGAGTAAAAATAATTCTTTAAGAACAAAATTTTGAGCCAGCTAACGAAAGATCAGAGTCAAGCAGCCTCTCATTGGGGCCTGAATAGAGGTTCATCTTATTTGGCTTTTTCGTTTTTTTCCTATCTTGTGGACTCCTTTTAAGGCCCAGCAAGGAATTACCCTCCCCAAGTTTCCACTCTCTGCTTGGTTCAGCCATTCAGCTGTCTCTCGGGCTCTTTGATTAATAAAAAGTCCAGTAGAGCTATTTTATCCTATGCATGTGTGGGAAGAGGGCAATGCCAGTGATTCTTTCCTGATTTGACAGAAAATTCACAAATCACGTTACCTTCTGAAGATAGAGATTTTAAGCTCAAACATTATCACCAGAGAACTGAATTATTAAGAAAGATGAGTGGTCAAAAGTACAGATGTTTTACAGATTAAGGGTCATTTTGTCAGGTCCTGTCCAAAATATTTGAAGTCTAGGGGTTTGAAAAATTGTTAGAAATAACCATTTATGACAACAGTTTTCATTTATTGTTCTCTCCAGCTTCAGGAGCAGGGGAGAACATTTTTTTCCTTCTTACCTTGCTGAGAATTTTTTCACCAGGGTTTCAAGGCTAAGAACTGAAATTCCAGCATTGACATTGAATTAAAAAGAAGCAAGCCCTTTTAGGAAGTCAAATTTTATTATATGAGATGGAATGTAATATTGAGATTACTTATTACTTAGGCATGGGATAGGGGGGCTTTTAACAACAGACCAAAAAAAAAGTTGGAAGGATAGGAATGAAATAAAGCAAACTTTCATTATTCATAGATGATACAATTGTCTACAGAGAAAAATAATCTAAAACATAAGAATTAAGAGTTTGGCACAGTGGTTGGCTAAATATATAAACAAATCTATTGCATTTTCTATAAAAACAAAAAAGTAGAAATGTGATTAACTGGTTTATATAACAAACTTACAGTACAGTTGACCTTTGAACAACATGGGCTTGAACTGTGCAGGTCTACTTATATATGATTTTCTTCTGCCTTTGCCACCCTTGAGACAGCGAGACCAACCTCTCCTCCCCTTCCTCCTTCTTAGCATATTCACCATGAAGACATGAGGATGAAGACCTTTATGATGCTCCACTTCCACTTAATGAATAGTAAATATATTTTCTCTTCTTTATGATTTTTTAAATAACATTTTCTTTGCTTTTCTGAGACAAGGTCTTGCTCTGTTGCCCAGGCTAGAGTGCAGTGTTATCATGGCTCACTGTAGCTTCAACCTCCTGGGCTCAAGCGATTCTCCACCTCAGCCTCCCAAGTAGCTGGGACTACAGGTGCACGCCACCCTACCTGGCTAAATTTTTAATTTTTTGTAGAGATGGGGTCTCGCTATGTTGCTGAGGCTGGTCTCCAACTCCTTGTCTCAAGCACTTCTGCCTCAGCCTCCCAAACTGCTGGAATTACAGCCATGGGCCACCGCACCTGGCCAACATTTTCTTTTCTCTAGCTTACTTTACTGTAAGAGTACAGTATATAACACATAAAAATATAAAATATATGTTAAATAACTTTATGTTATTGGTAAGACTTCTGATCAACAGTAGGCTATTAGTAAAGTTTTGGAGGAGTCAAAAATTATGTGCAGATTTTTGACTGCACAGGTGGTCAGCGCTACTAACCCTCGCATTGTTGAAGGGTCCACTGTAATCAGGAATAAATTCTCAAAAAGGAAAGGCATGCAAGATCTTAGTGGGGAAAATTAAAATCATTAAAAGAAGTTGAAGAAGTACTGCACAGATGGAGAGATACATTCATGGTTAGGAAGCATCAATATCATTAAAATGCCAGTTTTCCCCAATGTGATCTATAGTTTCATGCTATTTCTAGAAAAATTTCAACAAAATGTTTTATAGAATTGGACACAATGATATTAAAATGAAACGAAGGAACACAAGTTCAAGAAGAGCCAAAATACCATTGAAAATAAAGAGGAAGTTGGGGAATTTCCTGACTACATGAGAAGATATTATATACACCACTGGATTTAAGACCATGTGCTATTATTGGTGAGAGAGGGAGTAGACAACTGGGCCAATAGAATAGAATGGAAAGAGTGTCAGGACCCCTTGTATGTGAAGAATGGTCATTAAAGACCAGTGGGTAAAGGATGTATAATTCAATAAGTTTGAATTTATGACACTGGATTAGTGGATATATATACATCATAATAAATTCCAGATGAACTAAGTACCGACGTATTGAAGGCAAAACTGTAAAACTTTTAAATGAAAATGTGAAAGAAATATTTGTATGACTTCAAGGTAGAAAAATATTTATTAAAAAGACACACATACACATTTTAAAAACAAAAATGTTAAGAGAAGATGAATAAATTTGACCACATTAAAATTAGAAACTTTAATCAAAACACACTCTAAAGGAAAAAAAGCCACAATCTAAACTTATTTATATCACACATAATTTACATAGGATCAATATCCAGAACATCTAAGAATAGCCCCATAGGAAAATGATCAAAAGATGTGAAAGGGCAGTTCACAAAAAGGGATATATAAAAGACCAATAAACGTACAAAAGTTAAGCTCACAATAGTTATCAGAGAATTGTGAATTAGAACAGTCCTTGAAATAACATTTTAAAATCACTAAATAGACAAACATTGAAAAGTCTAACATTATCAAAAATCAATGAGGATGTAGGGTGAGGGGAACTCATACTCTGATGGTGGACTTCAAACTGAAATAATCTACTTGGAAAAAAATTGGCATTTTGTAGAGTTGAAGCTGAGAATATCCTAAAGCATAGCAGCTCTACCCTTAAATATATATGCACCTTAGGGAAATTATTGAATAAGGCACCAAGAGCAATGTGCAGGAAAAGTCATGAGAGCATTCTTTGTAATTGCAAAAAGCTGGAAACAACCCAGTGTCCATTTGCAGGTAAACTGATACACAAATTTTGGCATAATCATAATGTGGAATTCTATGCAACATCAAGATCAGTGGAATACAGATAAAATAATAAACTTGCATAATTCTTAAAATCATATTGTTGAATGAAGAAAACAACAGAAAACTACATTTTGATATTAATTATGATGTTAATTTGTTGTCAGACAAAGACAATATTTACTATGATGAAAAGCAAGATAATGATCAACTCCAAATTTGGAATAATAGTTGCATTTTGCAGAGAGGAAGGGAGATTCTAAGGGAAGACAAATACAGGAAACTTTAATGTTAAGGGTAACGTTCCATTCCTTCATGTGACTGGTGGGAAAAAATGGATGCTTAAAATTCTTGTAGATATGCATCACATGCATTACTTATTTGTAGAAAAATATTTCAAAAACTGGATCATAAGAAAAAAGGAAAAAGATGTATAAGAAATCATTTGCATAGAGACAGAAGTAACAAAGGCAATTTGATGAAATTTATTGAGACAGAAGACTAAAAAATGAAAAAACATGGTAAATATAAAAATATGATGGCAGAAGTAATCCAGATATATATGCATTTGTAATGTCCATTTATATCATTGCATTAAATCTAAATTTTTCTGCTCAGTAAAGATGGTCTGTGTGTGTGTGTGTGTGTATTTGCTATTCAAAAAGTGCTGGTGGCAATGGCTTATACCTGTAATCCCAGCACTTTGGGAGGCCAAGGAGGGAGGATCACTTGAGCCCAGGAGTTTGAGATCAGCCTGGGTAACATAGCGAGACCCTATCTCTACAAAAATAAAAAAATTAGCCAGGCGTGGTTGTGCATGCCTGTAGTCCCAGCTACTGAGGAAACTGAGGTGCAAGGATCGCTTGAGCCTGGAAGGTTGAGGTTGCAGTGAGCCGTAGTCGCACCCCTGCACTCCAGCCTGAGCGGCAGACTGAGACCCTGTCTCAAAATAAAAACAAAAACAAACAAAAAGCACCTAAAACAAAATGACACCGAGTGATTAAACCAATGGACAATGATAAACTCAGGCAAATGCTAACAAAAATTAATTATGGATAGAAATACTGTCTTACTCCATTTTGTGCTGCTATAATAGAATATCCAAGACTGGATAATTTTTAAAGAACAGAGATTGACTTATTACAGTCCTAGAGGCTAGGAAATCCAAGGTTGAGAGGCCTGCATCTTGCAAAAATCTTCTGGCTGCCTCATACTGTGGTGGAAGGCAAAAGGGATAAAAAGAGAGCTGAGAGAGAGAAAGAGAAAGAGAGAGCGCCCAAGTGCAACAGGTTGAATTCACAGGCTTTTAGCCTTTTTGTAATTGGCATTAATTCATTTATGAGGATGGAGTCGTCATGACCTAAACACCTCTCATCATTAAGCCTCACCTACTAACACTGTTGCATTGAATATTACATTTCCAACATATGCTTTTTGGGGACACATTCAAACCATTACAAATACTAATATTGAACAAAGTAGAATAAATGATGAAGAAATTTTTCAGTGTCAAAGAAGGATACTTTATTATGCTAAAATGTACAATTCACCAACTACCCATAAGTTATAAGCCTTCATATCCTAAACAAGTCTTTGAAAGTTAGGGAAAAAAATGTGCTTTGTTAGGAAAGATAAATTGACACATTTAAGAGCTTTTAGCATACTTTTAAACTAAACTGTCATATCCAATTGTAAAATAATGTGAATGTAAGATATTTTGCTAAAGCAAATAATGATCTTATCAAATATTTATAAAATTGTGTACTCAACAAATAGTGAATGCATATTTTCCCAAACATAATGCATTAAACCACAAAGTAAAATTAAATAGAAATTAGAAACTACACGGGCTATATTCTCTCACCGGTATAAAACACATACATAGAAAAACAAAACAAAACTAAAATAAAACAAAACAAAACCTCACCAAAACAGTACTAACAAGAAAGCCTCCACTTGGAAACTTAAAAACATCTCACTAATTTTTGGGTTGAAAAGGAAATCAAAATTGCAATTCAAAGGAGTTATGTTTTTGCTAGGAATATGGAGGGAATTCAGTTCAGAATTCATTTCTCTATATAGTACAGCAAAGAGAATGAAAAAGAAAACCACACAAGAACCTCATTTTTAGTGAAACTAGGAAACAAAAAGTATGGTTACATCCCAAATTGCATGTCATTTGTGCTTAAAGCAACGGAGAGCAGAACTGGGCATAAGAAGCCAAAATGTTGCTGTGGCAACAGATGAAAGCGTGGAGGGAACTAGTGGTGCGGGATCTCGGAAAGGGCCCGAAAATATTCTCTCTCTAAGAGTAGAAGCCAGCCTAGGTTGGAGCTGTTGGCAGTTGGCCTGAGCTACAGTGAGGCCCAGATGCTGGGGAAGGCAGAAGAAGGCCCACATATTGGGGGAGCAGACTTTGTTTTGGAGGTTCCAAGGTGGCAGATAACAAAGGTTCCCTCTGGAATGCAGGGGGTCCTAACACCGTGGTAGAATCCTTGCTGAAATAGATTAAATTCCCCAAGTTGGAAAAAACATGGATGCAGCGTATTTTAAGATAAAGTTTACGTGTTAGTAATAAAGGATTGGTCCTTCGGTTGTAAAACCTGGGAGGTTACTATTGCCCATGTCTTCTCTCACCAACCCATCATCCCACCCCCATCCAATAGGAGTCTTCCACTAATATCTGGTCCAGGAATGCTCAATTTATTCAGAATAAGTAGGAAAAGAAATGGCACAGTTCCACATAAATATGCCATGAGAAAAAAATGTTTACAGAAAGCAGCAAGATTTCCCTCCAGAAGTAATGAAGCAACCTCAGCCATGAAGATCATGGAGCCAAAAGGATGACCTTCAGCAGAAGCAGTTACGAGCCAAAGAGGTCCAAGGGCACTGAGGGAGGAGCCAAGTGGTAAGGGCCACCTCTGGCTGGGATCCAGGGTGCCCAAGTGGGAAAATGAGCAAGCCAGAGAGTGCTTGGTCTAGGGATTAAGAAAAGCACACAGTAATAGGTTGGACACTAAATTTGAAAATGAACAGTGAGAAAAATGCTGTGGGGACCAGGATTGAAATGAAGTAACAGAACAATTAAAATTACATGATCCAGGGACAGAGACTTGAACTCATAAACAGGCCTGTGTTGCCCATTAGTCACAAGGGGAGCAGTGAGCCATTGTTAAAATGCCAAGGATTCCCAATGCAGTTTACTTGGAACTTTGCCCAGCGATGAAGGAGTCTGACTTGTCTTTTCTGTAATAGTTAGAATCAAAGAAAAATAAAGCACAGCTGGTGGGAGGGTGAGAAGCAAGCATCATGAACCACGGTCTAATTCAAGGATCAAACTGCTGTCCAGTTCTGGCAGATTTTGGATTGCAAGGGGAATAAAGCTGAGAGGCCATATTGGCACCTAGGCACAGTGAGGTGAGTCTGGCCACGCATTTAAGAAGCCCCTGCAAAATGATACAGGTGGTTACTAAAAACCACCTCTGGCCTCTGGAAAAAAAGAAATAGCATCTCCCGGATAAGAATATCTGGGTCTCACACCTATTGACCAGGTCGAGATAGGGTTCAGTTGGGGATGGGATATAATAAAAGGCATGGGTAAAGAAACTGGGCAGAGGCATAGTGCCTGCATGTTGGAGATTAAGGAGGGAATTCGGAACTCATTTTTCTATATATATTACAACAAAGGTTAAGTTTGGAGGTTAAGTAAGGATGCTGCAGCTCACTCATGGTTGCTTTTCCTTCAGAGTACTCATGCCTCGGCTTACCCAGGGGGACTCAAGGAGAGGAATGTGTGTGCGCATATCTATCTATCTATCTATCTATCTATCTATCTATCTATCTATCTATCCATCCATCCACCTTCTAATCTACCTAAATCAATCACTGTGTGTATCTATTCCAACCACAATGGACTCCTATCATTCAATTTCATTTAGTGGTACATCTCAGCCCAGTTTACAGAAAAGCTGTAAAGGGCTGTAAAAGGCTGTATGAGAACATAATCTGAAAAGCGTTGCTCAAAAGAGCATATTATATATTATTGGGCATTTATGAAGAAATTAGATCTCACACTGAGCTAGTTAATAAAGATTTATAATTACAAATGGGCTGCAGCATGTGATTCTGAACTTGACTATTTCCTTTTGCCCTTCAGTTTCAGACTATGATATGGATTATGATTCTCTACCACCCCCTAGTGGAAATTCATTCATTTCTTTTTAAGTCCTGCTTCTTCTAATCATTTAGTCTAAATGATTAGACTAAATGAGAAAATTACATAGTAAATATCTGGATTCACTCTTGTTATAAAAGGTTCAAACCGGCCGGGTGCAGTGGCTCACACCTGTAATCCCAGCACTTTGGGAGGCCAAGGCGGGCGGATCACAAGGTCAGGAGATTGAGACCATCCTGGTTAACACAGTGAAACCCCCGTCTCTACTAAAAACACAAAAAATTAGCCTTGCGTGGTGGCGGGCGCCTGTAGTCCCAGCTACTCGGGAGGCTGAGGCAGGAGAATGGCGTGAACCCAGGAGGCGGAGCTTGCAGTGAGCCAAGATTGTGCCACTGCACTCCAGCCTGGGCTACAGAGCAAGACTCCGTCTATAAAAAAAAAACAACAAGTTCAAACCATACAGAAGGGTACGGAGTAAAAGGTCTCCTTTGTTTCTCCCTCCTCCCCATTCCATTCTAGGTCCCAAAGGTAACTGTGTGTAGTTTGTGTTATACTAGGATATTTCCTGTGCTTTTACACATTCCAGGTATATGGCAGGAAAAATCCTGAGACATCAACTGAGGATTATTTTCCTCAGGCATCTTTCTACAACAGAGGCAGATAACGCATTTCCCCTCATGCCATGGGAGACAGACCACAGCAAAACAGCAATGACCAAAAGATTAAGATTTTTCATTTAAAATTTTACATTTGAAAACCATGGTAGGCCAGGTGTGATGGTCACATGCCTTTAACCATTTAGGAGGCTAAGGCAGGAAGATTGCTTGAGCCCAGGAGTTCAAGACCAGCCCGGACAACATGACGAGACTCAGTTTCTACAAAAAAAAAAAAAAAAAAAAAAAAGAAAAGTAAAGAAAAAAAAATTAGCTGGGCATGGTGGCGCTCACTTGTGGTTTCAGCTACTCAGGAGGCTGAAGCAGGAGGATTGCTTGGGCACAGGAGGTTAGGGATACAGCAAGCCATGTTCAGGTCACTGTACTCCAGCCTGGGTGACAGAGTGAGACCTTGTCTCAATAAATAAATAAATAAATAAAAAAAATAGAAAACCCAGTAGAGGCCAAATGAAAGAAAGGTCTTTGGAGATGAAAAACCTTAGATTACTAGATATCTGAAGTCAGCACTTGTTCCATAAATAATAGATTTGGGAAGTACTCCGGATAATCTTAGAGCCAATTTTCTTCTGTGGAAGTGATAAGAATCCACAGGCTGAAGACAGAAAGAGTGTCAGGAACTGGTTTTGGGGTCTTGCACTCTGTAATCCAGTTAAACTGTGTGACAGAGGGTCAGTGCCTCCTCCAACTCAGATATTTTGGGCATACAAGGATGGGATCAAAGAGTGTGCTGTTTCTGGTCTACGGAATATTACAAATTTGAATGAAATAAAAATATTTCTGACAGTTTCTAAACTCTCTTTTCTTAGTACTCAATAGAATGGACTGTCATCCATGCTGGGTAAGGAAAGATCTTGACAAGGAAAGGAAGGAATCAGGGTTTCATGAGAGACAGGGTTCTAGGGATCCAAGCACCATGATGAGGTAATGGCTAAGTTTTCTCTTGGGTAATGCAAAGAAAAGTTGACCTTTACTGCTGTGAAGCAAATTAGAAGCTAACCCGGGGTGCATTCGTTTGGTTTCTTCCAGAAGCAGTCCCTGACACAGGGACATGAATGAAAGTAATTTATTTTGGAGGTGCATGAAACTTCAGTAGCAGCTGAGTAAAAGATTGGGAAGGGAAAACAGCCAACGAAGGGTGAATGACTGGAACTTAATCCCCTGGGGAAATTCTGGGAAAGCACTTGCCTCAGAGTTAACCCAGCCACGGAAGGAGGGAGTTGGGCAATTGTACATCAATTCCCATTGGTTGAAGGCTGCTGCCTGACACGTGAACTCTTCGGCCCTTCTAGTCTGCTGTGAGTCGGGCAGAGTGGCCCTTCTTGGCTTTGAGGAAGCCTTCAGGAATGATGCAAATGTCCAGCCAGTGTGCACTACAGTGGTAAGGCCCAAGGAACATGGCAGGTATTAGTAGCATCAGCCATACCAGGTCTATTTCTAGTTGGAGAACCCTTAGATGACTGGAGCCTGTGATCTCTTACATCTGTAATATCTGTGATCAGAATGGAAGAATTTTCTATTGTCTTTTCCTTTTCAATTTTGCCCAAGCCTTCATAAAGTCTTGTTAAAACTTTGACAACAGTCTTATTTTTACATTCCTTTAATCAAGAAGGACAGGCCTATGTCCAAATATAGGAGGATGTATTAGTTTGCTAGGGCTACCATAAGAAATACCACAGACTGAATGGCTTAAACAACATAAACTTATTGCCGCCTGGCTCTGGAGTCTAGAAATGTGAGATCAAGGTGTCAGCAGGGTTGGTTTCTTCCGAGGTCTCTGTCCTTGGCTGGCAGATGGTTGTCTTTTCCCTGCATCTTCCTATGGACTGCCCCCTGTGTATGTATGTCCTAATCTCTTTTTATATGGATACTAGCTATATTAGGACCTACTTTCATAACCTCATTTTCACTTAATTATCTTTTTAAAGACTCTAACTCCAAAAAAAATTCACGTTCTGAGGTACTGGGTTTATTCAACATTATGAACTTATAGGGGGACACAGTTCAGCCCAAAAAGAGGAAAATGGGGCAAAGGGAAAATCCTTCTTCTCCATCTTCTTTCCTGTTCTCTCTCAAAGGCCAAGGTGAGTGAGAGCAACATTGGATCATGGGATCTTGGTTGCCCTGCAACTCAAGAGATATTTGGCTTCAACGTTAGCAGTGAGCAACAGCAGAGCTGAGAACAGTGGTATAGAACTGAGTCACACTGAGTCAGGCTACATTTCCCAGGCTAATTTGCAAACCAGAATTCCAGATATAATTTTTATTCACTCAAACTTTCCACTCATGAACTTCTTAAATGTATTTTGAAAAACTATGCACATCCTCATACATGTTTTTTAAATTTAACTTTTTATTTTGAGGTAATTAGAGAGTGACATGCAGTTGTAAGAAATAATACAGACAGAACCTTTTACCCTTTAATCCAGTTTCCCTGATGGTAACATCTTATAACACTTCAGTACAGTATTGCAATCAGGATATTGACATTTGTGTCAATGTCAATATTACAGTCAAGACAGTATTTTTGTCACTCCAAGTATCCCTTATCTTGCCCTTTTATGGTCGGTTCACCTCCTTCCCACCCCCATCACTTCCTTAACCACTGGCAACTATGAATTTTTTCTCTATTTCTGTACTTTTGTCATTTCAAGCTTCTTAATACAAAATGTTATACAAATGGATTGTGCTTTTTTTTTCTTTTCAATAAAGTTTATTTTATTTATTTATTTATTTTTTTTGAGATAGAGTCTCACTCTGTCACCCAGGCTGGAGTGCAGTGGCACCATCTCAGCTCACTGCAACCTCCACCTCCAAGGTTCGAGTGATGTTCATGAGTCAGCCTCCCGAGTAGCTGGGATTACAAGCATGTGCCGTCTTGCTTAGCTAATTTTTGTATTTTTAGTAGAGACGGGTTTCACCATGTTGGCCAGCTGGTCTCGAACTCCTGACCTCAATGATCTGCCTGCCTCGGCCTCCCAAAGTGCTGGGATTACAGGCGTGAGCCACCACGCCCAGCCTGGATTATGCTTTTGATGTCAAGCCTACGAATTCTTTGCCTGGCCCTACATCTCAAAGATTTTCTCCTATTTTTCTAAAATTTTAATAGTTTTACACTTCACATTTACTCTGTAATCCATCTTTTTTGTTTCTTTATCTATTTTTAGAGATGGGGTCTTGCTCTGTTGCTCAGGCTGGAGTGAAGTGACGTGATCACAGCTCACTGCAGTATGTAACCTTTTGGGACTGGCATTTTTCACTCAGTATAACTCTCTGGAGATTCATCCAGGTTGTTGTGTGTATCAGTCATTCTTTTTTATTGCTGAGTATTATTTCATGGTATAAGTGTACAATAGTTGGTTTAACCATTTACCTGTTAAAGGATATCTGGGTTATCTTTGGCTACAATGAGTAGGCAGTTAGACAAACATTTGCATACAAGGTTTTGTGTGAAGGCATTGTCTGTGCTTGTGTATTTGTGTATGCAAGTTTTCATTTCTTGGGGCTAAATACCCAGGAGTACAGTTGCTGGGCAGGATGGTAGTAGTATGCTTAGTTGTTGGATTTTTGTTGTTGTTGTTGGTTTTGTTTTGTTTTTAAGAAACTGCCAAATCATCTTCCAGAGTGGCTGTACCATTTTATATTCCCATCAGAAATTATGAGAGATCCAGTATCTCTTCTTCCTTGCCAGCATTTAGCATTGTCGCCTTTTTTTTTTTTTTTGAGAAAGAGTTTCACTCTTGTTGCCCAGGCTAGGTACAATGGTGCGATCTCTGCTCACCGCAACCTCTGTCTCCCGGGTTCAAGTGATTCTCCTGCCTCAGTCTCCCGAGTAGCTGGGACTACAAGCATGTGCCACCACACCTGGCTACTTTTGTATTTTCAGTAGAGACAGGGTTTCTTCATGTTGGCCAGGCTGGTCTCAAACTCCCGACCTCAGGTCATCTGCCCACCTTGGCCTCACAAAGTGCTGGGATTACAGGTGTGAGCCACCGCACCCAGCCCATTGTCACTATTTTTATTTTAGCCATCCTGATAGGTGTGGAGCGATTATCTCATTGTGGTTTTAATTTGCATTTCCCTAATGGCTAATGATGTTGAACAACTTTTCATGTGCTAATTTGCCATTTTTATATCCTCCTTAGTGAAATATTACCTTAAGTCTTTTGCCTATTTTCTAATTGGATTTTTAATGTGTTTTCTTTGTTGAGTTTTGAGAGTTCTTTATATACTCTAGATACTAGTCCTTTGTTCAATGCATAGTTTGCAAATATTTTCTCCTACTGTGTAGCTCATTTTTTCATCCACTTACCAGATCTTCACAAAGCAACAGTTTTACATTTTGATGAAATCCAATTTATCAGTTTTTCCTTTCATAGATCATGCTCTCAATGTCAAGCCTAAGAATTCTTCGCCTAGACCTATATCTCAAATATTTTCTATTTTTCTAAAATTTAAGAGTTTTATGCTTTACATTTACTCCATAATCCATTTTGTTTATTTATTTTAATTAATTGTATCTGGTAAAGGTTAAGGTATTGCATTTCTCTGACATTTTTTTTTTTTTTTGAAACAGAGTCTTGCTCAGTCACCCAGGCTAGAGTACAGTGGTGTGTCACAGCTTATGACAGCCTCGAACTCCTGGGCTCAAGCAATCCTTCTGCCTCAGCATCCCAAGTAGCTGGGACTACAGGCAGGAGCCACCACACCAACATTATTTTTCATTTTTGTGTATAGACAGGGTCTTGCTATCTTACCCAGGCTGGTCTTGAACTCCTGGACTCAAGCAATCCAATCCAGTTGGAATTAAATTTTGCATAAGGCGTGAGACTTAGGTCAAGTTTCATTTTTATTTTATTATCTTGCCTATGGATGCCCAATTGTTCCATTTCACCATTGTTCAATTCACTATTTGTGAAAAAGGCTATTTTTCTTCCACTGACTTCCTTTTGCACCTCTTTCAAAAATCATTTGGGCAGATTGTGTGGGTCTTTTTCTACGTTCTCTATTTTGTTCCACTGATTTGTGTGTCCATTCCTCTGCTAGTAACACACAGTCTTGATTACTGTAGCTATAAAACAATACTTGAAATAGGGCAGACTGATTTTCAACTCACTTTATTCTTCTTTTTCAAGAATGTTTTAGGCGTCGGCGTCGCTCCCGCCCTGGAGCTCTAGGCCCGCTTTTCCCCGCTTGAGTCTGGCGTCGGGGTCATTGTGTCTTGACAACCGCTCCGGTACCCCTTTCCGAGGCAGCAGGTGCGGCCGCTTTAGCCTTGAGCGGGCTCCGCGTCTGCCTGCTGGTCTCTGCTAGTGCCGACCCTTCTGTTCGCGGACCCCACGCCAAGCAGCGACCCTGAGCCGACAGGCGGAGCACCCGGCAATGGCGGCCTCCACGGCCTCGCAACGGCCCCTCAAGGGGATCCTGAAGGACAACACCTCTACGACTTCCTCTATGGTGGCGTCGGCCGAACATCCCCGTGGGAGTGTCCACGAGCAGCTGAGCAAAAAATCCCAGAAGTGGGATGAAATGAACATCCTGGCGACATATCGTCCAGCAGACAAAGACTATGGTTTAATGAAAATAGATGAACCAAGCACTCCTTACCATAGTACGATGGGTGATGATGAAGATGCATGTAGTGATACAGAAACCACTGAAGCTATGGCAACAGATAGCTTGGCTAAGAACTTAGCTGCTGCTGAAGGCTTGGAGCCAAAGTATCAGGTTCAGGAACAAGAAAGCAGTGGAGAGGAGGATAGTGACCTCTCACCTGAAGAACGAGAAAAAAAGCGACAATTTGAAATGAGAAGGACGCTTCACTACAATGAAGGACTCAATATCAAACTAGCTAGACAATTAATTTCAAAAGACCTACACGATGATGACAAAGTTGAAGAAATGTTAGAGACTGCACATGGAGAAAGCATGAATACGGAAGAATCAAATCAAGGATCTACTGCAAGTGACCAACAGCAAAATAAATCACGAAGTTCATAGAAGGGATTTGTTCAACACTCTTATTGTTTGTTAGATATGAACCCCGTTGCTATAATACATTGCTTCTCGTTCTCCACAAGTCATGACTTAAGTACCAAAGTGCATACCAGTTATTATATATTGCCAAGAATTAAATGAAAACCTTAAAGACTGATTAGACTGAAAATGCCTAATTGATATATATATTCTTGTGCCTAGTACTTTACCACAAATACGGTGTAATATCATCAGTCCAAAACTGTATTACTTTTGTAAAAATACTGGTTAATTTGTATATTATATAGCTTTTCATGCTTTAGAGGTTAAACAATATCTTTGGGGGGGAACTAATTTATTTTCATCACTCTAAATGTGGTGATAGCTCTTATAAAGTTTGTTGACTTTTTTTTTTTTAACCAAAAGCCAGTTGAACAACAGGATATGTATGCTGATAAATATTCAGGCTGAATAGTATTTTAACACTTGTCTTCAACTTGATTTGTCTGTTTAATTGAAAAGGATTGTGACCTCGCGCGGTGGCTCACGCCTGTAATCCCAGCACTTTGGGAGGCCGAGGCAGGTGGATCACGAGGTCAGGAGATCGAGACCATCCTGACTACCACGGTGAAACCCCGTCTCTACTAAAAAAAATACAAAAAACTAGCCAGGCATGGTGGCGGGCGCCTGTAGTTCCAGCTACTCGGGAGGCTGAGGAGGGAGAATGGCGTGAACCCGGGAGGCGGAGCTTGCAGTGAGCCGAGATTGTGCCACTGCACTCCAGCCTGGGCGACAGAGCGAGACTCCGTCTCAAAAAAAAAAAAAAAAAAAAAAAAAAAAAAAAAAAAAGAAAAGGATTGTAAGAGTTACTGTTACATTTTCTGGCCTACTACCTTTAAAATTCCTGTTGCATTTCTTTGTATTTACAAGGAAAAGACTGAACTTTTTCTCATCAAAACTAGCTTTTTTCTCACAGGTTAAACTTGCACCAATGTCTGCTCTTTTTTTTTAATGTTTTTGGTACTCTGGGCAGACTTCAGTTTTTTAAAAAATAAAGATTCTAATGCAGCTATCTTGGCATTCCCTTTAAATACCTGTCTTAACCTCCTACTTTTATTTCCTACTCCTTTCCACACACATGCATACAATCCTTTACCTTTTAAAGAATCATTAAGACTGTCACACATTAGGAACTCTTTCGCTCACTCTTCTGTCATTTGCTGCAATATTGAAATTCTTATTTTGACCATCAATGCCTATTAATTCTTCTAATACATGAAGAAAATGATTGAGTAGCAGCAGTACTATAGGTGGGAAATACAGTTTAACTGCTGAATTTTTATACCTCTCTGATTTATAGCTTGCTAATTAAATTGCTATTAATAGTTTGTTTGGCTTAATTAGACTTAAGAAAACAACAGGTTTTTTTTTTTTGAGGTTTTTTTTTTTTTTTTTTGCATGAGGAGAGAATTGTATGTAACCAGTGATATGATTATTCCTGAATGTACAGACAGAAGTAAGCCTGGACATTGTTTAATTTAAAAACTTTAGTCCCTGCTTTAAGGGAATATGATAATGTATACTATGACAAATGTACTTTATTCTTCTAACACAGTAAGAATTACTTGGAACTTTTTCCTGAAACTAAGTGCAGGAAAGCCCTGTGTGTCTTGGTTTAGTGATGGTTTCATTTCTAGCCATACAACTGATGGATTGTATACAATTTTTGTTAGTGCCAAAATAATCTGTTATATGAACAGACTTCTAAAATAATTTCTGTATATTATATATGTAAGAAGGCTTTTATTGAACAGCTTATTTTCCACTTGCAAGTTTATGGAAATATCAATATGTCAAAATAAAAAGTGGGACAATTCTTTGCTGTTAGAAGAATGTGCTTATTATTTTGATTTCTTAAATGGTACATAATCAAAGTACTGCTGAACTATAGGTGCAGTATTCTACTAAACATTTCAGCTAGTAATACCACTGATTTAGAAACAAAACTGTTTATTTTTGCTTTCTGAATTTAGAATGCTGGGATTACCTGTTTAAATATGTTTTAGGGAATATAGAGATTAAATCTGTACATACCTGTGCACATATATTCATGCACCCTCTGATTTTGGTTTTCTCGTTTTTGAGTTCTTAGAAAGTATCCACATACTCTTCTTTTAGTAGAAGTAGCTGTTTTAGAGAGAAGAAAAGGATGAGACTTTAAATAGTTGATTCTTTTTGTGTTTTCTACAAACTTTTTTGAATTTTAAATCACAAGCAAACTAATTTTCTGGTTTTTAGAAAGTAGATGATGATTTCAGAGGAGTAAGACATGCCAAACAGCGTGCTCGGTAGGATTTTAGGTAGTCAAATGCAGCTGAGAAAAAGTATTTTCAAGTCATAAGTTGCTAATTGATATGCTATGAACTAGTCAAAATAGGAACCATATGATTCATGTTAGATTTTCCTCTAGAGATGGATCTGAATGTTCAGTTCCAGCCAAGGTAGATTTTACTTTCAACTTTTTAATCAATATCACTTTCTGTGCTTAATCTCTTTGGTGTTACCTTGTCCATTTTCATTTGTCTAAAATTCTGCAGGGATGACTACAATTTGGCATAATGGTATAAATGAATTGTTAAGGGTAACTTTAAGTTGAAGATTAAAGCAAGATGCCATTTTCCCCATGTCTTTCATTTTGTTTACATTTTTTCCCTTTAAGTTAGTATACACTACACATACTACAATAAAATATAATAATATGAAAAAAGAATATTTTAGATATTCTAGTCCCTTTGCCTTTCCATGTAAATTTTAGAGTAATCCTACCTATAATTAACAAATCTTGCAAAGATTTTGATTGGAATTGTGTTAAACTTGTATATTGGTTTGGGGAGAATTGACATATTTACTATATTGAATCTTCCAATCCATGAACAGTATTTCTCTCCACATAGATAGAGACTGAATAGATCTTCTTTGATATCGTTCACCAGCATTACATAGTTTTTAGCTTGCAAGTCTTGCATGTTTTGTTAGATTTACACATAAGTGTTTCATGTATTTGAGTAATTGTAAATAATATATTTATATTTTTGGGCCAGGCGCGGTGGCTCACGCCTGTAATCCCAGCACTTTGGGAGGCCAAGGTGGGCGGATCACAAGGTCAGGAGATCGAGACCATCCTGGCTAACACGGTGAAACCCCGTCTCTACTAAAAATACAAAAAATTAGCCGGGCATGGTGGTAGGCGTCTGTAGTCCCAGCTACTCCGGAGGCAGGAGAATGGCGTGAACCCCGGAGGCGGAGCTTGTGGTGAGCCGAGATCGTGCCACTGCACTCCAGCCTGGGCGACAGAGTGAGACTCCGTCTCAAAAAAAAAAAAAAAAAAAGAAAAAAAAAAAATATATATATATGTATCATTTGTTCATTGTGAGTATGTAGAAATACAATTGATACTGGTTTATCCTGTATTCTGTTAATTTGCTGAAATCACATATCTAGAAGTTTTTCTGTAGCTTCCTTGTGATTTTCTACATAGACAATCATGTCACTTACAAATGGGAGCTGTTTATTTCTTACTTCACAATCTGTATGCCTTTAATCTCCTTTTTCATGCCTATTGCACTGTCTAGAACTTCCAACACTGTGAATAAGAGTGGTGAGAGTGGACATTCTTGCCTTGTTCCTGATTTTAGGTAGAAACTATTCAGTCTTTCAGAATCAAGTATGTTCACCATAGGATTTTTGTAGACGATCTTTATCAAGTAAAGAAAGATCTCCTCTACTCCTATATTTCTGAGATTAAAAAAAAATAATGAATGGGTGTTAAAGTGGGTTAAATACTTTTTCTTCATCAATTGATATGAACAAGTAAATTTTCCTCTTCAGCCTATAATATGATGGATTACATTAATTAATTGTGAATATCCAACCAGCTTTGCATCCCTGGGATAACTCTCACGTGGTCATTGTATATAATTCTTTTTATATGTTGGTAAATTCCACTTGCTAATATTTTGTTAAAGATTGCTGCATCATGAGGAATATTAGTCTACAGTTTTCTTTTCTTCCCATTGTCATTGTTTGGTTTTGGTATTGAGGTAATTCTAGCTTTATAAAATAAACTGGGAAATGCTTCCTCTGCTTCTATTTTCTGGAAGAGATTAATTGGTGTTAATTCTTCTTTAAATCTTTGGTAGAATTCTTCATTGAAACTATTTGTTCCTAAATATTTCCTTTTGTGAGTTTTTAAATTATGAATTCAATTTCCTCAATAGGTGTAGACATTTTTGAATTATTTTATATTTAGTGAGTTGTGGCACTTTATATTTTTTGAGAAAATGATCCATTTAATTTAAGTGTCAAATTTATGTGTGTAGAATTGTTCATAGTATTCTTTTGTTATCCTTTTGATGTCTGTAGAATCTTTGATGATATCCCATTTCATTTCTGATGTTGGTAGCTTCTATCTTCTGTCGTCTTTTTTTCTGAGTCTTGCTAGTGGTTTGCCAATTTTATTAATCTTTCAAAGAGCCAGCTCTTTGCTTCATTGATTTTTTTTTGCTTTTGTTTTTCTGTTTTCAGTTTCATTGTTCTGCTTGCTTTTTATTTTGTTATTCTTTTACTAGATTCTTGAGGTGAGAGTTTAGATTATTGGTTTGAGACTTTTCCTCTTTTCCAATGTATGCAGTTAGTGCTTTAAATTTACTTCTCAAATGCAAATCAAAACCACAATGAAATGCCATCTCACGCCAGTCAGAATGGTGATTATTAAAACTCAAGAAACAACAGATGCTGACAAGGTTGTGGAGAAATAGAAATGCTTTTACATTGTTGATGGAATGTAAATTAGTTCAACCATTGTGGAAGACAGTGTGGCAATTCCTCAAAGATCTAGAACCAGAAATACCATTTGACCCAGCAATCCCATTACTGAGTATATACCCAAAGGAATACAAATCATTCTATTATAAAGATACATGCACTTGTATGTTCATTGCAGTACTATTCACAATAGCAAAGACATGGAATCAACCCAACTGCCCATCAATGACAGACTGGATAAGGAAAATGTACATATGCACCATGGAATACTATACAGCCATAAAAAGGAATGAGATCCTGTTATTTGCAGAGACATGGATGAAGCTGGAAGCCATTATCCTCATCAAACTAATGCAGGAACAGAAAACCAAACACCACATGTTCTCACTTATAAGTGGGAGCTGAACAATGAGAACACAAGGACACAGGGAGGGGAAAAACACACACTGGGGTCTGTCTGGGGCGAGGTTGGAGGGAGGGAGAGCATCAGGAAAAATAGCTAATGCATGCTTGTCTTAATACCTAGGTGATGGGTTGATATGTGCAGCAAACCACCATGGCACATGTTTACCTATGTAACAAACCTGCACATCCTGTACATGTATCCTGGAACTTAAATTTACCTCTTATAACTACTATAACTGTATCCCACAAATTCTGATATGGCATATTTTCATTTTTGTTTAGTTGTGTTTATTGTGTGTATTTTTAAAAAATTTCCTTGAGACTTCCTCCTTGACCCATGTATTTCTAAGTGTGTTGTTTTGTCTCCAAATGTTTAGATATTTTCCTGTTGTTGATTTCTGGTTTGGTTCCATTGTGGTAGGAGAACACTTTCTTTATGATTTTATTTAAAAAATTTGTTGGTCTTTTATTGTCTTAGATATGGTCTATCTTGGCATATATTCTGTGGGCACTTAAAAAAATGTTATTCTGGCTGGGTGCAGTGGCTCATGCCTGCAATCCCAGCACTTTGGGAGGCTGAGGTGGGTGGATCACCTGAGGTCAGGAGTTTGAGACCAGCCTGATCAACATGGTGAAACCTCATCTATACAAAAAATAAATAAATAAATAAATAAATAAATAAATAAATAAAAAATTAGCCAGGCATGGTGGTGTGTGCCTGTAATCTCAGCTACTCAGGAGGCTGAGGCAGGAGAATTGCTTGAACCTGGGAGGCAGAGGTTGCAATGAGCCGAGATTGTGCCATTGTACTCCAGTGTGGGCAATAAGAGTGAAACTCCATCTCAAAAAAAAAAAAAAAAAAAGTGTATTCTGCCATGGAATACTATGCAGCCATAAAAATAATGAGATCACGTCTTTTGCAGGGACATGGATGGAGCTGGAGGCCATTATCCTTAGCAAACTATTGCAGGTACAGAAAACCAAATACTGCATGTTCTCATAAGTGGGGGCTAAATGATGGACACATGGACACAAAGAGGAAAAACACATACTGGGGCCTATTGGAGGGTGGAGGTTGGGAGGAGGCAGAGGGTCAGGAAAAATAACTAATGGGTACTAGACTTAATTCCTGGATGATGAAATAATCTGTACAACAAACCTCCATGACACTGTTTACCTATGTAACAGACCTGCACATGTACCCCTGAACTTAAAATAAAAGGAAAAAAAAGAAAAAAGAAAAAGGAAAATCTCGTGGAATCTACTAAAAGCAACGAAAAAGAAAATAATGTATCTTCTGTTGTTGGGTGGTGTGTTCTATAAATGTTGATTAGATCTTATGGTTTGATGTTGTTTATTCTTCTATGTTTTTTCTCAATTTTTGTCTATTTGTTTAATCAATTGTTGAGAGAAAACTATTGAAGTCTTCAACTATCATTGTTGACTTGCCTATTTTCTTTTCAGTTCTATCAGTTTTTGCTTTACATAATTTGCAGCCCTGTTGTTTGGTGCATACATATTTAAGATTGCTATGTCTTTTTGGTAGATTTACCCTTTTATTATTACATAGTGTTCCTATCCATTTCTAGTAATTTTCTTTGTTCTAAGTTTATTTGATATTAATATAGCCTCCCTTTATTATTTTTTGTCTGATATATGTTTTTCTATCCTTTAACTTATAAACCGCCTATATCATTATATTTGAAGTGAGTTTATCATAAACAGCAAATAATTGAGTCTTTTTTTTTTTTTTTTTGAGACGGAGTCTCGCTCTGTTGCCCAGGCTGGAGTGCAGCGGTGTGAAGTGGTGTGATCTCAGCTCACTGCAACCTCCACCTCCCGGGTTCAAGAGATTCTCCTGCTTCAGCCTCCCGAGTAGCTGGGGCTACAGGCTTGTGCCACCACAGCTGGCTAATTTTTGTACCTTTAGTAAAGATGGAGTTTCACCATGTTAGCCAGGATGGTCATCTCCTGACCTTGTGATCCACCTGCCTTGGCCTCCCAAAGTGTTGGGATTACAGGCGTGAGCCACCGCACCTGACAGAGTCATATTTTTAAATCTATTCTGCCAAGCTCTGTCTCTTAAAATTGATGTATTTAGGCGATTTATATTTCCTATAATATTGTTATGTCCAGGCTTAAGTCTGACATTTTATTTTCTGTTTTCTGTTTGTTCTCTCTGTTTTTCATTTCTTTGTTTTCTTTTTCATTGCTTCCTAAATAATTTTAAAATTCCATTTTAATTTATCTATAGCTGTGTGTGTGTATGTGTGTGTACCTCTTTGGATAGCTCTTTTAGTGGTTGTTCTAGGTATTACATTATATTTATGTAACTTATTTATTGTCATTAATTACCAGTCTGAGTGATGTGTAGAAATTTCTTCTCTCTTTGTTTACCCTCCCTCATTTATAATTGCCTGTAATATTTTCTCTATATACATTTATAACCATATGATACAGTATTATACGTTTTTCTTCAATCCTATAATTTAAATAACTCAAGAGAAGAAGTAAAGTCCATTTTTTAACCCATATTTTTTCTTGCCATGTTCTTTCTTCCTTCCTGATGTTCCAACTGTCCTCAATTTAACTTTTTGTTTTTTTAGGGTAGACCTGTTAGTGACAAATTCTGTTAGTTTTCCCTCATCTCTGTATGTCTTAATTTCCCTGGATATTTTTGCTGATATAGTGTTCTAAGTTGATATTTTTTTTTCCTTTCAGCACTGGAAAAAGGTGGTGACCTCCTTCGGGCTTACACAGTTTCTGATGAAAATTTTGCTCTGTCATTTTTTTCACCTGTTAGATGTCATTTATCTCACTGCTTTCAAGATTCTTTTTATCTTTAATTTTTAGTTAATTACTATGATTTTGGTGTGGCTTTCTTTGGGTTTGTCCTATTTGGGGTTCACTCACCTTCTTAAATCACTAGGTTTATGTCTTCTGCCAAATTTGGGAAGTTTTCAACCATATTTATTTGATAATTTTTTTCAGCTTCACTCTCTTTTTCCTCTCATTTTGGGACTCTGAGTACATGAACATTAAATCTTTTGTTATAGCCCCATGGGTCCCTGAGGCTTTGTCCATTTTTTCCAGTGTATTTTCTTTCTTTCTTTTGTTCAGATTAAGTGATTGCTATTGCTGTGTCTTCAAGGTAGCTAATTCTTTCCTCTGTTCTCTCCTTCTGCTGCTGAGCTTATTTACTGGGCTTTTTATTTTGGCTATTGCACTTTTCAGTTCTAAAATTTCCACGTTTTCTTCCGTATATATCCTATTTTTATGCTGAAACATCCTATTTTTTTCTTTTCTGCTCTTTTCTTCTTCTTTCTTTTTTTAAACCACTGAACTGGACATCCTATTTTTTTCATTCTTTTAAGTGTTAATTGCTCATCAAAGCATTTTAATAATGGTGGCTTTAAAATCTTCATCAGGCTTTTCTTTCCGTTTTGGCATCTATTTTATTGTCTTTTAAAAATTCAATTTGAGATATTCCTGGTTCCTGATATGACAAATAATTTCCAATTGAAACTTGGACATTTCAGGCATTATGTTATAAGGCTATTGGTCTTATTTAAACTGTTTTAGCTGGCTTCTTTTAACACCTCTCCAGCAGGTAGGCAGGTGAGCTTCATGACGCCAGGTAGGGGTAGGAGTCCAGGCTTCTCACTCTGCCTTCATTGACACCTCAGATAGGTCCCCATTATTACTGAGTGGGGACAGAAATTCTGGCTCCCTATTAGGTGCCCACTAATACCTCCCTGGTTGGTTGGGAGAGGAGTGCCACTTACTATCCCTCACATGACCTTTATTGACACCAAGATGGGACAGTGGAGTGGAGGAGTGAGTGGTAGGTATCAGGGAGTGGTTGCTGGATTAACTCTGGGTGGTGATGAAAATCCTGACTCTCCATTAGGCATTGTCTGACATCACCCTAGAGGAGAGGGGAAGAGATGCTTCATTACTGTTGGGTGAGGAATGGAAGTCTAGGTTTCCATTGACATTTCAGGGGCTTGGGGAAAGGAGTACATTTTCACCAAGAGGGCATGACCATCCTGACTCCCTATTCACTTTCTCTGACACCATCCTGGTGTGTGTGCATGTGTGTGTTGAAGTGTTGGGTTCCTTATGACAGCCTGGTGAGGGTGAAAGTCTAGGCTCCTCATTTGACCTTAGCTGGTGGGGGTGGAGTCGCAGTTTTTTCTGTGGTGTTTGGCTGGCCCCATTACCCAAGATGGAGTGTAGTGGTGCGATCATAGCTCACTGTAACCTCGAACTCCTGGGCTCAAGTGATCCTCCTGCCTCAGCCTTCAGAGTATCTAGGACTATGACACATCGAACTATGCCTGACTAATTTTATTATTATTATTCATAGAGACAGGGTCTCATTATGTTGCCCAGGGCTGGTCTTGAACTCCTGGCCTCAAGCGATCCTCCTGCCTGGCCTCCTTCCCAAAATTACTTTAAATGATATAATAGCTGACAGCTTGAATAGGTCCTCTTTATTTTGTTGGAGGCAGAGTGTTAGAAGTGACCTAACAAAAAGGATTTGTTTCTTGTCACTAGACTCATTCACTGTGTCAATGAGTGTGTCAGTGGTTTGTGGGAAGCAAACTTAAATGAAAATGTATATTTTTAATTAAATGTTATGAGATGCTTTTTTTAAACTATTGGCTCTTGTGAATTTCAGAAAAATATTGCAAGTCATTTGACTTAGCTACTTAGCTTGCACTCTATGTAAAAATTTTAGAATTTTACCTCTTTGAAAAACTCCTAATATCAATAGTGATATTGTTGTTTTGCAGCCTCAAATGATTTTGTTACTTTGGACTAATTTTCACTGAGCTAGTTAATAAGTGACTTTTTATTGTCTAAAAAATTCTTAAGTGTATCATAGAGAGAAAGATTATTGGGTCACTAAGTGGCTTTCTATATATATACCTTTGTCCATATTTAATTTTTGCAAAACTCAAATTAAGGTGGTAAACTTAGTGTGGATATACATTCATGTATTGTATTGATAAGATTAACTACGTTTTAAAACTAAAGTGGAAAGTTTTAAACAAAATTGTCATTCAACTATATATGTATTTCTGTAAAACACACACGTAATGATGAATTCGAATTAATAAGCAAAAAAGGAGAGGATTTGTAATTTAAAATTGATCTTGGAATATACACTCTACACTTAAGACAGAGAAAAAACTTTTTCTTTCCCTTTAGCATAATCTGCCCAGCTAGCGGTGGTTTCTTATCAGAATGCTCTCACTTAATACCTTGATAACTTTTAGTGCTTTGTGCTGATAGCATCAAGTTTTTAAATTATTTTAAAAACAAACAACAACAAAAAACCATTTGCTTCTGAAACACCTAAAGTTTCTTATAATTGTTACCTTCTTTATGTTTATTTTCAAATGTTTTATTGTCACTCTGGTTATTGAGATATCAAAGTTATAACAATTGCTCACTCTCAGGTACCTATGCACTTAAGTGACCAGTTTCTCTGAAAATTCTTTTTTGTTGTTGCCTTCTTCCAACCTCATACCCTGAATTCAGAATACTAACACTGTCAAGCTATTTTTCACGCCCCCAAATCTTTGTTTTTTCTCACTAGACAGCCACTACCCATTTGGCCACTAGGTGGCGCAAAAGGCTTAATTTTTCACCTTCCTCCGCCTACTGTGAAGGAAGCTAAAAGTAATTAGATGTGTTTGGCATGATTTTTATATTTTAAATTAACGCTGTACTATCAAAAGAACTACCTGTGTCTCAAACCCACAATGTGGTAAAAGCTGACAAATAAAAAACAGTAGCTCAATTTTCTAGATTAATTTTGTCCAGGTTAAAAATATTATTGATATATGTTTTAGTGACCACATAGGTTTCAGTAAGGGTAAAAGGATGCTCTTGTTCGTACTCCAAGTCTGGCATGGTGACTGTCAATACATTCATTTTGAAGAAGATTTTGCTTCTGGGTTTAGCCCTAAAACAGGCCAAATAGAGACGATAAAATGAGTGGAACTGAATTAGAGCATTTCTGAAAAGTTTTATTTGGTTAATTCTGCCCCTTAAGGTCAGAAATTGTGTAGGAAAAGTGTTTCAAAATTATAAATAAGGCAAAATTGTACGTGCTTGATTATTTTATATCACACTTGAACCTTTGCTCATAATTCTGCCTGATCAAAACCAGAGTGTTTCAGGGATTGTAATTTGCCTAAGACGAACCCGGCCAGCCCTGTGCGATTAGAGGTTAATCAGCAGAGAGCTGATAAGGGATGCTGGCTTTCTCTTTTTCTCCGGTAAAGAAGATAACACCAAGGTTATGATTTTATTGCCCTCTAGCACGTTAGCCATTTTGAATCTCTAGCCTAGAAATTATTTCCTCACAGAGAGATACAGCTCTGTTTTTCAAATACTCTTTGGATCAAGGCTCTTGTATTCTTGCTGGTTCCCTCTTTGAGTTTGATAAAACTTTGAAAAGTCTACCAAAGAAATTTCTCTCAGAACTAGACTTTAGAGAGGAAATGCTGGAACTACGGATGAGAGGCACATGTATGTACAGGGTCAGACCACGCAGAGAGCAGGTCTGATGAGCCACACCACTGCTGCTGCCCCATGGCTTCTAGACGCTGCTGTTGGTTCTGTTGTTAGGACCTGGAGGTTGCTGCAGCCACCACTGAAGACACCTCCTAAACCACTTCTGTTTCAGGAACTTCACTTAAAAAAAAAAAAAAAAAAGGAAAAAACCCACCGCTTCCCCAAAAGACAGTTGCTTCTTCTGTCACCTTTGCCAGAGAAATAAATACAGTAAAAGGTGCTCTGCAACCCCCACACCCTGGTTCCTCCTGTGGCCCCTTTGTAACTGAAGTCTTAGGTGGATGAATTTAATTGGTGGAACTTAGGTGCTCTAGCTTCAAAGAAGGCTAGGGGAAGTGAGCTTTCTGGTTTCCACTTTAGGGAGGCAGGACTCAAAAGGTAGGGGAAATTTCACAGTACTCTAAAGGTGTTCAAATCCCATGGGCAGCCAGTAAACATCACAGGTGTGAGGTGCTGGGTGGAGTGGCTGCCGTGAATATGTGTTTTGGTTCATGGACTACATCAGTGGCTCTTAAAGTCCAGTAATTCACAGATTCATGAGAGATAATAAAATGATTATTTTTGTTTTAAGCCATTAAGTTTGGAGTTGGTGTGCTGCCCAGCAATAGATAATGGAAACATACAGTATGTATTTCTGCAAGTCTGGCTTCTTCACTTAATATTGTTTCTATGAGATTCGTCCATGTTGTTACATTTTCAGTAGTTGATGAAGTTTCATTGTTTACATAGTACTGTGTTGCACGAATAGACTACGTTTTGTTTATCCATTTACTGTTGAAGAACCATTTTGTTAAACAATTTGAGAGTAATCTGTGGAAATTATGCCACTTGACCCCTAAATATTTTGTCATGTATAATTTAAGAATAAGGACATTTCTCCTGCAAAACCCTAATACTGTCATCACCCCCAAGATACTTAAAATTGATACCATATTATCAAACACACAATCCATATTAAAAAATCCCCTATTGTCCCAGTAACACCTTATAGTAAATGTCTGTTATTTTAAGCGGGTGTCATTCATTACATGGCAATAGGTAACTAATACGGTGAGTCTGCTTCTTCCAGCAAGGACCCTCAGGGGGTGCGGTGATTCATAGTTCTCACTCAGACTTCTCTGTGTCTGCTCATATGTCCCTATTTCATATCTCAGGGTCCGGTCTATCCCAACCAGGGGTCTTGCCTTATCACAACAGCTGCTGTTGGATGATGCAACAAACATTTCTACAACTTCATAACCTTTATCATAAGCCCCCGGGCTTGACCCTCAGCCATATCTGTGCTGGGTTGCAGGAGAAAAGATAGCCTTTAAAACTGCTATAGAGGCATTTACAGTTTTTCATTCATGTCTTGAGTTTGGATTAAAGGCTTTTAATTTGTCTTTTTTTCCTTTGTATGCTCTTGAGGGCAGTCTGACGCAGCCAGTCTCTGAAGGTTGGCACAAAAGCCTCCATCGAGTCACCCAGCTTTTGCCTGGTACCTATCCTAACCTAAAACCTTGCCACATGTTACCTTGGCGAAAGGCCAGTGCCACACTTCAGTGATGATTCGGCTGTCCTACTTGGTTAGAACCGAGTTCACTTCCTTCCTCAACACTCCTGCCACATTGATCTGGAAGTTTCACCTTGAGCCAAGTGATAGTTAATTTTATGTGTTAACTTGGCTAGGCTATGGTTTCTAGACATTTGAATACCAGTCTAGATATTGCAGTGAAGGTATTTTTTAGATGAGATTTACATTTAAATCAATAGATTTTGGGTAAAGCAGATTACCCTCCATAATGTAAGTGGCCCTTCCAATCAGTTGAAGGTCTTAGGGGCAAAGACTGAGGTCCTCCAAGGAAGAGGGAATTCTGCCTCTGGACCACCTTCAGACTCAAGCCGCAACATCAGCTCTTCCTGGGTCTCCAGCCTACCTGCAGATTTCGACCGTGCCAGCTCCCACAGTAGTATGAGCCAATTACTTAAAATAAATCTCTCTCTGCCAACATCCTATTGGTTCTGCTTCTCTGGAGAATCCCGACTCATACAAGCCACTTTCTATAGAAGGCTGTTTCTTCGAGAAATCCACCCTCTTCTATGTCAACAGAGTTTAGAATCTCCATACTTTATCTCTTCATTTTTGAGAACATAAATTCTGTATTACACATACTTATACTATACTATATATGAAACTTTCATAAACATTGCTGGGCAAAGTTGAATATTGCTGAACCAATTTCCGATGCTTCTGAATAAGTTCAATGGAGTTAAAACATTTTTCTTCTTACATGGTATGTCCAGTGCCCCAGAGCCAGCAGAGTTAAGAACTTGGTAAGGAAGACCAAAGATAATCCATATATTCTAGTTTGTTATATAATATAAAACATGTTTATTAGATTCTAAAAGACATAAAAAGAAAATAATACATGTGTATCAGTGAGAGAGGTGCAAATTAGGAAGAGAACTAAGGATTATTCTTAATTCCTGCCTTCCTTTCTAAATCCCAATCCTCAATTGAACTCTTTAATTATATTTCCTGTTTATTTTATTGAATGGAAAAAATGGAAAATTATCTAACATTTGTCATGGAAATATAGGAGAAATTACTCTCAGAGATATGATGTTATTTAAGTCATTGACATATTGTTAACCTCAGATGCAAATGGTGGAATTAATAATATTCCTCAGTTCATGGTACATAGTCACTGTTGGTCTAGTGCTAGTTTGTAGTTGTATTTGTATTTTTTATTTTTTAGAAATACGGTCTTCCTTTGTCACCCAGGCTGGAGTGCAGTGGTGTGATCACAGCTCACAGTAAGCTCAAACTCCTGGGCTCAAGCAATCTTCCTGCCTTGGCCTCCCAAGTAGGTAGGACTACAGGTGCATGCCACCATGCCAGCTAATTAAAATGTTTTAAATTTATTTTTGGTAAATGGGGTCTTGTTATGTTGCCCATAGGCTTTAGTGCTATGATAAGCTAGTAATTATAGTGAACATTCTTGTCTTGGATACCCAAGGTTTTTCCGTTATGTATACTAGTGGTTACAGATTTTTTGGATTATAACCTTTGCCAAAATAGGAAAGTTTTGATTCCTGCTTCCTTAACTGTTTTTCAAAAATCACAAATGGATATACTTTACCAAATGTCTTTTATTAATAGACTGAGCAAAGGAAATGACTTTTCTATGAATATGGTAAATTATAGCAACAATATGTTTTATTATATTGAACCACCCTAGTATTCCAAGGATTCCCTATTTGATCTTGATGTATCATTATTAGCATAATCATTATTATTATTGTTATTATTATACATATTTTTAGAGACAGGGCCTTGCTCTGTTGCACAGGCCGAAATGCAGTGGTGCAATCATAGCTTACTGCAGCCTCAAACTCCTGGGCTCAAATGATCTTCCTGCCTCAGCCTCCCTAGTAGCTGAGACTACAGGTGCTCACCATCACACCTGGCTAATTTTTTAATTTTTTGTAGAGACAGGATCTCACAGGATCTCAGTATGTTGACAATGCTGGTCTTGAACTCCTGGCCTCAGGCGATCCTCCCACCTCGGCCTCCCAGTATTATTATTTGTAATATTGTTGAATTCGGTTCATAAATAATTATTTTTTTCTCCCATCTGTGTTCAAGGTGAAATGGGTCTATTATTTTTTTTTCCTTGAGTTTTCCACAACTCAATTTGGAGTCAAGATTACACTCGGCTGATAAAATTAGCTAATCAGGTTTAGTTTTTTTCTGTTTTCTGGAAAAAGTATATAATATAGAAGTTTCATGTTCCTTGAATGTTTGATAGAACTCATCTGTGAAACCATCTGGGCATTTTCAAAAATATATTTTTTTATTAGATGCCATTGATAACTTTAAAAATTGCTTTAATACTCATTGGTATAGTCAAGTTTTGTATTTCTTTTTGTGCTAATTTTGATAGATTAAATGTTTCTAGGAATTTGCTTATCTCACCTAGGTTTTCAAATTTATTAGCATATACTTGTTCATAACACTCTATGCTTTATATCTGTGTCATATCTGTAGCTGTTCCCCCTTTTTCATTATGTATTTGTTTATTCATTTTTTCTCCCTTTATCCATAATCGGCCTTGTTGTAACTCTGAATATCTTACAAATATTTTTAAGTAAGCAGCTTTTGGAATCAAAAGTATGTTAATTTTCACTACCTAGTTTTTTGTTCTCTATTTCTGTTTCATTGCTTTCTATTCTTATCTTTATAACTCCTTTTCTTCGTATTTCTTTAGGTTTGCTCAACTTCTCTTTTTCCAAATTTTTGAGTAGAATTTCTAGGTCCTTTATTTTAACTTTTCTTGTTCTAATAAATGTATTTGAAATTATAATATTATTTTATATGTATATTTTATGTGTAACATTTTTAACACCTGGTTCTAAAAGAGTTAATTTTCTTTATAACTGCTGTTTATTTATTTGACACAGGGTCCCACTCTATTGCTGAGGCTGGAGTGCAGTGACGCAATCATGCCTCACTGCAGCCTCCATCTTCTGGACTCCAGCGATGCTCCCATCCACGACTGCCTTTTAAATCCATGTTACTGATAAATATATTTGTTCACTTACAATTTTAAGTATATTTTAGTTATCAAGTTCTAATTTTATTACAGTATGGTTGCAGAATATAGTTTCTTTCTTTCTTTTTCTTTTTTTTTTTTTTTTTTTTTAAGACAGTGTCTTACTCTGTTGCCCAGGCTGGAGGGCAGTGGCACAATCTCAGCTCACTGCAACCTCTGCCTCCTGGGTTCAAGCGATCCTCCCGTCTAGCCTTCTGACTAGTTGGGATTACAGGTGCACCCCATCCAGCTAAATTTTTTGTAGAGACGGGGTTTTGCCATGTTGCCCAGGCTGGTCTCAAACTCCTGGGCTCTAGGGATCTGCCCACCTTGACCTCCCAAAATGTTGGGATTACAGGCATGAGCCACTGCTCCTGGCCTAGAATATAGATAGTTTCTAAGATACCGATACTCTGGAATTTATTGGCGTTACCTTTATGGAATGATGCATGTCCTATTTGAGTAAATGTTCTGTGTGGCTTGAACTATTATATATAATTTTTGGTTTTCTGGCAACTTTTAAAAAATGAATTTTATGAATCTTGTACCTCATTTTATTTCCTTCTTTGCTTTCACTATCCTATGGCCTGGAGCCAATTATTTTTTATCCATTTATAGTTGGCTGATAAATATGTGTCCTGTTAAACCGGCTCTCTGAAGAAAAACAATGCTTCTGACTTGTAGCATTGCTGATTTCTATAGTATAAATACTTCCATAGTGGTCAATATCAAGTTACCAATAGTTAACAACTGTCTTCAAAAATCCTGAATACTTTGCAATCTGCTCTTGCTAGCCAGTATAAGACAGCGCACCACTTTTTTTTTTTTTTAAGATATTCACGTTGTCCATTAGTTTCCATTAGTTTCACTCCTTGGCTTCACTTACTTTTCTTAACCATATTTTCTCTCTGACCCAGTGTTGTTTTCTTCTTTTAAAAATTGTTTTAAATTATCTCTGTAAGCTGCTACAAACCTTTTATTGGAATGAAGGGCATTAGAACAGTTATTTGGCCAATACAGAAAAATGAAGTCTTCTAATTTTTTTTTTTTTTTTTTTTTTTGAGATGGAATTTCTCTCTTGTCGTCCAGGTGGAGTGCAATGGCGCAATCTTGGCTCACTGCCACCTTTGCCTCCCGGGTTCAAGCGATTCTCCCTGCCTCAGCCTCCCGAGTAGCTGGGATTACAGGCACCATGCCCAGCTAATTTTTGTATTTTAAGTAGAGATGAGGTTTCACCATGTTGGCCAGACTGGTCACGAACTCCTGACCTCAGGTGAACCACCCGCCTTGGCCTCCCAAAGTTCTGGAATTACAGGCACGAGCCACCGCGCCTGGCCGAAGTCTTCCAATTTTAAAAGATCTAATCTTCATTCAGTTCTCAAAGTCTTTGCTGTGCCCTTAAGGCATGTCACACGCATGTGCAGCTCAGGGGTAACCTGGTACTCCTGAGGGTTCAGACTCAGAATTAGGGAATTTCCGCCTGTACTCTCAGTTTGGAGATTCCCCTACACATTCCTGCCCGCAGGGGCCCTTTTTCTTCATTCCTCTGGCCAGAAAGCCGGTATTTCTCTTGTTAACTCAGGGCTTGTGCTACCACGCAGTGCAGCTCTGCACCTGAGGCCTGACGTCAGGGCAGAGCTGGGAGGAAAAAAGGGGAAAACATTGAAAACCCACTCCCCAGGAGGGGCCCCTCTCCCAGTTTTGACCCTCTTCACAATCCACCTGCTTTTGTTTACTTTTTGGAGTCCTTGAGTACTTGCTTTTTGTATACTGCCCAGAATTTCTACTTGTGATCAGTGGGAAAAATGGGCTATTTAAAATCTCAAATAAGTTAAATATCATGGCTAGAAACAACTCCAGGCATTTGTAATTTTAGATTTTTTTCTTTACACTCCAGGGGGATGTGATTGTTTTAGAGTTTTGAATTCGTATGTTTAGCCTGAGATCCTACTAGTATTTCTGTTGAATATGCCTGTTGACTGCCCACTTGTTAGCAAAATGGCATTGAATGTTGGAACTGTAAACTACCTTAGAAATCATTCAGCACCATCTTTTGACAGAAAAGGATATGAGAGTTCACTCCTGTCACTCAGGAAGTGCAAGGCAAAGATAGAAGCAGAATTAAATTTGTTTTAATACAGTTACTCAGCCATCTGGTAACAGTTTCCTAAGTGCCAACGAATGTATGGGGCTATTTATTGCAGATTTTAAGATGATATATGGGGATTGAGGGAATGAGAAGTTTTAGGGAGTGGTAGAGGAAGGGCATATAATAAGACTGAATCCCAGATCCCAGCCTCAGAACTTATTTTGTGACCTTGGTCAAGTGATTTAATCTTTCCAAACCTCTATGTGTCCTATAGAAGTAATAATAATACCTATATAGGGTTGGGTGTTTTTTTTGTTTGTTTTTTCTTTTTCTTTTCTTTTTTTTTTCTTAAGATAGGGTCTTTCTCTGTCACCCACGCTAGAGTGCAGTGGCGCAATCACAGCTCACTGTAGCCTCAAACTCCCAGGCCTAAGCGATCCTCCCACTCAGCCTCCCAGGCAGCTGGGACTACAGGCATGCACCACCGCACCCGACTAATTTTTAAATTTTTTTGTAGAGATGGGGTTCTCACTATGTTGCCCAGGCTGGTCACTAACTCCTGGGCTCAAGCAATCCTCCCGCCTTGACCTCCCAAAGTGCTGGGATTACAGGTGTGAATACAGGGGGTTTTTTGGTTTGAATTTTAAGAGATAAAATTTATAAAACATTTAGCCAATGCCACAAATGTAGCTTCTTTTGGTTATTGTCATTATTCTTTGAAATTCACAAGTGCCCCAAAATATTTAAGCATTTTTCATGTATTGCCCTTTAATATGAATGAATGCATTATGAAAGGAATTCTTTTACATGCGAGTTTGCTGATAGTCTTAGCTAATTCTCATGTGTGTAGGTGTCTTGCCTATCTGTCAGTCTTAGCCTTAAAGGAAAGAGTCCCATCACCTCACTTGCGGCCTCATCATCATGGACCGCATGATGATGCGGAATGAGAATTTTTATTGTTTGTACTACTTCAAAATCATTCAGTACGTGATCACCTGTCATGTATAGGGCTCTTTATATTTCTAGTTTAGTCCCTTTTGTTTTCTCTAGGAAAGATGTTTTAGACCTGGGACAAAAGAAGAAAGAGTGTATGCTGACATCTAGGAGGGAAGCACCCACCTCCCCTAAGCTCCATCTCCCTGAGCACTCATTTCCCAATGACCATACCAGGTTTTGGCCCTAGAGAGTTTATTACAAAATAAGAAAGAGAAGTCTGGGGAAGGTTCACTCATCATAGAATTTTGGCAGTTCATTGCCCAAGATGACTCGATGGTCCACACCGGCAGCTGTAATAGTGACCAGGTAGATGACACCCCCGCTTGAGCCATCCCGGCTCATGGCCAGAGCAATAGCTGCAGAGGGTTTCAAGTTGGAGAGAGGGAGAGAGAGGATGGCTTAGCTTCAAAAATCTTTTTACTCCCCCTCCATCCATATGCCTACTACCACTTTCACCTCAAAACTCATCTTCCAGGAAGGCATATTTAGTGGTGTGCTGGTAAATCAGTTTTTTTACAAAAAGGCTTCCATATGTGGCATCTGCTGATGTCCGTGGTGTAAATGCTCCCGCTATGATGAATTGCAAGTTACAAATAGCTAAGCAGTTCACAAATCCTTGACTATTTAACAGTCCGCTCTCATGAGTGGTCCCAAGCCAGCCTCAGCACACCTCAGCACACCACTGGTTCTTTTTTTTTTTTTTTTTCTCCAGACAGGGTCTCTCTCTGTCACCTAGGCTGCAGCGCAGTGGTGCAATCACCGCTCACTACAGCCTTGATCTCCCCGGCTCAGATGATCTTTCCACCTCAGCCTCCTGAGTAGCTGGGACTACAGGTGTGCACCACTATGCCCAGTTCATTTTTTTTTTTACTTTTTTTTATTGTTTTTTGTGGAGACAGGGTTTCACCATCTTGCCTAGGCTGGCCTCAAACTCCTGGGCTCAAGTAATCCTCCTGCCTCAGCCTCCCAAATTGTTGGCATTACAGGTGTGAGCCACTGTGCTTAGCACACCACTGGTTCTCACAGTGACTGTGTATCCTCATTTGATTTACTCAGAACAGCCCTGGTTTATCCGTATTGCCCAAGAACCCCATTGAGCTTTGCATTTGTCCTGCCCCTTTTCACTCTTAAAAGTGTACCAGGCCCGGCATTAACTTAAATGGCCACCCCTGTATTTCTCTTCCTGTTCCTCATAATCTACTTCCTTCCCATGTTTCAAAGCCCTCCCCAGGTACCCTTCCACTTGGCTGGTTACCGTCTGTGGTGAAGCGCCTGCACTCCTCGGGAGACATGCCTGGCTTATATGCTGCATCCACATAACCATAGATAAAGGTGCTGCCGGAGCCACCAATGGCAAAAGGCTGTCGAGTCAGCATTCCTCCCAGGGTTCCATATACCTGGGAAAGGGATCCTCAGGTTAAAGAATCATCAAGCCCTTCCTTCCCACTGAGACATTAAGTGGTCTCTGCACCCTGCAATGAAGCCCTGGTATCTCATATCCCCAAAGTACTATGCTTTCAGAGGTAGTGTCCTTGGAACTCATTGCTAGAATGACATAGGACTTCCATCTTCCTCTGCAGGAGAGTGGGGAAGCCCAGAGGAGAGAGTGCTTTGGGAGAAACTCACCTGACCTCCTTCACGTTGGTCCCAGCCAGCTACCATGAGATGTGCAGACAAGTCCTCTCGATATTTATAGCTGATATTTCTCACCACATTTGCAGCAGCCAAAACAAGTGGAGGTTCCTCCAGTTCTATCCTGAGGGAAATATTAGGAATAAAGGTTGATAGAATTTTAAGTCTCATTCTCCTATACTGTTACCATCATCCCTGCTAAACGACCCCTGAAAACTGTAACTGCAATAGCTCAAACTGCAGCCTCCCTCCCACATGTACAGGGGAACCAGAGTCCCACACCACCAACTGGTAAGAAGCTTTCAATTGCTCACTCTTTTGCTCAGCCCCACCCACATAACTTTCTTTTGGCTGCAAGGACCCTGCTCTTATGGGGAAAAGCAGATAAGGTTACTTCCGTCCCAACGACCTTGATTTCTCGTATGGTAACTGCCTGATATTATGGTGGGTCACAATATCACCTTCTTCCTGATTATTTATATCAGGATAGTGATTTACAGCTTTTAAACTGTGTTCACATATAGAATGTGGTTCTCAAAATAACCGTCTCATGAGGTACTATATTATCTCCACTTTACAGATGCAGAAACTGACAGATTCAAGTGCCAGCAAGAGCCGAAACAAGACTTTTCCATTTCCCAGTGTCCAGCTCCTGGAACAGCACACTGTACAGGGATTCATGCAGGTTGGGGGAGCTCTAGTGGGTGGGGAGTCAGAACTCCAGAGCTTCATACCCATGGAGCTCCAGCTGGTAGGCGGCCATGTCGGCCACGGCTTGGGCATCAGCAGCTGAACCAGAGAGTGCACAGTAGATGCGCTCGTGCAGCGGGGACAGCTTGTCAAACACTCGGTTCACCACCGCCTCGCTGTCAGGAGGGAGTCAACAGTCACCAAGTTAAAACTCAGGTTTTTTTTTTTTTTTTTTTTTTTGAGACAGTCTCACTCTGTCACCCAGGCTGGAGTGCAGTGGATCAATCTTGGGCTCACTGCAAACTTCGCCTCCCTGGTTCAAGTGATTCTCCTGCCTCAGCCTCCCGAATAGCTGGGATTACAGGCACCCACCACCAAGCCCAGCTAATGTTTGTATTTTCAGTAGAGACAAGGTCCCAACATGTTGGCCAGGCTGGTCTCAAACTCCTGACCTCAAATATCTGCCCACCTCGGCATCCCAAAGTGCTGAGATTATAGATGTGAGCCACTGCACCCAACCAGAACTCAGGAATTTTTGAGGGTGATCATTCAATGTCTCTCAAATTTCTTTGACAAGAGAATAGCATGAAGTTTAATGCTTGGATTAAAGCAGGAGGCAAATAATCATCTCAGATATTATTAATCACTGCAGATGTTAATCAAAATTAGGCTTATTTTTCAGGCTTAGATTTTATAACAAAGCAAAAAATGCTAAGGTAAGAAAAATATGCCTCATCAATTTTCTTTGCTATTAACAATCTTGAGAGAGTTATGTTCTATGGAACATAATGTCAGTAATATTGACCTAACCCCATATACTCATTTTGCATGTGAGGAAATTGGTTAGGAGTGGGAGAAGAGACAAAATAGTTCAATATATGGTAAATGAGAAACCAGGTATCTGCTTGACAGAATCATCTTTTTGATCCCTAAGCACAGATGGAAAGAAGACCCTCAAAAATCTATCTCCTGTCCCCCTCTCAGACCCTATTCCTTTACTCATCCCTGTACACTACTGGGACAGGTCACATACACATTCAGACCCCAGATCCTCCTCCACAAATTCAGAGACCCAAGCACCCACCAAATAGCTTATCATAGTGGCTTTTGGGGAAGGTCAACTCCATTCCTCCAAGGCTCCAGTTTGCCAGTCTTTTCATGAATGGGTAAGGAAAGTGTGTATTTGAGGCCATTAGCTTCTTTCCAAATGCATACATCTTCACTTTTACTCACCCTGCAGACACTCGGGAATCAGAACCCATCACAACGCCCCCGTCAAACTCCACTGCCATGATGGTGGTCTGCAGAGACACAGAATATGGAATGTCAGGGCAAGAACAGCCTTGATGCCCTCATGTTAGAGAAGAAGAAACATTCCCAGAGAGGCGAAGTGACTGGCTCAAAGATTACACAGTAACAGGCCAGAGCTGACTGTCAGTACAGGCTTTTTTTCCCTTCATCTTTCCACTTTCTCTATTGCTTCATCCGGCTGCAGGGGAATGCCACAGCCCAGCTGTGATACAACACAGAAAGAACTGTGTCCCTAAGTTCCAACTTGCCTAGTGGAATCCTCTCCACTGTAGAGAGGTGGAGATGAGGCTCCTACAGGTAGAAGTGAAGCAGCTCCGCAAGTGAAAATTATCTCCAACGGAAGGGCTCATAGTATGTGCAGATGTGGTGTAGACCCAACACAGAGTAATTGACTATGATCTTGGGAAACAAGGTCAGTCTATTTTTTTTTTTTTGGTCCACAATCCTCCACTCTCACCCCCCATTTCATCAGAAGTGAGCTCTTCCAATTTACTGAACATTGGAAAAAATCGAGGAGGGCAGTGGTTAGCATGGCCAGGGGCAAGGCAGGAGAGAAGCAGCAAGGAACACATACAGATGGTTGAAAATAAAAGTTTCAGTTATGGAATTTCCGATCAAGAGGTAAATACATATCTCAGCAGCCAGGGAGGTAAATTTGTACCAAGAGATAATTTGACTGAGAAGTTTAAGCTGACTTTTCCAGGTCAAGAAAAGAATCAAGAAGAAGTGAGGGAAGATAAAGCTACATTTATTCTACTATTGAGTTGGAAGGAGCCTTAAAGATCCTCGGTTCAAATGAGGAAACCAAGTCACAGAAAATGCAAACGACTTATGCAAAGTCACACAGAGTTAATAGTAGACCTGGGACTAAAATTCAGGTCTAACTCTTATCCCTTGTTTCCACTTCTACTTCCTACTTGCCACTGCTCATTTGGCAGTGAGGGGAGATTTCCCAAATTATAAGTGGTTTCACTGTGTCTTTCTTACCAGGCCGTAAGTTACTCTGGCCCCAAAGGACGCTCCTCTGAGTATGCTTTCCGACGGACCGACTTATCATGAATAGAGGGTCAAAGAACAGGGTTAACTTCAAGTTAGAGGCTATTCCTCTCTAACAAAGCCGCCCCCAAGCCACGAGTGGTGGCAGTAGTCCAGAGCAGAAGCCAGCCAGCCAGTCTTGGGGCTGCCATCTGCCCCAGGCGCCCATCCTAAGCAAAGTCCCCCCAGTGGGCACATGGGAGTGGGCAGGGAAGACACAGGGAAGGGAGTAAGGCAGCATCTGGGCCAAGGAGAGGCCTTCCTGGGTCAAGCTAGGGAAGGGCATCACTAGTTAACACAGAACGCCCATTATCAGTGCTTGGGCTAAGAGTTGCCCAGTGGCAAGTTTATCAAAAGTCTGTGTGATGAGTTGGTCCTTCTCAATAAGTGCCTATATTTCCTTCTCCCAAGTGCTGTTCTACTTCACCCAGGGCACCATTTCCTCATCTCTTTGCACCATCCCCAACCCCCTTTCTTGATTTAACCAGCCCCCACTGTCCGGGACCAGAGTGAAAGCGAAAGCGCTTTAGAGTAGCTTCCCGTTGACGCTTCCAGCTAAGAGTCAAAGCACCCGCTTTTTCCACCAGCCTCGCGTGCCTGTTCCCTTCACGGACACTCTAGACGACCCCCCTCAGAAAAGAAATACTCTATGCTCATTGCGGGTTGCAAGCGCTGGCTGCTACAGGCGACCTCCCTGCGCTCCCGTTGGTCTCTGCATTCACTTCTCCGCGCGCGCTTCCAGGGTCCCCTGGCCGCTGCATCTCCTCCACCCCTCTGCCAACCCTCAAGCCCAGACCCATTACCCCGGTGTGGACTTCTCCCGCCCGGGGTAAGTCCCCGGTTGGTGCTCCCGCCCGCAGCATCCCTGCAAGGCACCGCTCTCCTCGCCGCCTGGGGCACTGGTTTCCAACCTGGGACAGCGCACAACGCGCAGCCGACAGCCCCGCCCCTTCGCGGCGCCGCCAGGAGGCGCCTGGGTGCTGCGGGGCTGCTTTGCGCGCGGCGCTAACGTGTGTAGGGCAGATCTGCCCCGAGACAAGTGACGAGGCAGCCCCGCCCTGAGGCTGGGGTGGGAAAACTGGTGCAAGTGGAAAGGCAGGAGGCAGGGAGAGGCGAGAAGGGTGTGCGTGATGGAGAAAATTGGGCACCAGGGCTGCTCCCGAGATTCTCAGATCTGATTTCCACGCTTGCTACCAAAATAGTCTGGGCAGGCCACTTTTGGAAGTAGGCGTTATCTAGTGAGCAGGCGGCCGCTTTCGATTTCGCTTTCCCCTAAATGGCTGAGCTTCTCGCCAGCGCAGGATCAGCCTGTTCCTGGGACTTTCCGAGAGCCCCGCCCTCGTTCCCTCCCCCAGCCGCCAGTAGGGGAGGACTCGGCGGTACCCGGAGCTTCAGGCCCCACCGGGGCGCGGAGAGTCCCAGGCCCGGCCGGGACCGGGACGGCGTCCGAGTGCCAATGGCTAGCTCTAGGTGTCCCGCTCCCCGCGGGTGCCGCTGCCTCCCCGGAGCTTCTCTCGCATGGCTGGGGACAGTACTGCTACTTCTCGCCGACTGGGTGCTGCTCCGGACCGCGCTGCCCCGCATATTCTCCCTGCTGGTGCCCACCGCGCTGCCACTGCTCCGGGTCTGGGCGGTGGGCCTGAGCCGCTGGGCCGTGCTCTGGCTGGGGGCCTGCGGGGTCCTCAGGGCAACGGTTGGCTCCAAGAGCGAAAACGCAGGTGCCCAGGGCTGGCTGGCTGCTTTGAAGCCATTAGCTGCGGCACTGGGCTTGGCCCTGCCGGGACTTGCCTTGTTCCGAGAGCTGATCTCATGGGGAGCCCCCGGGTCCGCGGATAGCACCAGGCTACTGCACTGGGGAAGTCACCCTACCGCCTTCGTTGTCAGTTATGCAGCGGCACTGCCCGCAGCAGCCCTGTGGCACAAACTCGGGAGCCTCTGGGTGCCCGGCGGTCAGGGCGGCTCTGGAAACCCTGTGCGTCGGCTTCTAGGCTGCCTGGGCTCGGAGACGCGCCGCCTCTCGCTGTTCCTGGTCCTGGTGGTCCTCTCCTCTCTTGGTAAGGGGAACGCAGGGCAAGAGGGGAGGACACAAGGGGACTGGGACAGGAATCAAAGGTAATTGTCAGTAAGGTAGAGTAGCGTGGGTTCTGGGAAATGTGGAGCAGGAGAAGGACTCCTAGCGTGGGTCTTGGAACACCACTTCGGTGTAGAAGAAACGGCACTGGACTGGCGGGGGCCAGAGGTTCTGGGCTCCATTGCTGACCGGGTCTTGATTCTTTGGGCCACGCCGGAAGCGGGGAAATCCTTTGCTCTGGGGCCGAAGGGCGGGGCATCCTCATCTCTAACAGGAGGCTTTTCTACTTCATGATCTCCAGCCTTCCTAATAAAATCCTGAAAGTTCTGGTAGAGCAACCACAGGGTAGTGAGTTCCAGGGCAGCCTATTTAGGTTCGGGATTGAGACGTCAGTGTTTCCTTTCTGCTGATGCCCTCCAGGATAATGGTGAGGGGGAGGAGGCGTGGTGGGGCCAGTCTGACTGGAACTGACCTACTTAGACTTAATATTTGTGCGTGACCTCTCTTCTCTTTCTCCAGGGGAGATGGCCATTCCATTCTTTACGGGCCGCCTCACTGACTGGATTCTACAAGATGGCTCAGCCGATACCTTCACTCGAAACTTAACTCTCATGTCCATTCTCACCATAGCCAGGTCTGGGGGCTGAAAATGGGGCACCCTGCAAATGAGGGAGTTGGAAGTTGGGGCTGCTGTCCGAAATGCACTTATATGGGGATACCTGGGACCTTCAGTCTGTTCCCTGAACACACCCTGATCCCCTTTTTTTCCGGGTTCTTTATAGTGCAGTGCTGGAGTTCGTGGGTGACGGGATCTATAACAACACCATGGGCCACGTGCACAGCCACTTGCAGGGAGAGGTGTTTGGGGCTGTCCTGCGCCAGGAGACGGAGTTTTTCCAACAGAACCAGACAGGTTTCTCCTGAAACTCTTTCATTATACGCCATGTACTGTTCATATCCTCATACATCTGCTTTGATCTCCCCCCTCCCCGCTCTCTCTCTCTCACACACACATACACACATTGTTCCTTCTCATTCTTGATATACCCTCTCCCTGTCTCTCTCTCTCTGTCTCTGTCTCTCTCTCTCTCTCTCTCACACACACACACACACAATTGTTTTTCTCATTCTTGATATACCTCAGGAGCAAAATATTGTCCTCCTTACCTTAAGAAAAACCTAGAGTTTTCATCTAGCATTTTCTTATAAATCTATTCCTATGTATCCTTAGATAGAAACCATAGAATTTCAAACCTGGAAATTTTGAGCTCATAGAGACCAACTGCCTCATCTGACAGAGAAGGAAACTGAGGCCAAGACCCTAAATGCTGAAACTGCACAGTTACATATGGCTAGAGACACACTTGGGGTTAGAACCCTGGTCTCTTGAGTGCTCCACAGACTTCGGCATGCTTTCTAGCAGCACTAGAAGCTGTACAGTTACATATGGCTAGAGATAGACCTGGGGTTAGAACCCTAGTCCCAGTGAGTGCTCCACAGACTTTGGCATGCTTCCTAGCAGCACCCTCCTCCTCCATCTCTGTTATGTGACCAGTTTAAGCTCTTCCTGCCTGTGTGTATAGCATGGGACATACAGGTTCTCTAGGGAACAGAAAGCTTTCAGGAAAATGGAAATTCACATGTGCATTAATGACTTTATAATTAAAATGAAGGTCAGGCCTTTCCTCTTTAACACTCATCTTCCCTGCACTGAGATTTGCAGACCTCTGGAGAACCCTAACCTTGTTTCCTGCAGCCTCCTTAGAACCCCATGTTGACACCCCTGACCCTGGCATCCTGGCTCATTGTTAGTTCGTCTCATCACTTGGAACCTGTCTGATTCACCTCACTCTCTTCTCCCCAACCCTGCAGGTAACATCATGTCTCGGGTAACAGAGGACACGTCCACCCTGAGTGATTCTCTGAGTGAGAATCTGAGCTTATTTCTGTGGTACCTGGTGCGAGGCCTATGTCTCTTGGGGATCATGCTCTGGGGATCAGTGTCCCTCACCATGGTCACCCTGATCACCCTGCCTCTGCTTTTCCTTCTGCCCAAGAAGGTGGGAAAATGGTACCAGGTATGTTCATGGAGTTGGCCCGCTCTACACAGACCCTCATCTCCCAGACTTGGCAGACTCAGTTCCTCTCACATTGCTTTCAGTCCAGCTTTCCTGGCACCCTTACTGATTCTCCATCTTCATGGAACACCCTGTCCCTGTGGTCCATGTTCCCAGGTTGCTCAACATTAACCTCCATACTCTCTGGGTCTTCTTTTCTAGCTTCTCCCCACAATCTGTCTTTAAGAATTTGATCCCCAACCCGTTCTGAGTCATTTTCCTCTTCCTCGTATTTCTTTAGCATCCAAGGGGCATAGCTGTGTCTCTTTCTCTTTTCTCCTTTTCCTCTGTCTCTTCTCACCTTTAATTTCCAAATAGGTAACTCAGGTATTAGTGTCCCTGATGGTTTGCCAACCCGTGTGACATCTCTTGTCCATGTATCCACAGTTGCTGGAAGTGCAGGTGCGGGAATCTCTGGCAAAGTCCAGCCAGGTGGCCATTGAGGCTCTGTCGGCCATGCCTACAGTTCGAAGCTTTGCCAACGAGGAGGGCGAAGCCCAGAAGTTTAGGGAAAAGCTGCAAGAAATAAAGACACTCAACCAGAAGGAGGCTGTGGCCTATGCAGTCAACTCCTGGACCACTAGTGTGAGCACCTGAAGATGAATACCCATTCCCTTGTCCTTAAGATGCCGTGACTCCATTCCCATTCCTATGACCCTGCTCCCACTCCTCCTTTACTGGGAAATGGTTGGTTCAGTATTTTCGTCCTAGCAACCTGAGGCTCAATGACTCTACTCAGTGTCCCTAGCCCCCTCCCTCTCTTTAAAGATGCTAGGTGGCTTCCTTTCAGTATGGTACATAAAATCCACCCAACCATGTGGATTGGAGAGATGCGTGTCTTCCAGTCCTAGGGCCTTCCTTTGCCTCTCAGGGGAAGTGCAGGGCGCCATAAATTCTTGCACCTGGGACTGCTTCATGCTGGTACCTTGTAGATTTGTTAGTGAGAGTGATGGGAATAGTGGAAGCCAGGGATGAGGGACATCTGTGATGCACTGGAAAGAGAGCTACGCCAGTGATCCGAAGATCCTGGCTTGATGATGCAATTTACTTGTCTTGTGATCATGACAACAAATTTACCTTCTCTGAGACTGTTTCCTCTTTATTTATTTATTTGTTTGTTTGTTTGTTTATTTTTACTTATTATTATTATTTTTGAGCTGGAGTCTCGCTTTGTCGCCCAGGCTGGAGTGCAGTGGCGCGATCTGGGCTCACTGCAAGCTCCGCCTCCCGGGTTCACGCCGTTCTCCCGCCTCAGCCTCCTGAGTAGCTGGGACTACAGGCACCCGCCACCACGCCCGGCTAATTTTTTTTTTTTTTTTGTATTTTTAGTAGAGACGAGGTTTCTCCGTGTTAGCCAGGATGGTCTCAATCTCCTGACCTTGTGATCCGCCCACTTCGGCCTCCCAAAGTGCTGGAATTGCAGGCATGAGCCACTGCGCCCGACTGGTTGTTTCCTCATTTTTCAAAAATGGAGTGATATAACCTTCTTTATAAGGCTCTTCATGTATTAGCTGACATCACATGAATGAAAGCCTTTTGTGAAGAGTAAAATGCTCCCCAGACAAGGTGATAGTGGTGATGGTGGTGAAGATAACTGTGACTTGCATGATGTGCATTGAGTCAGACTCCATGGGGTCTCTGGTTCATTCTCCTGTCTGCCTATTGAGCCTGCCGATGTCACTTAGGAGACAGGGACTTGATATTTCCTTCAGGTTAATGACTGCGGTTCTTTGTGTCCCCTCCAGATTTCTCTACCTCAGTCCCTTTTTTTGTGGTCTCTTTATAGATTTCAGGTATGCTGCTGAAAGTGGGAATCCTCTACATTGGTGGGCAGCTGGTGACCAGTGGGGCTGTAAGCAGTGGGAACCTTGTCACATTTGTTCTCTACCAGATGCAGTTCACCCAGGCTGTGGAGGTGAGGTCCCTCCACCTTCACTCCCCAGTGTGATTCCTTCCTCTGGCCCAGCACCATCTGTGTGATGTCCTTCCATTCTTTACCCTTCTTGCTTCACATAATGCTGGCAAGCAGACTACCTCACTTTCACTATTCTTACCTCCCTCTAGGTACTGCTCTCCATCTACCCCAGAGTACAGAAGGCTGTGGGCTCCTCAGAGAAAATATTTGAGTACCTGGACCGCACCCCTCGCTGCCCACCCAGTGGTCTGTTGACTCCCTTACACTTGGAGGGCCTTGTCCAGTTCCAAGATGTCTCCTTTGCCTACCCAAACCGCCCAGATGTCTTAGTGCTACAGGTACAACCTACCACTCCCTGTATTCCACTGGCCCCAACTGCAATTCTGCCATCCTAAATTTTCTTCCTGCCTTCAGCCTGCTTACTGCCAAGCATATATCCTCCCTAACCCTTTAAAGGCAATGGTAGGCATCATCTGTTCCATAAATCTTCCCCAAACTCAAGAACCCAGTTTGGGCTTCCAAAGAGAATGAGAGAAGAGGTTTCGAAGAGAGTGCTCTCACGTTCCAAGGAATTGCTGCAGCAAAATCTGTGTCTTCGGTCTTCCATCTTTCCTTTTCCTTTGTAATTTGGAATGTGATTTTTCCCTTTCCTGGTGGTATCTGACATCAAGTGTGTGGCATAGTGGTGCTGGGTCTCTGCCCTTGTCTTTGCCGCTTCTTCTATCTCTACTCCTTGGGGAGGCATCACCCAGAAATCTGTGCATGTGGGAGGGTAGGAGTTTCTATATTTCCCTGTTTTTCTTCTGGGGTAAGACATCATGCTATGTAACAAGGCAATGACACTCTCAAGGTTAGAGGCCTTGGTAGCCTCTTATCGTGTGCTTCTCTGGCCTCTAGGGGCTGACATTCACCCTACGCCCTGGCGAGGTGACGGCGCTGGTGGGACCCAATGGGTCTGGGAAGAGCACAGTGGCTGCCCTGCTGCAGAATCTGTACCAGCCCACCGGGGGACAGCTGCTGTTGGATGGGAAGCCCCTTCCCCAATATGAGCACCGCTACCTGCACAGGCAGGTATGGAAGCAGGTGGCTTGAAGGAGGGCAGGGAGCATCAAATACGAAGAGCATTCTTACTGAGCACTCTGAAAGAGGGGTTAGGGAATGATAAGAGACCTTGGGTGGAGATGGTGGTGTAGTCAGGAGGGAGGTAGTATGATTTTGTGACATGTTCTCAATAAAGATTTTGAGTCTTCGATCTCTAGATAACCATACTCCCATGTGCCTTGTTCTATGACTCTTCATCATATTTCATCTCAGGTGGCTGCAGTGGGACAAGAGCCACAGGTATTTGGAAGAAGTCTTCAAGAAAATATTGCCTATGGCCTGACCCAGAAGCCAACTATGGAGGAAATCACAGCTGCTGCAGTAAAGTCTGGGGCCCATAGTTTCATCTCTGGACTCCCTCAGGGCTATGACACAGGTACTCTCTCCACTCATCTCACCACCCAGCCATCTTTACCTTTGCTGAAACCCCAGTAGTCTTGCCTTTATCCTTCAGTTCCTCCTTACTCATGGACATCAATTTGAAGTTGTAAGATCATGCTCCTATGGCTTCTTCATCCTGACATCCTCAGGATTCTGTTCATCTTCCCAGAATCTCCCCTATCCAGCTACAACCGTCAGATCTTGGTGTGTGTGAGTGCGTGAATGCATGAGTGTGTCTGTGTGCATGTACATGCGTGCACACATGTGGCTATACCGTTCTCATCTTGGCCCTTTGCTCTGCAGAGGTAGACGAGGCTGGGAGCCAGCTGTCAGGGGGTCAGCGACAGGCAGTGGCGTTGGCCCGAGCATTGATCCGGAAACCGTGTGTACTTATCCTGGATGATGCCACCAGTGCCCTGGATGCAAACAGCCAGTTACAGGTGAGGCAGTCATCTTCTTAATGGCTATATCCCACCCAATCTTGCTTCTTTTATACATCTTCTGTTAGTTTTACTAACATCATAATTATACAAACCAGTCCTTGCAGTTCTCAGTTCCCAAATCCAGTTCCATTGGATGCCTCCCCAAGGAGTAGAGATAGAAGACGAGGCAAAGACACCTAGAATCAGTTAAAAGAGACTATCTACAAACTACAGACTGAATTTCTTTCTTTCTTTCCTTTTTTTTTTTTAAGACAGTGTCTCACTCAGTTGCCCAGGCTGGAGCGCAGTGGCACAATCTTGGCTCACTGCAGCTTCAACCTGCTGGGCTCAAGCGATTCTCCCCTCAGCCTCCCGAGTAGCTGGGACTACAGGTGTACACCACTATGCCTGGTTGACTTTTATATTTTTAGTAGAGATGGGTTTCACCATGTTGCCCAGGCTGGCCTTGAATTCCTGAGCTCAGGTAATCTGCCCCCCTCAGCCTCCCAAAGGGCTGGGGTTATAGGTGTGAGCCACTGCGCCCAGTCCTATAGACTGAATTTCTAAAGCGAAACATAAGGAAAAGACCATCCTCATAATATCGTTTATTTAAAAAAATTATTTTTTGTACAGACAGCGTCCCGCTATGTTGCCCAGGCTGGCCTTGAACTCCTGGGCCCAAGTGATCCTCCCTCCTTGACCTCCCAAAGTGCTAGGATTATAGGCATGAGCCACCGGGCCCAGCCCATCCTAATCATATTAATATTAATTAAGCTAGTCTGTTTACATGCACTGTCACTCATTTATTCATTAGGAATCCTTCTGAGCTAGGCATTTATCATCATTCTACAGATGACAAAATGGAGGTTAAAAGAGGTTGAATAAGCTGCTCATATAGAGGTCATATAGCTTTTGAGTGGCGCAGCCTTGACCCAAATTCAGGTCTGCCTGACTTGAATGCTCATCTCTTTACTACTAAGTTATATTTCCTTAAAATCGAATATAAAAATGCCAAGTCCATGGGTAGAGAAGAGGACTATTCAATAGTCTTTATTCTTCTGTCACGTGTTTCACCCTAGGGTTCTCATTTTTATCCTACTTTTGCACCCTTCATGTAAAACAGTCCTTAATGAAACAAAGGGTTTGCGGAGAAGTACTCAGAATGGGAAACGTTGGTGTCCTTGGGGTTGTTAGCAGAGCCAGCAGTGATCCTGTGAGGTCAGTCCCAGCCCTGGAAACACAGGTGTCTCCCTGGGCTGAGGGTAGTCCCCGGCTCTGACGGTCCGATGTCTTTCCTCAGGTGGAGCAGCTCCTGTACGAAAGCCCTGAGCGGTACTCCCGCTCAGTGCTTCTCATCACCCAGCACCTCAGCCTGGTGGAGCAGGCTGACCACATCCTCTTTCTGGAAGGAGGCGCTATCCGGGAGGGGGGAACCCACCAGCAGCTCATGGAGAAAAAGGGGTGCTACTGGGCCATGGTGCAGGCTCCTGCAGATGCTCCAGAATGAAAGCCTTCTCAGACCTGCGCACTCCATCTCCCTCCCTTTTCTTCTCTCTGTGGTGGAGAACCACAGCTGCAGAGTAGGCAGCTGCCTCCAGGATGAGTTACTTGAAATTTGCCTTGAGTGTGTTACCTCCTTTCCAAGCTCCTCGTGATAATGCAGACTTCCTGGAGTACAAACACAGGATTTGTAATTCCTTACTGTAACGGAGTTTAGAGCCAGGGCTGATGCTTTGGTGTGGCCAGCACTCTGAAACTGAGAAATGTTCAGAATGTACGGAAAGATGATCAGCTATTTTCAACATAACTGAAGGCATATGCTGGCCCATAAACACCCTGTAGGTTCTTGATATTTATAATAAAATTGGTGTTTTGTACTGTGGTTTCTTATGTTTCCGGCACACCAAACGGCCCACTGCCTTTTGCAGCGCACTTTTCAGCTGCGGATGTCTCCTCTTTTATCATCCTCAATGTTTTACCCCCTAACTGCATCACCTTTTCCCTTAAGCTTTTTAATTCCTATGAGGCCCCTTCCACTTCCCCTATCCCCTTAGGCCCACCCCCAAGAATGTGCAAGACCCCAGCCACAGGGCCCATCAGGGCACTAGCGGCCGCAGCTCAGAGCCGTGGCCTCTCCGAAGTGGCAGATGGGGCGGGCGCGGCCAGAGCAAGTGCCAGGCGGGAACAGAGGGACTGGGCGCGCCTCACAACTCACCACCTCGCCCGCTGGTCCTTCCTGGCTCGCCTGGCTCTGAAGCTGCACCTGGAGGGGAAACCTCAGAACAGTAGGCGGGATTGCCTAGTAAATATCTCCCATTCAGGGAGGCCCAGGTCGTGTGACGTCGACAGTTGCTGGGTAGATGAGGCCAACACAGGTTGCAAGAAGAGGCGGGGTTTAGAGGCGTGAAACTCCGCAGTGCTCAGCCAAGCAGGGAGCAACGCTAGGAAGGGCGGGCAGAAAGGGCACGCTCTTGTGGGTGACTACAGGTTAGGAGACCGTTGAACCTGGAGGGGCCCTAGGATGGACCCCGTGGAAAGATTCAGAGACTGCGCCCTCTCCCTGGCGCCGCCTTCCCCTACACGCGGCGGGTATATTCTGTTGCAGTTGGCCCAGGACCTGTTTCCAAGACTCTGCCCCCTCGCACTTCCGTCCCTCCTGGTTTTGTAAAGTGATGCTCATAGGAACCCCCACCCCGCGTGACACTACTCCCAGCTCCTGGCTGACTTCTAGTCTTCTGGTTGAAGCTGCGCCTTTAGATGACACGACCCTACCCACCCCTGTTTCCAGCGGATGCCCGGGCCTGGAGGTACCTCTTACTGTAACCCATCGCCAAGTGGGCTTTTGAAGGCGCCTGTTCCTTTCTCGCTTTCTTCGGAAGACCCTTGACCCATCATTCCCCCGACCCCCATAACGGGAGAGCAGAGAAGCCGGTCCCCAGTGTGATGGTCCTGGTCCAGGCACTAACTGTCCTTTTCTCGGAAAAGGCAGGGGGATGTGGAAAAGAGTCTTGTTCCCTCCCCTTCGATCTGTGGCTTTCGCTTTCACTTCCTCCTCCGAGAGCGGACAGATCTCTGGGTGCTGGGCGGTCATGGCGCTACTAGATGTATGCGGAGCCCCCCGAGGGCAGCGGCCGGAATCGGCTCTCCCGGTTGCGGGAAGCGGGCGTCGCTCGGACCCAGGACACTACAGTTTCTCTATGCGATCTCCAGAGCTCGCTTTACCCCGGGGAATGCAGGTCGGGGCAGTAGGGAAGCCCCTAGGGATGCAGGGAGGCGGGCGCTGAGGAGTGGAGGGTCGCCTGAGAGGAGGAGGCGAGAGCGGGAGCGCGGGGTACAGGGTCGGGGGTAGCCTTCAGTCCCGGAGAGCGCCAGACCCAAAGAAGAGGCCACATGGGGATGGGGCCTGAGAGGAGGAAGTGCAAGTTAGGACAAAGAGTTACAGGTGAGGTGGGGGCTCCCAAAGGAAGACAAGAGAACTTTCCTGCCCTTGTCCACACACAAATGGTGGAGCCTTTTTCATGGGGTTATCACATGATATAGGAGGTGTGTGGTGTCTTGGGAAACCTATGAAATTTGCCTGCTGGCCTCCTCTCAGCAACTCACTGTTGCGCGACTTAGAACAAGTCACTTAGTCTAGGTCCCAAGCCCCTCTTCTGTAAAGTGAGGATACTGTTACTAAACGTGTTTTGTGAGGGTTGAATGCTTTATGCATGGAAGAAACCCTTTAAGTCACTCTCAAAATTTTTTAGTAATGGTAACATGTGCTTGCTTTCATTTCTGTTGTGCTGGAAAATGGAAAAGGTTGATACTGGCATGCCTCTTCTTTTCCTTCTCCCAAGCCATTTCCTTCTAGAGATTGGTTATTAACTGTTTCATTTATTGATGGTTAGATCATTTCTGCATATCTCCTCACCCTCATACTCCCTAAAACCTTTTCCTGGAGCCTCTTACTACAGAATTTTTCATTGCCTTTCTCAACCTCTTTTCTCTTATCAGCCCACAGAATTCTTCCAGTCCCTGGGTGGGGACGGAGAAAGGAACGTTCAGATTGAGATGGCCCATGGCACCACCACGCTCGCCTTCAAGTTCCAGCATGGAGTGATTGCAGCAGTGGATTCTCGGGCCTCAGCTGGGTCCTACATTAGTGAGTGTATACGCTCCAGCAGGCAGAATCTGGGGAGCTGGGCTCTCCTTTCCACAGGAGGCCAACTCTGCAACAAAGTGGAAGTGGATATTGATTTAGGACACACTGGGGGATCTATGGGGTCATCCCTTCTCTCCCAAAGCTCCATCTTCTTCCAGGTGCCTTACGGGTGAACAAGGTGATTGAGATTAACCCTTACCTGCTTGGCACCATGTCTGGCTGTGCAGCAGACTGTCAGTACTGGGAGCGCCTGCTGGCCAAGGAATGCAGGTAAGCGAGGCCTCTCATCTTCCTTTCTTAGCCTAGTGGTTAATCCCTGGATCTCTCAGATCATTGCTCCTTACTCTTGTCCTATGTGGTCCATCTTAGTGCTAATAGTATATTTCACAAAACAGCTTTTTGGTGATAAGACCCTTCTCCCAAATCTCAGCCTGTGCTCCACTCATAAGCCAGATAGTACGTCAGGTATTTAGCACTGACACATCCACCCTGGCGGGACAGTATCATTTACTAGGCTGCCTTTGTATGTTTCAGATACTTTAAATTCCAAATCTTTCTCTGATCTTTAGATCCTACAAAATAATTCCTTTCCAATGCTTATCTCTTTAATCATTTCCTGCCCCATCAAGTTGGAAAGAGCTAACCTCTCTTTCCTCACTCCACCTTGTCCTCACCCAGGCTGTACTATCTGCGAAATGGAGAACGTATTTCAGTGTCGGCAGCCTCCAAGCTGCTGTCCAACATGATGTGCCAGTACCGGGGCATGGGCCTCTCTATGGGCAGTATGATCTGTGGCTGGGATAAGAAGGTGGGTGCTCTCCATTCTTCATGTTCCCCCACCATGTTCCCTATGGATGACAGATCTGTTTCCCATCATATACTCCTACTCCCTCCCTGACAAGATGCATGGCATATAGAGTGCTTGGTTATAGAACTGTTTCAGTATATCCATGGACTATTTATTGGCCCAGATATGAATCATTGCATGTGTTTTGTAAGCTTGTCCCTTTTGTTAAACAGTTGATTTCAAGTTTGTTTTTCCTTTTTCATTTCTAAAGTTCGATGACTTTACCAAAGTGGTTTCCTAATTCCAATGTTCTTGTGGTAATATTAATTCTTTTGTTCACTTTTTATGTCTCATATTTGAACCCCCATGTTACCAACATCTTCCTCTCCAATTTCAGCCTGAAATCTTTCATCTTATAGGGTCCTGGACTCTACTACGTGGATGAACATGGGACTCGGCTCTCAGGAAATATGTTCTCCACGGGTAGTGGGAACACTTATGCCTACGGGGTCATGGACAGTGGCTATCGGCCTAATCTTAGCCCTGAAGAGGCCTATGACCTTGGCCGCAGGGCTATTGCTTATGCCACTCACAGAGACAGCTATTCTGGAGGCGTTGTCAATAGTAAGAGACCAATGCTCCCACCACCATGCCTGGGAGGAGTCGGCGGGTGGTGGGGGGGGTGATTTAAGATTGAGAAACCAGCCTGGCCAACATGGCGAAACCCCGTCTCTACTAAAACTACAAAAATTAGCCGGACGTGGTGACGGGTGCCTGTAGTCCCAGCTACTTGGGAGGCTGAGGCAGGAGAATCACTTGAACCTGGGAGGTGGAGCTTGCAGTGAGCCAAGATGGCGCCACTGCATTCCAGTCTGGGCCACAGAGTGAGACTCCTTCTCAAAAGAAAAAAAAGAAAATGATTGAGAGACTCAAAGGAGGGAGAGTAGTAGGGAGGAAATTTTCAGAGTCAGAAGAAGGGCATTAAAGGCCCAGTCATATGGTTTTAAGCTTGCGCATGTGTCTTGTTGCTGCCTTCAACATAACATCAGTGACAGGAACTTGCTGAGGTGAAAGGTGACTCCATGTTCTTTTCTCATTTGTCCACAGTGTACCACATGAAGGAAGATGGTTGGGTGAAAGTAGAAAGTACAGATGTCAGTGACCTGCTGCACCAGTACCGGGAAGCCAATCAATAATGGTGGTGGTGGCAGCTGGGCAGGTCTCCTCTGGGAGGTCTTGGCCGACTCAGGGACCTAAGCCACGTTAAGTCCAAGGAGAAGAAGAGGCCTAGCCTGAGCCAAAGAGAGAGTACGGGCTCAGCAGCCAGAGGAGGCCGGTGAAGTGCATCTTCTGCGTGTTCTCTATTTGAACAAGCATTTCCCCCAGGGAAGTTTCTGGGTGCCCCACTAAGTAGAATAAAGAAAAACGGTTATAAATACCTCTGTCTTGTGGCTGAATGGGGTTGGGCCTGTGGTTGTTGGGTGGGGCAGAAAGTAAAGAGACGCTTTTTCTGGAGAAGGGGCTCAGACCCCTATCTAAGAAATGTGGCCTCACCACATAGTTCTTCCTGGGGTTTCCTTCCACACTCATCTCTCCAAGACCTCAGGAAGGCTGCTCATTGCTGTCCATGGACACTTGTTTGCAATTTCACATAGGTTAGGGTCCTTTCCATAGAGAGGCACCTGGGGACTCCTGTGTGTTCCATTGTTAATGGTTTGAGGAACAGGGAGTAGGGCACCTAGGATAACTGTTTTTGACTTTATAGAGTAGGATGAAAAAGCTTCCACTTCACTTTAATATGGTAATCATATAAACACCATACCATTTATCCCAAATAACACTTTGGAGATATTGGATATTGAATATAAAGACAGACATTAAGGGTCTAATTTCATGATGTGTCATGCTGAATTGCAAGATGGCAGGACTATAATTTTAGAGGAAGAAGAGATCAGGAGGACTCCCCTAAGTGAGGAGTGTGGGGAAAATGTAAAAGATCCAGGTTAGAAGAAAGAGACACACATCATGAGATTTTCGGAATCATGCTGGAACTATGGACCATGTCACTTTCCAGAAAATAAAGGAAACAAATGCTTGAAAGTAGGAGCATGAGCTTGAGCATGGAGCTTTTTTCATTAGAGAGAGATTCTTAAAATGCCAGAATGAATAGAGTTGTAAAACTTTAGCGAGCCCCTACTTAAAATCCCTCCTCCCCACCACCACTATTTTAAACTTTAAGTGACTCCTTGGTAGTCACACAGGTAACATTTCAAAATGGTGATCTGGAATCCAAGCGACCCTTCCTTTGGGGAATTTGTTTGTTTGTTTGTTTTTAGTTTGGGAGGTGGTTTCAATCTGAAGAGTCCTTTCTGGAATAAACGAATCTTTCTGTTGCATAGGAAGGCTCTGGGTCAGGAAGGATATTTAAAAACCTAATTACTGTTCTAAACAGTGTTAAAATAGAACAAGAACCAAAGCTCAGTACGGGGCATTTCCCTCATAGGCTGAAGGTGCGCCCAACATAATTTGGAGTACAGACTCAGAGGCACCTGAACACGCGCCAGCTCAAGGTGCTCCGGCTGAGAAGGACGGATGAAGATGAACGCTCAGGGCCTACTAAATTCAAAGTCTGTACGTGAAAATCCCCTTTGGCCTGGTGAGATTGGTTGGAACCTTCTATTTAGGAGAGCCCGGCTCGCTCGCCTAAAACTGGAGCTTGCATGGAAGAGGGCACTTTTTTTTTTTTTAGACGAAGTCTCACTCTTGTCGCCCAGGCTGGAGTGCAATGACCCGATCTCGGCTCACTGAAACCTCTGCCTCCTGAGTTCAAGCGATTCCCCTGCCTCAGCCTCCCGAGTAGCTGGGATTACAGGCGTCCGCCACCACGCCCTGGCTAATTTTTGTATTTTTAGTAGAGACAGGGTTTCACCATGTTGGCCAGGCTGGTCTCGAACCCCTGACCTCAGGCGATCCGCCCGCCTCGGCCTCCCAAAGTGCTGTGATTACAGGCGTGAGCCACCGCGCCGGACCAGAAAGAAGGCACTTCTTAATAGTAGGCTCAGAGCTTGAAGTAGTAACTTTGAGAAAATTCAGTGATTCTCCAATTACAAAGCATTCTCCAATTACAAAGCAAGGACAACAGATAAAGTTGCCCTTGAGACAACTGTATTTTACTTAATGATAAAGAAACATTTTTGCAGTTTTATATCCCAGAGTAACCGCCACTAAAGGCGAGTGAGACTCATTGCAGGCCTGTACAGTGCGAACCAGAGTTCGGGCTCCAGTTCCGCTGTCTGCGGGTCTCGCGCGCCCCCTCCCGGCGGCCCAGCCCAGAATGAAGGCCTTGGCTGGGGAAGCGAAAGCGAAAGCTGCCCGAGCCCTGACGCCCGCCCTGGCCGAGCGTAGCTGGCGGACCAGAGCCGGTAGCGAGGTTGGGAGAGACGGAGCGGACCTCAGCGCTGAAGCAGAAGTCCCCGGAGCTGCGGTCTCCCCGCCGCGGCTGGTGAGTTGGTGCGGAGGGGAACCTGGAGCGCCAACAGGGACGCAGCCCAAGTGACTACCCACTCCACGCTCCTGCTTCCCAGTCCCTCTGCACCCGGCGATAGGAGGGAGCGGAGCCCGGACCACTTAGCTCGCCGCGGCAGGCGGGGGTGGGGGTGGGGGTCCGGGGATTTTTTTTTTTTTTTTTTAAGCACGAGGCTCCTGATGGTCATGCTTCCAGCTCCCCAGAAGGCCGAAAGCTGTCTGTCGTAGGAGGGGTGTACGGATGAGCACCGGTTACTCAGGAGAGCTCTCAGGGTTGAATAGGATAAAATGAGAAGCCGATGGACGGGTTAGGCGGAGCCGGGCGGGTAGGAGGGCAGGGACAAGGATTGGGACTCCACCCCCATGATTTCTCATCTCGTATCCGTTGACAGAGCCATGCGGCTCCCTGACCTGAGACCCTGGACCTCCCTGCTGCTGGTGGACGCGGCTTTACTGTGGCTGCTTCAGGGCCCTCTGGGGACTTTGCTTCCTCAAGGGCTGCCAGGACTATGGCTGGAGGGGACCCTGCGGCTGGGAGGGCTGTGGGGGCTGCTAAAGCTAAGAGGGCTGCTGGGATTTGTGGGGACACTGCTGCTCCCGCTCTGTCTGGCCACCCCCCTGACTGTCTCCCTGAGAGCCCTGGTCGCGGGGGCCTCACGTGCTCCCCCAGCCAGAGTCGCTTCAGCCCCTTGGAGCTGGCTGCTGGTGGGGTACGGGGCTGCGGGGCTCAGCTGGTCACTGTGGGCTGTTCTGAGCCCTCCTGGAGCCCAGGAGAAGGAGCAGGACCAGGTGAACAACAAAGTCTTGATGTGGAGGCTGCTGAAGCTCTCCAGGCCGGACCTGCCTCTCCTCGTTGCCGCCTTCTTCTTCCTTGTCCTTGCTGTTTTGGGTGAGTCAGGAGAGGACGTTGTGAGTTGGAGGTGGTAAAAGGGCCTGGGCACCAGCACATTCTTGTGTTATTTTTCATGCCTCTTTCAGGTGAGACATTAATCCCTCACTATTCTGGTCGTGTGATTGACATCCTGGGAGGTGATTTTGACCCCCATGCCTTTGCCAGTGCCATCTTCTTCATGTGCCTCTTCTCCTTTGGCAGGTAGGTGGTGGGCAGCTGGGTCCATTTGCTAGCCCCAAATCTTTATAGGGGTCTTCACTTCCCTAACTCCATTTCTAGGCCCTTTCAGGCGCAAAACACAAAAATACTTAAACTAAAATATGGTGAATGTAGTCACCATTCTGTTTCATCTATCCATTCATTTCTTCCTTCGTTCATATTCATCCAATATCTTCAAAGTTTATCTGATCTTATTATAGGAACAAGTTATGAGTGAAGGTAGTACAAAAGGAATTTAAGTCTCAGATGGAATGTCTCTCAGTTGTCTCTCAACATTCCTAGGTCCATGAAATTCCATTTCTTTCTGCCTCCTACCTCCTACCCCTAAGTCTGTCTCCAAAGTATCTCTCCAGGGTCACTCCCTCAGGATGGGTATGCTTCTCCCTTTCACTCTTCTTTCCCAGCTCATCTTGCCAGTCCCTGAAGATCTTACTCTGAGGCTTATCACCTTTCTTTCCAGAATCATTACTCTTTTCCCTTCACTTGCTTTCCTTTCTCTTTCTAGACATACTCAAACAAACAAACTGTTTGATAAGGCTGGGACTGGGATGAGGTGAGCGAGGCACCTGGGGTGCAAAGTTTAAGGAGGTGTGCACTCACCTTACCCAAATCCCAGCCGGCCTGATTGTCTCTATTTTTATGGTCATACTTAATTTAGAGTACCCTCGAAAACCATTTCATTGTGCCTTCATTCCATCCTGGCTGCTTTCTGCTGAAACTACAGTCGTGCACTGCATAACGAAGTTTAGGTCAATGATGGGCCACATATAAGATGGTGGACCCACAAGATTATAATACCATATTTTTACTGTACCTTTTCTATGTTTAGATACACAAATACTTACTTCTGTGTTACAGTCGCCCACAGTGTTAGGTGCAGTTATATGTTGTACAGATTTGTAGCCTAGGAGCAATAGGCTAAACTACATGGCCTAGGTGTGCAGTAGGCTATGACATCTAGGTTTGTGTAAGTACACTCTATGATGTTCATACAACGATGAAACCATCTAACGACACATTTCTCAGAACACATCCCTGTCATTAAAGTACAAACCCTCATTATATCATGTCTGACTCTCCCAAACGCCTCTTCAATATGGTAACTAAATTTGTATTAGAAACATATATTTTGTAAAATACATGCTTTTATGCTTTATATTTTTTCCTCTAAGTGTTACTGTAGCATGTAGTTGGTCTAAGAGGGATTTTCCAACTCGAAGGATGAAAGATGGGAATCACATGACTCTGGGGCTCCAGAGAATTGTGGGGGCAGGGAATTTATTATTGCAGTTCCCATGATGAAGTATCTATGATGACAGAGAAGGGCTTTGGGTATGGGGCAGGAAGGAGACCAAGGCGGAGGAGACGCACAGAGGGACAAGCCTGAGGGACGCTGGGACAGAAGCAAGCACTGGGATACTTGTTTTCACAATATCTTTTCCCTTCTATTGTAGTTTTCTATTGTGTCTAGTACAGAGTGCACTCCATAAATACTTGTAAATTTGTACATGTTATGATTTTGTTCTCACATCTAGCTCACCATGTCTCCTCTTTCTTCTTCCTCTGTGTATTCCTTACCTCTTCTCTCTCTGTGTGTCTGTCTCTCATTTCTTTCTCTTTTGCCCCTCCTGGCATGCTTTCCCCTGACTTTGCGCTTCTCTGCACTCCTGGCTTGCTCCTCTGTTTCACCCGCTGGCTTGCTCCTTCTCTGCATCTCCCTCCCCTCTTATTCTCCTACCCCACAGCTCACTGTCTGCAGGCTGCCGAGGAGGCTGCTTCACCTACACCATGTCTCGAATCAACTTGCGGATCCGGGAGCAGCTTTTCTCCTCCCTGCTGCGCCAGGACCTCGGTTTCTTCCAGGAGACTAAGACAGGTGGGGCCTGGAGTCCAGGTCTGAGATTCCCATGGACATCCCTTGCCCCTCAGTGACCTTCCACCCACAGCCTCTCCTCCTGCCTTCACCCGTATGCCAGGACTTGGGGATGCTTTTCTCTTGTTTGGGACAGGGTGGAGAAGCAGCCTCCACTGTCCCTCTGCAAGTGAAGGAGGATGTTCAGAGGAGGGGGCTGTGTCAGAGGGAACGGTCAGGAGGGAGTTTCTGGGGGCCCTGCAGTACACATGGTTTCCTTTTTCCTCACCTGCTCTGTCCTTCTTAGGGGAGCTGAACTCACGGCTGAGCTCGGATACCACCCTGATGAGTAACTGGCTTCCTTTAAATGCCAATGTGCTCTTGCGAAGCCTGGTGAAAGTGGTGGGGCTGTATGGCTTCATGCTCAGCATATCGCCTCGACTCACCCTCCTTTCTCTGCTGCACATGCCCTTCACAATAGCAGCGGAGAAGGTGTACAACACCCGCCATCAGGTGAGCGTGCATGTAAGGGAACCCCAAAGGGAGAATAAAACTGACAGGTGAGGAGGCTTCCACATTTGTGGCTAGAGGATCCCCTAGAGAGAGATGTTCTCTTCTCAGCCATTAGGGGAGAAGGTATATTGTAGTATATACTACATTTTGTTTGTCCAGCCATCCAACAATGGATATTTGACTTCAGAAGATTCATGATTCTCCAGAACTGTAAACAAAAATGTAAAGTGTATGTGAAGGTATGGGGGAGGGAATAGGAAGGGGAGATGATAGGCGATGATAACTTTTCATTAGCTTCTCAAAGGAGTCTGTACATCCCCCGCCCCCACTGCGAAGATTAAAAATGGTTTCTTAGAGGCTTTTAGGCAGGGAGATTTTCCCTTTAAAATCAGCAGAAGAAGTCTGGATGCAGCATAGGGAAAGGAGGCGTCATCAGGAAGTCCTAAGTCTGAATGTCAGCTCCACCTTCTCTTTTTCTCTTATATTGTGGTAAAACATACATAACATAAAATTTACCATTTCAACCATTTGAAGTGTACAGTTCAGTGACATTTAGGAAACCCACATTGTTATTGGGTAACCATCATCACCATCCATCTCCAGAACTTTTTTCATCTTCCTAAAATGAAACTCTGTACCCACTAAATAGTAACTGCCTACTACCCCCAACCCCTGGCCGCTGGCAACCTCCATTGTACCTTCTGTCTCCATGAATTGTGATGACTCCCGGTGCGGTACGTAAGTGGAACCATACAGTATTTGTCTTTTTGTGACTGGCATATTTTACTTAGCGTAATGTCTTCAGGCCTCATCCATATTGTAGCATGTGTTAGAATTTCCTCCCTTTTAAGGCTGAATAATATTCTGTTGTGTGCATATATCACATTTTGATTATCCATTCATCTGTCAATGGACATTTGCGTTGTTTCCACCTTTTGGCTGTTGTGAATTATGCTGCTGTGGACATGAGTGTACACCTGTTTGAAACCCTGCTTTTGGTTCTTTTGGGTATATACTTAGAAGTGGAGCTGCTGGATCATATGGCAATTCTATTTAACAATTTTTGAGGAACCATGTATTAGTCCATTTTTACGCTGCTGATAAAGACATACCCAAGATTGGGCAATTTACAAAAGAAAGAGGTTTATTGGACTTACAGTTCCATGTGGCTGGGAAGACCTCAAATCATGGCGGAAGGTGAAAGACACATTTCACATGGCAGCAGACAAGAGAAAAGACAGCTTGTGCAGGGGAATTCCCCTTTTTAAAACCATTATATCTCGTGAGACTTATTCAATATCACAAGAACAGCATGGGAAAGACTTGCCCTCATGATTCAATTACCTCCTACCCAGTCCCTCCCACAACACATGGGAATTCAAGATCAGATATGGGTAGGGACACAGCCAGATCGTATCAAACCACCATACAGTTTTCCATAGCGGCAGCACCATTTTAAATTCCCACCAGCAGTGCATAAGGTTTCCAATTTCTCCACATCCTCATCAACACCACTTTCTGTTGTCTTTTTTTTTAATAGCCATTCTAATGGTGATTAGGTGATTAGGATTATCTCATTGTGGTTTTGATTTGCATTTCCCTAATGATTAGTAAATATTGAGCATCTTTTCGTGTGATTTTGGCCACTTATGTTTCTTTCTTGAAAGAATGTCTGCAAGTTCTTTGCCCATTTTCTGATTTTTTTTTAAGTTGTGGGAGTTCACTATATGTTTTGCCTATTAATTTCCTATCAGATATATGATTCACAAATATTTTCTTGTATTTCATGGTTGCTTTTTCACTCTGTTGCTAGAGTTCTTTGATGCACAAACGTTTTAAATTCTGATGAAGTCTGATTTATCTATTTTTTGTTGCCTGTGCGTTTGGTGTTATATCCAAGAAATCACTGCCAAATCTAGTGGCATGAGGCTTTTCTTCTACATTTTCCTAGGAGTTTTATAGTGTTAGCTCTTATGTTTAGGCCTCTGATCCATTTGGAATTACATCTCCACCTTTCTTAACTATCTGTGGCTCCTTGGGAAAACTACCCTTCTTTCCTGATTCAGACACTGGGGATGGGAAAATTACCTCAAATGAAGGTTAAAAAAATTGCATGTATCTCCTATACTACCTAACACTGAGAGCTCAATAATATTTTGTTCCCTTGCTCCTTCACTCTTATTCCTTCTGGAAAGAAGAGTAAGGAAGAGGGAGAGAAACAGTTTGGTATTTTTAGGTAGACTAGGGAGCATCTCACTGGCTGGAGTAAGATGTGGGGGCCTGCTGTCTTTGCACATCAGCCCTGGTGTTTGCTGGCCCTCTTTTCCAGGAAGTGCTTCGGGAGATCCAGGATGCAGTGGCCAGGGCGGGGCAGGTGGTGCGGGAAGCCGTTGGAGGGCTGCAGACCGTTCGCAGTTTTGGGGCCGAGGAGCATGAAGTCTGTCGCTATAAAGAGGCCCTTGAACAATGTCGGCAGCTGTATTGGCGGAGAGACCTGGAACGCGCCTTGTACCTGCTCGTAAGGAGGGTAAGATACCAGAGTGGTTGTGAAAGGAGCCCAGGAAAGGGGGAGGGCAAGGGAAGAGGAAACTACAGCTGGTTCTAGAGGCCTTTGCAGCTCAGTCTCATAGAGGCAGAGAGGGGGAAAGAATGGGAAGATTCCCAGCCTCATCTCTTTCTTCTCCTCTTCCAGGTGCTGCACTTGGGGGTGCAGATGCTGATGCTGAGCTGTGGGCTGCAGCAGATGCAGGATGGGGAGCTCACCCAGGGCAGCCTGCTTTCCTTTATGATCTACCAGGAGAGCGTGGGGAGCTATGTGCAGGTGAGCGAGAAGCCAAGCCTGCTCTCCTTTTTTCCCTCTCTTTTTCTTTGTGGACTCCTGGGCCTTGGGCTTTATTTGTTCTTTTTAACAATACAATACAAAACCAAAACCCGCAAGTAATTTTGCTATGGAGAATTTTAAACATATGCCAAAAATGAGACAAAATAATATTACAAACTCACATGTATACATCCTGTGCTTTAACAATGATCAACTCATGCCCAATCTTGTTGGATCTGTATCCCCAGCCACTTCCCCCCACCCATATTATTCTGAAGCAAATCCAAGATATTGTATACTTTCATCTGTAAATATTTCAGTATGTTTCTTAAAAATACAAACATCTTTAAAAGTGTATAACAACAAAGCCATTATCACACCAAAAAATTAACAGTAGTTCTTAAAATTTATCAAATAGTCAATTGTCAAATTTCCACTTGTGGTATCCATGTAGTATATGTGTATGAGTGTGTTTATTATACTTTGCTTAAATCAGGATCCAGAAATGGTCCACATATTGTGACTGGTTGATACATCTTTTAAGTCTGTCTGTCTATCTATCTATCCATCCATCTATCCATCCATCCACCCATCAATCCATGTATCTGTCTAAAAGTTTCCCTTGCACAGTTTATTTGTTGAAGAAATAGGTTGTTTGTCCTGTGGAGTTTCTTAGGGTCTGGATTTTGTTGACTGAATCCCTGTGGTATTATATGCTCTTCTGCCTCTGTACTTCCTGTCTATTGATAGATAAACCTAGAAGCTTGTGAGATTGAGGGGTTTTTTTTGGTCTTTTTCCAGCAACAGTACTTTTTAGGTGGTGATGCATTCTTCCTCCAAGAGGCACACAATGTCTGGTTCTCTATTTGTGGCAACATCAGCCACTGATGAGCAGTACCTACATCCATGACAGAATTAGGGCTGCAAAAGGGAGATACTCTATCATTCTTCATGTATTAGCTGAAGTAGTCTATGAAGGGAGACTTCCCCTCATCTACCATTTCATTACCCGGTGGTACAGTTTGATGAGGAAAGGCAGAGTGAGCATTTAGATCTCTTCCTACATTTACCAGTTCTCAAAAACAGCTACTTCATCCAGGGCTTTATTTAAACATTTTCCTAGACACTTGATAAACATCTTTTTTGTGTAGAGAACTGCGCTGGGCACTCTGACGGCTACAAAGGTGAGTTGGGCACAGTGCCTGCATTTAAGGAGCTCCCCGTCTAATCAAGCAAGACAGAACTGGGCACAAGTAATAGGAAGCAGTAACTGAAAAGATCTGGGGCTAGAGGCAATGCTGTATGGTAGGAGAAGGGACTGTATATCCTTTATATTGCAAATTGGAACACTGGGGTATTGGTGCCACTTTTAAATTCCGTCCAAATTGTACATTTAAAAGTGGAGAATCTCTTTTGAGTATGGAGGAGGAGCAGTGCAGTTGTGAGTGGAGTGTGTGAGGAGTTGGGAGGGTGGTTTCTGGTAGAAGTGTGTTTAATTAGCCGGCTCTCCCATTCCTGTTTTCCAGACCCTGGTATACATATATGGGGATATGCTCAGCAACGTGGGAGCTGCAGAGAAGGTTTTCTCCTACATGGACCGACAGCCAAATCTGCCTTCACCTGGCACGCTTGCCCCCACCACTCTGCAGGGGGTTGTGAAATTCCAAGACGTCTCCTTTGCATATCCCAATCGCCCTGACAGGCCTGTGCTCAAGGTGCCTGAAAGAGGGAGGAAACCTGGACCCTTGCTCTCTGCTGCTAATGCATAATTGGACATCACAGCCTATAGTTCATTTGCCTCTGAGAACCTGGTCTTGCCTCTGCTAAGAAGAGAAATGGAGGGATTTTGAGGGAGAAGGGGCAGGCCCTTAACTCTTTTTCTGGTTTTCTAGGGGCTGACGTTTACCCTACGTCCTGGTGAGGTGACGGCGCTGGTGGGACCCAATGGGTCTGGGAAGAGCACAGTGGCTGCCCTGCTGCAGAATCTGTACCAGCCCACAGGGGGACAGGTGCTGCTGGATGAAAAGCCCATCTCACAGTATGAACACTGCTACCTGCACAGCCAGGTGGGTGAGGAGGGAGAAGACAGGGGACAGGAGAGGGGAGCATGTACAGAGAGAGGATGGGAGATCCACGGGAAGGCGCACCAGGTGTTCATTCTGAGGGAGGTAGGTGGGGAGGACAAAAGGGCCCCTGCCTTGGGGGTTTACACATAGTCCTCTGCCCCTGTCCCTGCTGCACAGGTGGTTTCAGTTGGGCAGGAGCCTGTGCTGTTCTCCGGTTCTGTGAGGAACAACATTGCTTATGGGCTGCAGAGCTGCGAAGATGATAAGGTGATGGCGGCTGCCCAGGCTGCCCACGCAGATGACTTCATCCAGGAAATGGAGCATGGAATATACACAGGTATCTTCTACAAATTGTAAGCTTGCTCCTTCAGTAAAAAAGAGAAAATCAGACTTACTCTTAGTGGTGAAGGTCGTGTCCCTGTAGCTTGATGTTTGCTGTTCCTCTGCCCTTTCCTCCATTCCTACGTCTCCTTCCCCACACACTGAATTCTTCAGCCTCCCTCTTGATCAAGAGTCTTTGTTTGCAGAGAGCAATGCAGCAGTGGTGCTCCCTCCGTGGGCAGCCCCGTCAGGTCCCCACCCCATGGCCCTCCTCCCACTGGGCCCTCCCCGCACTGGGCCCTCCCACCTCCCGAGGTCCTACTGGAAGTACCTGCTGTGCACTTGTCCCTCCTTGTGTGTTGTCTGTGTCACTTGTATCTGAGGAAGGGAATTTCTCTGATTTCCTCAGATGTAGGGGAGAAGGGAAGCCAGCTGGCTGCGGGACAGAAACAACGTCTGGCCATTGCCCGGGCCCTTGTACGAGACCCGCGGGTCCTCATCCTGGATGAGGCTACTAGTGCCCTAGATGTGCAGTGCGAGCAGGCCGTGAGTACCGTGAGAGGGCAGGGGACAGTGGGGCCTGGGAGGGGCATGCTGGGAGGATCAGACTGTGCAGAATTGGGCAGAGGGAGGACGAAGGACCTACTAGTGGAAACAGTCTGTGCCTTCTTGGGGTTGGGGAATGGAATCCGGTGGTGTGAGGGCAGCCCCAGTTCCCTCCTGGGCTTCCATTCCTCCAGCTGTGGCAGTACAGCCGGGAGAGAAGGGCAGTCCAGGCCTTTATCTACTGCCCTTTCCTACCTTCTTTTATTTCACACCTTCTTTACCCTAAATCATAAGAGATGGTGCCCAGGTGGATGTGGTGTCCATCTCATTCCTGTCTTTCTGAGGCACTGTGATCACCCCTTCAGCTGCAGGACTGGAATTCCCGTGGGGATCGCACAGTGCTGGTGATTGCTCACAGGCTGCAGACAGTTCAGCGCGCCCACCAGATCCTGGTGCTCCAGGAGGGCAAGCTGCAGAAGCTTGCCCAGCTCTAGGAGGGACAGGACCTCTATTCCCGCCTGGTGCAGCAGCGGCTGATGGACTGAGGCCCCAGGGATACTGGGCCCTCTTCTCAGGGGCGTCTCCAGGACCCAGAGCTGTTCCTGCTTTGAGTTTCCCTAGAGCTGTGCGGCCAGATAGCTGTTCCTGAGTTGCAGGCACGATGGAGATTTGGACACTGTGTGCTTTTGGTGGGGTAGAGAGGTGGGGTGGGGTGGGGTGGGGGCTGTCTGTGTCCAGGAAACTTAATTCCCTGGTGACTAGAGCTTTGCCTGGTGATGAGGAGTATTTTGTGGCATAATACATATATTTTAAAATATTTTCCTTCTTACATGAACTGTATACATTCATATAGAAAATTTAGACAATATAAAAAAGTACAAAGAAGAAAAGTAAAAGTACCCATTGTTTCACTTCCTGGAGATAACCATAGTTGCTATTTTGCTGCCTGTCCCATCAGTCGTTTATCTGTTGTTTGAGATAGAAATTAACCAAAAATGACATAAATATTCATGAGATTGCCTTCCTATATCCTTCCTTGTTCCTACCAGTGTCTGCTATTTTGAAGAAGCTAGGGTCTGGAGGGACAGAGAACAGTTCCCTGATTAACAGTATTAATAGCGACATTGGTAACAGCTACCATTTATAGAGTTTTAATGGGAGTAGGAGCTATGCTAAGTGTTTTTCATGTATTATCGTTTTTAATCATTATCCCCAACCCTATGAGGTTGGTTATTATCCCCATTTTACAGATGAGGAAACTGAAGCTCAAAGAGGCTCAATGACTTTCCCAAGGTGGTCGTAGTGGTGGAGTTGGAGTTTGAACACAGGCCTGACCCTAGAGTCCACACCCTGACCCAATCAATTATATTGCATCTTGGGTCCATAAACCCTAATCCATAATCCCATCAAGAAAAGCTCTGCTGCTCTTAGCTCTAAATAATTCAGAATCTATTCTCTTCTCTCCAGTCCCGTTGTTATAGTCTTCACTCATAGACTTAAGATGATCCCATCACCAGAGAGGTTTCTCTACCATTAGCTTCCCTCTTCCGGCCATTCTTCACAAAGTCATTTTTCTAAATTCTGTGTCACATACGATGATGGCATTTCTGGAAATTCCTTCAGGTGCTCTCAAGCCCTGCTGCAGAGATCCTTTTCAGAGCACACACTGTTCCAGCCCATCTGTCTCACCCTCTCCTGTTGTATCCAGCTCCACGACAAACTTCTGCCTTCCCCAACACCTTTGTGCCTTTGCATATGGTGTTTTCTTGCCCATTTTCTGCTCGACTCGCCCCTGATTTTCAAGTTCAAGACTTAACTCAGGGTTCAGGTCTTCCAGGAGGCCTTACTTATGTCGTCAGTCTGGGGAACTCTCCATGTGCTTCTATCACTGTGCGGTTACCTCTTTCACAGCCCTTTTAAAGTTCTATCTTCCCTTTCCCACCTTTTTTGACCTTCCACTAGACCATGAGCACCTGGGCGGAAAGCCATATATCTTATTAAGCTTTATATCTGCTACCTGGCCGAGGGCCTAATTCATAGTGGAGAATAAATAGTCAATTGAATAAATGAATAAATATCTCCACCATCGTACTAATCTTAATCCTCCCTGCCCACTCCCACCACTGAAAATGCAACATTGTACACATCACTGGTTGTTGGGAGGGACTTACCTTGGAAAGTTGCTATTCTAGGAAAGAGAAACCTTCATATTCCTGGAAACAGCAGGTAGTTTCCAGTGCTGGCAATGAATTCCCCAGAACTGCTGTTTTGGATTTTTTCTTGCCTGGCAGCTGTTGGGAGCAGGGTGCAGTGAGGATGGGGTGAGAGTGGGCAGTTTCTTGTGCAGATTTGCCTTTCTTTCATCCTGGGGCTGACTTGCAGCTCCACACCCATCCATCTCTCAAATTTCACAGAGGGTAAAATAGGCATTTGGAGAGAAAGAACTCTGGCCTGATTCCTTTCTCTCCCACAAATGTCCTTTATTCATAAAACAGGAATAATAATTCCTGTATCTCCCAACTACATGGAAGCTGCAGCCCTCACAGAAGAAGATGATCTGAGAAATTCTTTGATTTCCTCAGTACAGTTATACCCATGCATCATAATACTTTAAGCCTGGAAGGCATCTTAAAAATAATGCAACAGTCAAACCTAATTTTACAGAGAAACTGACATGAAATCACGCAGCTAATCATGATAAAGCTGGGTGGAAAACTTATCTTGATGGGCAGTACAGGAAGATGCAGTAGACCTTAAGATGTCCTGAAAGTTTCTTATCTCAGGGGAAACTCCCAGGTAGGCTTTATGTCAGGGACACAGAAAAATGCTCCCTGAAAGTCAAAATATTCGGGCTAGACAGACAAATTCCTGTAAGTGTGGTTTGTCTGGGAACCACAGATGTCACTAATCCTGGTTTGCTCCAGAGTTCTTTTTGTTCACTCCTACCCCCCATCACCATTTGATTGATCTCCTTACCCTGTAATTTCCCCTTCTTGTCGCTTACCTGCAGTATCTTTCCCACCCAGGCATGCCTTATTCTTTCTAAAGGAAAGTATGAATGGAGAGGGGAAAGCTTGGGAAACTGATAGATTTCCTTGGATGCCAAAACACCTCCATAGCCTGTCTGCCCGGCCCTATGTGGAAACAGCATTGAGTTTCAAGTCCTTTATGCCTCCACCCAGGGATAGCCACTTGTAATCCACATGGCAATTGTGAAACAAGCAGGAAATGCGTAATTGTCAGAATTTTGTGGGGAAAGGACTAGGGAATAAGGAAAACAAAGATCTTCCTTGTGTTTTAGAGCTGTCAGCTAGAGGAGCACCTGCTTGAGTCTGATGCCATCTAATGGTCCCAGAAGAAACTGGGTTTTGAACCTAGAGTTCCATGGACTCTTAGGAATTAGACTACTACTACTACTAAGCATTCACTGGTGCTTACTATGTGCTATTGCTGTGCCAAGTATCTGAAACCTGTCTTCTTACCTTATTTTTCAAGATAATTCTATGTGGCAGGTATTACTATCTCAATTCTAAGAGTGAGAAAATGGAGTTTTAGAAACATTTACTAACTTGCCTGGGTCACATAGCTAAGGAAGAGGTGGACTTGCCCAGCTTTGCATAAAACTCCTCAAAAGAGTTGCCTATACTCCCTGACTCCACTTATCTTCCTACTATCCTCTTTTTAAAATATATTATTTATTTATTTAAATAAGCAATATATGAATGTGGTTTGAAATTCAAAAGACACAAAGAAGTATACAGAGGAAAGCCTCACTCTCAATCCTTCTCAAGGTTTGCTAATTCCTCTTGCATAGGCAATCCGTTCTTCCAGCTTTGTGTTTATCTTTCCAGAGAAGTTTACTGTGTATTAAGCAAATATGTATATCTTTATTCTTGCTCAGTATTTTCGCAAACAGCAGCTGTCTAAGTTCACTGTTCTGAACTTTATTTTTTAAATTAAAAATATATGGCTATGTAGTATTCTATTTTATGGAAGTTCCATATTTCATTTATCCTGTTTCCTTCTACTGATGGCTAGTTAGGTTATTGGAAGTCTTTTGCTGTTGCTAGTTAGTCTTGTATAGACATTGTAATGCACATGTGCAAAAATACAAGTATGATACAATCTTAAAGGGGAGTTGCTGAGTCCAATATATACATTACAAATATTGATAGATATTGCAAAATTGCCTTCATAGAGGCTATATTAATTTATAGTTCCAGCAGCAACATATGAGTTTATCTGTTTCTCCATATATATATATATGTATATAACCAACAGACAGTGTTAATTTTTAAAATTTTGACAATCTTCTGGGTGAAAGTAGCATTGTATTGTAGTTATCATTTGCTTTTTAATATTATCATGTAAGTAACAGAGATACTAAACCCAGAAGGATAAGGGAGCAAAGATGAGAAAAATAAACACACACACAAACAACAATAACAAATCTGTCTAAAATATTGGAAAATCAGAATGAGAAATGAAATATGACTGTAACGATAAAAATCAGTAATAAAAATGACTATTAAATTTAAAAATAAGGCAGAGCAACCACAAGTGACATGAGAATGAGGCAGACAAAGTTAAAGCACCTAAAGTCTTTGTCTTGTTTGAAAGGAGGGTAGAGATATTGATTACCTTCAGATGCTGCCACATTTGGTAAACATGTTAAAAATATAAGACTGACTTTTAACTAATATAATTAGAATTTAAAATTCCTAAATCAGTAAGGGGAAATTAAATAATACTTTAAATAAAAATGTAATTGATTTAATATAAGTGATGCAAGGAAAACAAAAGAAGCAAAGTAAGACATAGCAAATACAGAGCACCATATATTGTAACAGAAACGAATGTAAATAGCACAGTGATCACAAGTATAAATAGCTTAAATATGGGAGTTAAAGGAAAGTTCTCAGATTAGATTAACAATATCGCAAAATCCAGTTATATGCCCTTCATAAGATCACAAGAAACCTAAAAACATGAAAATGTTAAATCAAAACCAGATATAAGATACACAAAGCAAACACTAACAGAAGACAGAAAGACAGCTTATGTAATTACAGAAATATCTAAACATATAGTCTAAAACCAAAGGCATTAGTAAAAACAAAGACAGCCATTACATAGTGATAATGAAGTCACCAGAACATTATACTAAAACTGAATCAGTTTGCACCTAGCAATAAAACTACAAAATATGTAAGAAATATAGGAGAATTATAGGAAGAAATTAATTGAGAAATTGAAACACATTTCTCAATGATTATAGAATAAGTGGAAAAATGAATAAGGATATCAAATAAGCCTGTTGATGTTCTTGTCTGTAACATCTAGGAATCAAAATATATTCTTTAAAACTAATAAATCAAGTGCTCGTATTTACACATTTAAGACTACAAAGGTAGACACACACACAGAAAGAGGAAGGGAGAGGATATGAGCTAGTTTTGTGATTGTTCATTATTTAAAACTAATAGGAATTATCTAAAGGAAGAGGGAACTAAGTGTATTATATACAAATAAACTTATCAAAGCAACCTTGAAATATACACCTTCCTTAATATCTGAAAAGGTAAAATTTTTAAAATGCACAATAAAGACATAGTGAAAGATTTTTAAAAATACTCATGTAAACATTATACTTAACAGAAGTTAATATCTCTGAATTAGACTGAATCTATTTGCTGTATGAATAATTATAAATGGGCTTCTTAACTGAACTAAATAAATGAAAATATTTTTAAATTAGATTAAGATAAAAACTCTATTATTTGCAATATGCAAAAGACACCTAACATAAAGCCACTCAGAAAGATGTATTCATTATTTTCAACAAATAAGATGATGGGCAAAGACATAACAAGAGAAGGCAAACAAAAGGGAAGCAGAGGTCACATTCGTCTTACCAAACAAGATGAAATTCAGACACTCCTCACCAAAAAAAAAAAAAAAAAAAAAAAATTGAGTGTGACAAGAAGGGCACTTTATAATGTAAAGTATAAAATTCATATGAATATATGAGACATGTGTTTAAGTTCTAAATACCAAATAGGTAGCTCTTATAAAGCAGAAATTAAGGTAGATACAAGGAAAATATTCAGAAATGTACTACCAATAGAACACTTTAATTCCCTTTCCCTGGACTAGACCAGTTAAGTGGACAAAAAAATAGGCTGGGCCTGGTGATTCATGCCTGTAATCTCAGCACTTTGGTAGGCCAAGGCGGGCGGATCACCTGAGGTCAGGATTTCGAGGGCAGCCTGGCCAACATGGTGAAACCCTGTCTCTACCAAAAATACAAAAATTAGCTGGGTGTGGTGGTGGGCGCCTGTAATCCCAGCTACTTGGGAGGCCGAGGCAGGAGAATTGCTTGAATCTGGGAGGCAAAGGTTGTAGCGAGCCAAGATCGCACCACTGCACTCCAGCCTGGGCGGCACAGTGAGACTCTGCCTCAAAAAAAAAAAAAAAAAAAAGTATGAACACAGAAGATAGAAGATATTACTATCAATAAAAAAATAGATATGCTACATCTATATCAAACTTTTAAAATTGAAAATAGAGGCCGGGTGCAGTGGCTCACACCTATAATCCCAGCACTTTGGGAGGCCTAAGCAGTCGGATTGCTTGAACTCAGGAGCTCAAGACCAGTGTGGGCAACAGCGAAAACCCGTCTCTACAAAAAATACAAAAATTAGCCAGATGTGGTGGCTCGTGCCTGTGGTTTCAACTACTTGGCTGAGGTGGGAGGATCGCTTGGGCCCAGTTCAAGGCTGCAGTGAGCTATGATTGTGCCACTGCACTCCAGCCTGGGCAACAGAGTGAGGCCTTGTCTCTAAAACAAACAAACAAACAAACAAAAATTAAATGGCTCAATGGCATAGAAGAAAATTTTTTTATGAAGCAAGTATAATATTGATGTTAAACTATGACAATGCACAAATATAAAAATTGTAGATGAATTTACTTATTATACTGACACAAAAATCCTAAATAAAACATTGCAAACAGATTCTAGCACAGATTAAAAAACACCCATTAAGATCAAGGGGTTTTTTTTGTTTTTTTTTTCTAGAAAACCCTTTGGAAGTTCATGATATTTTGAATTTCAATGGATATTTCCTGGGAATAATGAGTTCAAATGAACGAATATGTGGAACAAAGCATCACCAACATTTATTTTTTCAGGATGAGGTGATGGACAAAACCATCACAGGGAAATTGAGGCAAATAGTACATGTAAAACAATACTTCGGGTGAGTCCACCTATCCCAAAGTCGTATCAAAGAAGTGGCTGCAGATTGGAGCCCAAAGCCTTTGGTTCCTCAGTTTCCAAATGGATTCTCACTAGGTGGGATCATGAGTTTGCTTTGGACACCCCAAATTCTAACTATTTCTTTTGTTTCTTACATCCTTTCCCTCTTCCCCAGCCCCTTCCCCTCATGTTACACCTCTTGCTGGTTTGAGACGTCAATCACCACTGAGAAAGAATTAAACCAGTATTTTGAGCTGGCAAAATTCTTAGCCTAGTACAATTCCTTCAATTAAACTGTAGCTCAACAATGTGTTCTCTAAAAGTATGATTTAATATTCTACCTAGAAACTCAGAATATTTTTCATAACTCCTCCAGGGCAGTGTGGATTATGTTGATGTGTTAGGAGGAAGTAGAAGGAAGAAAATGAATTGAGATGTACGTTTTACTTCCATGTCAAAGTCACCAAAATAGCAGTTGAAGGGATATTTGTGTCAGGCAATAGGGAGAATAATAATTTTATGCCACCCTCAAAAAACAACCACACATACACCCAAATTCTCTCACTCCTCAGAGAAAGGGGAAGGAAAGAAAAGAGAGAAGCAAAATATGAGCTTGAGTGAAAAATCACAGAGGAGCCTGTAGCTATTTAGGGAGGGCTGCTGGCTGAAGTCAGGCAGGAAAAAAAGATCAAAACACCCTGCCCTATTTTTCAGGCTCGTTCAAGTAGAAGACAAAAACATAAATACAGGAGAAAGGAAGAAAACCACATCTTTTTCCTCTTGTCTCCCCAGAACTGAACAGTGTCTCTGATAAGCCCAGGCCCTTCTATCGTAGACACTGACACTATGCACAGAAAATGACTCAAAAACGCTTCTAATGGGGGTGAATCTGATGCTTCAGTTTATTTAAGATGTACCAGAGGCCATCTAAGGAGATCCATAGCTTGCTAACTGAAGCTTATTGCTTTCTCTTCTTAGTTCCCATGCCAGGCTCTATGCCATTCCTTGCTTGTCATGTGAGATCACTGATTTCCTTTGGTTAGGTAGGATATGATTTCCTTACAGAGATCTGTCCTGACACCAAACAGCTATGATGAAATTCCTTGGTTATTTTCCCTTTTTGTGTACCTTATCATTACCGGAATGCTAAAGCTGTAGGAATAAAGTTTCCCTGGCTTCCCAAGAAATACAGTGTGACAGAAAAAGTATAGCCTAGGGACTTACTAGTTATGTGAACTTTGGTTCATTCCATCCTTACCTCATCTGTAAAAGGGAGATCATGATAGTATCTACTGCAAAGGGTTTTGTGTGATGATTCTCTCTCTTTCTCTCTCTCTCATACACACACACGCACACATTTATATAATGCTTAGAAAATGAACTCATAATAAGCAATTGACAAACATTAGCTATTATTATGTAGGCAAGTCAGATTTTAGAGTTTGTGAGCCTTAGACACATTTACAGAGAAGAAAGAGCAGCCCTCCTAACTTTCTGGTCCAGCGCCATATCCTCCACTTCCTCCCCATCCCCACATCCCTTGCCATTTATCAACCCCCTCTCTCCTCTAAATCTAAATACAGGCCCCCGTTTGATCCATATTGTCTAGGCCCTTCCTCTCCTCTCCACATGGCCCTTCCTTCAGCTCTGAGGGAAGCTGCAGAAGCCAGCCATGGTGCTGTCTACAAAGAAGGGGACACACGCCTCTTCCACCCGCTCATGCTGTTACTGCATCTGATCATCTCCGTGCCGTGTCCTTGTTCACTTAGCCTGTGTTGAGTGTTTGTCTCCATTTCCAAATGCAATAAAACATCTGGGAAAGACTAAGGTAGGTGTGGGCAGGAAGAAGGGAGGAAGTTAGACCCAGTGGCTTGAGTGCCCTCTGATGCCTCCTTATCCTCGGCTCCACACAAGCCCTCGCCAGTGTGAGCTCCACAGCCATCCACCTGGAGGAGGAGTACTCAAAACCAGGGTCAAATGCCTTGTACTCGGGGGTCTACCAGTAAGCCTGTGGCCAGCCTTCCACTTCATGAATCGTCACATTTACATGAGAGATGTGGAGGGAGAGGGGTCAGCCTCCTAGCTCCTGTCCTGTAGCAGTTAAGTCAAGTCAGGCCAGGCTGTGGTAACCAAGCCAGTACCTTCTTTAAAGAACAGTTGTTTCTCATTCATACAGAGTGTGTTGTAGGTGTGAGTGATTCCCTGGGGCAGCTGCTCTTCATGGTGACTCAGCTAATTAGACTGCTTTTCTACTGGGATTGTGCCATCTCAACACAAGGCTGTCTTGGTTGACTTGGTAGGGGAGGAGGAGAAGAGTCATGCACGAGGAGTTAAATTCTTTGACCAGGAACCTTTTGTTCACTTTCCATTGGTGAGAACGAGTCACACAGCTCCAGGAGAGTAGGAAGTCTAGTTTCTCGTTTTCCATGGGCCTAGGAATTAGAGGATGAACACTAGCGATGTCTTCCACGTCTTGCTCTCTTTTTCTTTACCTGTTATAATCTCCCATGGAGAAGAAATTATTTTTCTGATTGGTCTGATCCAGGCCTCTAACCAAGGGCATTTACTAAGGGTCATAGAACAGTAAAAGGTTGCACAATTGCATCTCACCTCTCTTTTCTGAATCCTGCTTAATTAAAACTTTAAAAACTCACTTACAGACCACTTCTTGCTCTTCTTAGTTATCAAATATATTTTCTTCCAACTCCTTTTTGACAGATCTTGCCTTGTTCTCAGCTGACTCCCTTGCAACCATCTAAATGGAACTTCCTCATTCCCCTTTATCCCCTGCTAATCGTCCTGTCTTTATTCTTTTATCTGAAGAAGTGTACCCTTCTTCCCCCAAGCCTTATGCTCTCTGTCTTAGTCCATTTGTGTTAGTGTAACAAGATACACGAGATAGGGTAATTTATGAAGAACAGAAATTTATTTCTCACAGTTCTGGAAGCTAGAAGTTCAAGGTCATGGCCCTGGAAGATTTGATGCCTTGGCCATCGACCTGAAAAAAGTCACTGAAGTGAACTTGTGGTTACCATGATACCCTGGGTTCATTCTTAACATGCACAGTATAGGCAAATCAGGGGCACATTTCATGCTGAAAGATGATGTGAAATGATGAGTAAACATTGCCCTTTAAATAATAATAACATAGATGGTGAATTACAATTTGCACTTTTGGTTTTATTTGCTTAAAGATAGTGTTTTACTGTCTAGGTTTTACTGAAAGAATACTTAACTAAACACTTGAGTCAAATCATTCCAGTGTAACAGTCCTCACAAGGAGGAAGGCAGAAGGGCAAAAGTGCCAAGCTATTGCCTCCAGCCCTTCTATTTTTATTGATTGACTGATTGATTGATTGAGACAGGGCCTCGTTCTGTTACCCATGCTGGAGTACAGTGGTGCATTCATGGTTCACTGCAACTTTGAACTTCTGGGCTCAAGTAGTCTTCCCACCTCAGCCTCCAAAGTAACTAAGACCACAGGTGCATGCCACCATGTTTATTTCTTTAATTTTTTAAATTTTATTTGGACATGGGGGTCTCACTATGTTTTCCAGGCAGGTCTCTAACTCCTAGCCTCAAGCAATCTTCCTCCTCAGCCTCCCAAAGTGCTGGGATTACAGGCATGAGCCATCATCCCTGCTCTCTCTAGCCCTTTTTAAAGTCTCTAATCCCATTCAGGAGGCCTCTGCATTCATGACTTAATCACCTCCTAAAGGGCCCACCTTTTGATACTATCACATTGGTGATTAAATTGCAACACTTGAATTTTGAGTGACATTCAGACCACAGCATTTTGGAGAAAATGTCCCCTTTCTTCTCTTTTTTCTCTTCAGTTTCTCCTTTCTACAGATACCTTGCACTTCACTTGCAACCTTGTTGAAGTCTCTCCTGTCTTAAAAGTTTCTTTTCCCAAAACACCAGAACTCATTCCTTCTGTCTAACTGTAACTTTGTACTTGTTACCAACCTCTACCCATTTCTACCCCTGACTCCCCAGCCTCTGGTAACTCCTAACGTACTCTTTACTTCGATGAGGTCAACTTTTTTAGATTCCACATATGAGTGAAATCACGTAATATAGTCCTTCTGTTCTTGGCTTATTTCACTTAACATAGAGCCCTCCAGGTTCACCCATGTTGTTGAAAATGACAGGATTTCATGCTTTTTTATGGCGGAATAGTATTCCATCATGTATATATATCACATACTAATTACCCTGATTTGATCAATACACAATGTATAGGTGTGTTGGAACATCATGCTGTACCCCATAAATATGTACAATTATTACGTGTCAATTTAAAAAACCCAAGAAAAGTATTTTTTCTTAGTGTTGTTTTTTTCTAAAGTGTATCCCATTTTTTCCTTTGTTTTCACTTTCAAAATTCTTGAAAGACTGTTTTAATCTGCGGCCTTTGTTTTCTTGTTTCCAATTCATTCTTTTGAAATATGGCTTCTACCTTTAACACTCTGCTGTCCTCTTGAAGGTTATTGGTGCCCTACTAACCATAAAACACAATAATGCTCTCTTAGATTGTATCCTGGTGAGCCTTTTTGCAAAATTTTATTCTTTGAGAATTCTCTTTCCATGTTTTCTTTTCTTTTCTTTTTTTGTGGTCATTTTGGCTTATAGGAAATCGTACTCTCCAAATGTTCTCTATGTCTTCTATTTCTTCTCTGATAATCCCTTTACTAAATCTTCTTGAGGCATATGCTTCAGAATGCTTAATTTACATACTCTTAATTCCTTCTTAATTTACACACTGCCTGTCGGCAATGTCAACACCCAATAAGAAGGGAGACCTATTGGTCAGAACAGGCCAGGGAATAGAAGAATACATAATAAACAGTCTGCCTAGTTCTTCTAGGGCCCCATAATATGTCAAACATATATTTTTACTTCTTCTCCCAGCCCATTTTTAGTATACCTAAATTACTGTCAGTGATTCTGCAGGCAAACAATGGTTGAGTTGTATGACACAACTTTGTGAAAGTATCCTACCCAGTACCTGATGATGCAAAACTCTTCTATCTTGATTGGTTGTCAATCTGAGGAGTTTCCAATCCTGGGGAAGCCAGAAAAACAGCGATTTATACTCTTAATGGGTACTTTCTGACTGAATTTTATGAGCTCATTCTGAAGAGGCTGACGATTTTACTATCTCATTTTTTTCCTTTCTCCAGAATGGGTTCTGGGTGGGTCCCCTGGGTGGTGGCTCTGCTAGTGAATCTGACCCGACTGGATTCCTCCATGACTCAAGGCACAGACTCTCCAGGTAAGAACAGAGCAATTGTTTTTTTCCAGTGTGTATGCAAGAATTGGCATGGGGGAGTGATGCCTTTCTTTGTAAGTCCAGGCCACAGACCAGACTGGAAGTGGCTTTTGGTTTCAAAGAACAGTGTTCTTCCCTTTGGCAGAAAGGTACGCCTTGCCTCTTTACATGGGATGGACTTCATATACCAGAGCCACCTATTCAAGGGGTAGGGAGGCAGGAAGAGGGAAACATTGTGTCTTGTTTAGGATCCTTATTGTGTGTATCAACCTCAGTCAGTGCCTGGGCGTGTTGAAGGCCTTGGCTTGGGTTCGAGCCTGCTGGGAGAAACAACCTGCAGTAGGCTGGGTCACAGAGGCAATCTGTGATTTTTTGGTCAGGACACGGAAACAAATCTCAGTTGGGGTATATGTGGACAAATGAAACTGGAAACAAAGGTTGCTCCTTCTGTCATTTATTAAGCCACTATTATATTGTCAGAATTGTACTAAACAGTTTTGAGAAGTAAGAGAAGTTGAATAGAATACATTGTCCTTGTCCTCCGGCTACCAGGTACAAGTTACTTGTCACTGTTATTTTTCTAGCACAGGTGACAGAATATGCAGCCATGAAGCAATGTGAGATGAAAGCACATATTAATGAGCAGAAACAGGATGTAATGTGCTAAGAACAGAATCCCCTTTGCATGTTAGTTTCATTAAATACAAAAGAGGAACAAACCTGGCCAGGAGAGATCATTATTCTCAGAGAATAGAAACCGCCCTGAGTTTATAATGTCCATTAAACAATACAACTGAAAAAAAAATCAGCACAGATGTTAAATGATGATGAAAAATTCAGATTTCCCCCCTGGTTTAGACTACTAGAGGAAATAGAGAAGAGTATACATGCTGAGAAATTACAGGCTGGAACTTCATCTGAAATTAGCTACTGAGTGAGGGATAAGTGGGGTTCACCCAGGAAGGTCATTCTTATGGCTCAGTTCAGAGTTGGAGGAGGCTTCTGAACTTAGAAAGGAAAGTAAATTACAACCCAACATTAATAGCAATTATCTTTCAAGTCTTGACTTAGATGCAATGTCTTCAGGACGTCCTTCCTGACTTACCTACATTATTAACTCCATTTGAATTTCCTTTTTATTGTAGTTGTTGTTCTTAAGTGCATAGGATTGGTTTAATTTTACCCAATGAGTTCACAGCACATTGTAATTATTGGCAGTAGTGCAAGACTCTCTCGTCTCTTCTCTTGCCTCCGTTCTCATTCTCTCCCCTCCCTAGAGAATCCATTCTAAACGTGTCTGGTAAGTCTCTAAGTATGAGAGTGGCTTTTAGAAATATGTAGCATTATTGCTCTTTATGTGTTTTTAAAATTTAATAAATGTCATTCTCTGTTGAATCCCATTCTGTTTCTTTTCTCACTTGACACTGTGCTTTTTGAGCATACTGAGGTCAAAGGCCTCCTCTTAGATCCATGTGGTCTGACGTAATTTACCAGGCATGGGTTTTCCCAGAGGAGGGGGCTGGTTCATGGTTTTGGTTTTGGTTTTCCAGAAGATTTTGTGATTCAGGCAAAGGCTGACTGTTACTTCACCAACGGGACAGAAAAGGTGCAGTTTGTGGTCAGATTCATCTTTAACTTGGAGGAGTATGTACGTTTCGACAGTGATGTGGGGATGTTTGTGGCATTGACCAAGCTGGGGCAGCCAGATGCTGAGCAGTGGAACAGCCGGCTGGATCTCTTGGAGAGGAGCAGACAGGCCGTGGATGGGGTCTGTAGACACAACTACAGGCTGGGCGCACCCTTCACTGTGGGGAGAAAAGGTGAGCTGGAAGCTGAGGTCTGGCGGGGCTCAGGAATGTCCCCCATGTGAACCTGGCCATGGCTCTTCTTTCTTACAAGCAATTTTCTGCTTTAGGATAAATGGTTGTCTGTGTAGATGTTCTGGCCCCAGCTGTGATATATTATCCTCACAAGTCAGCCACTGTGATCTTGGTCTCAGACCCCCAAGGTTCTCAGGGACTTCGAGGGCTATTGTGCCCTCAAAGAGAAGCAGTAATTGTGGGAGTACCTCAGAAAGTCTAAATCCTCCTGACAGGCATTGACATACCCTGTTACTGATCTTGGGGGCTGAGACTTGCCTATACTTTGTGTTCACTTGGGTGATCTGGGAAAGAGATTAGACATAGTGATAGTCCCTAAAGAATCTCCTGTCCCAGCTTGGTGGTTTTCTTTCACGGTGTCTCATTTTTCCTCCCTTCCTAGTGCAACCAGAGGTGACAGTGTACCCAGAGAGGACCCCACTCCTGCACCAGCATAATCTGCTGCACTGCTCTGTGACAGGCTTCTATCCAGGGGATATCAAGATCAAGTGGTTCCTGAATGGGCAGGAGGAGAGAGCTGGGGTCATGTCCACTGGCCCTATCAGGAATGGAGACTGGACCTTTCAGACTGTGGTGATGCTAGAAATGACTCCTGAACTTGGACATGTCTACACCTGCCTTGTCGATCACTCCAGCCTGCTGAGCCCTGTTTCTGTGGAGTGGAGTGAGAATTAGTTTCTAGTACTCTCTGGGCCTGACTCAGGACTATACTGACTCAATACAGAGCCTGTGTCACTTCTGCGTTTATCTTGGTCACAACATGAATTATTCTTTCCCTTGATCTGGGACAGTCACAGAAACCAGAGTCCTTGGGTTAGGGTGGGAGAAAACATGGCAGATATCTATCCTCATATCTTCCAAGAAATGAGGAGATCTAATCACCTCATTATGTGCTTCCAACCCTATGAACTGGTGTCCTCTAATTCTTTGGTCTTAGTATTTAGGAGGCATTCTTATGGGCTGTGAGAATCTGTAACCGATGGGGGGTAACTCCATGGGTGCCAACTTTGGTTTCGAAGAACCTTTTCTAAATTTATTTATTTTTCTCTAGCTAGCATTGGATTTGGTGTCTAGTACAGATTCTGGGATTCCAAGAAAGTGCTTTAAATATTGGGATATTTTTACTAATTTAAAGACCTGTTTCCCATAGGAGCTCAGTCTGAATATTCTTGGAGAAAGATGCTGAGTGGCATTGCAGCCTTCCTACTTGGGCTAATCTTCCTTCTGGTGGGAATCGTCATCCAGCTAAGGGCTCAGAAAGGTAATGAGCCTGTGAGGAGTGCCCTGCCACCTGTCCCAGACCTTCCCCACTCCCACCTTCCCTAACGTCAATGATCTGAGGCAAGGAAAGCTGATTGTGCCTCTCAGGGATCACCGGGATAATTTTTTTCTGAAGCTAGAAATGGGATAAGCAGAGAGAGTGCTGACCTTGCCAGCCATTTGTTCTTCCCTCGGGATAATCATATTGGGTCCTAATTGGGGCAATCCATTCTTTTCTCGATTTCTTTCCAGGATATGTGAGGACGCAGATGTCTGGTAATGAGGTAATGTCTCTTTTTCCTTGTCTTTGAGTGGCAGATCATTCTCCCGGTTCTTTGGCCAGAGGGAGATGACATGGGGGTAGGGAGGAGTAAGGTTGCTGCTGTCTGGATGGGACTGTCCCCTGAGTCTCTGGAACGGCTGTGGGGGGTGGTGAGGCTGCCTCCTGAGACCTTCATCACTGTGCCTCCAGGTCTCAAGAGCTGTTCTGCTCCCTCAGTCATGCTAAGGTCCTCACTGAAGCTTCTCTCTCTGGAGCCTGAAGTAGTGATGAGTAGTCTGGGCCCTGGGTGAGGTAAAGGACATTCATGAGGTCAATGTTCTGGGAATAACTCTCTTCCCTGATCCTTGGAGGAGCCCGAACTGATTCTGGAGCTCTGTGTTCTGAGATCATGCATCTCCCACCCATCTGCCCTTCTCCCTTCTACGTGTACATCATTAATCCCCATTGCCAAGGGCATTGTCCAGAAACTCCCCTGAGACCTTACTCCTTCCAGCCCCAAATCATTTACTTTTCTGTGGTCCAGCCCTACTCCTATAAGTCATGATCTCCAAAGCTTTCTGTCTTCCAACTGCAGTCTCCACAGTCTTCAGAAGACAAATGCTCAGGTAGTCACTGTTTCCTTTTCACTGTTTTTAAAAACCTTTTATTGTCAAATAAAATGGAGATACAAAAAATGTACATTTTAGTGAATTATTTAAGAAAAACCCCTGTAATCAAGTCAAGGAACAGGACTTTGCCAGCTCCAGCGGAAGTCTCTGTACGTCAGGCCAATCAAAGCCTCTCCTTCCCCTCGAAAGTGACCATATCCTGATTTTATTGTAACCTCTTTCATGTCTTTGTAGTCTAGTCCCCCAGGTATGTGTTCCTGGACGCCACAGCTTAGTTGTCTTTTACGTCTCTCATACTTCACTGGTTTCTCCCCCATCAGCCTTTTTTTCCCCCTTATGATTAATCTGTTGAAAAGCTCAATCCATTTGACCTGTAGAGTTTCCCACACTCTGGATTTTGCTGGCTGCGTACACATGGTGCAGTGTAACACATCCTCTGCCTTCTGTGCCTCCCGCAAATTGGCATCTGGATGCAGAGGCTGGATCAGACTCTGGTTCAATCTTTTCCTTTGGAAAATCTATACGTGGTGTTGTGGCCTTTCACCATGAGAGACATAATTTCCAGCTGTTTCTTTTTGTGATGTTAGCAACCATTGATACTAATTGCTTAGGTCTGTTAATTTATTGGGGATTGCTAAATGGTGGTATTCTGTCATTTTTTCTTCATTTATATGCTTTATTAATGCTACAAAGAGACAGTTCCCTTCATTTACTAGTGAAGAGACACTTCCCTCCACTTACTAGTGGGCTACTTAGTGGTACAGTGGAAAGGCAGGATCAGTGTTTGACTCTCCTTTTATTTACCAGTTTTCAAGTTAGCAAATTGGTTTCCTACTATTAATAAAACCTACAGATGGCCAATCAGGTTTTACTTTTCATTCTTTAAATAATTATAAACAGAAGGATTTAAATGTTTGATAGGTTTTACTCTATTGCAATTTTTATGCTTGTTAAAGCTTATATCCTACATTTTTGGTGAGTGAAAACTTCTTCAAGTGGCTAAAAATGAAACTGAGTTCTTTTGACGCAAATTTCTTTTGATAATTTCTTTGTTATCTGGGATGACAACATGTTTCTGGTTCATCTTGTTCATTTCTTGGCCAGACCTGGAGGTAGCCATTTTTCCAGAAATCCCTGGTTTAGTTTAGTGGGAAATGACATTTAAGACTATAATCCAGCGTTAGGGTGTTTTGTCCCACTGAACCCGCTGCTGGAGTCACCTCAAAAGTGGCGTCAAGGGAGTTACCACAAGGAAGTTCCTGAAACCATTCTGAGATGGTGTGGGTTAGGATTCAAAGAAAGAAGCACTAAATGCCAGGGTGATCAGTCCAAAACATTTGTTTAGGGAATTTACCTACAGAGGGCTTCAGGAGTCCTTGCAGACAGCAAGAGAAAAGGGATGTTCTGCCTAGGTATGTCTGCAGCGAGGGGGTCAGGGTATGGAGCTTATATGAAGGTTTAAGGAACCTGGCTCAGGGCTGGGACAAAGTTTCAGTGTTTAGAGAAACAACCTAGATACGTTTATCAGTGCCTGGGAGTGTTCAAGGCCTTGGCTTGGGTTCGAGCCTGCTGGGAAAAACCTGCAGCTGGCTGGGTCACAGAGGCATTCTGTGATTTTTCGGTCAGGACATGGAAAGAAAGCAGGGAGAGGGGCAGTGGGGGAGCCTAAATAGATAGGAATGGTCATTGTGTCCAGCCTGTTCAATGGCAATAAAACATTTATACATGTATACATTTAAAAAAATCAGTCATCCAGGCACGGTGGCTCACGCCTGTAATCCCAGCACTTTGAGAGGCCGAGGCGGGCGAATCACGAGGTCAAGAGATTGAGACCATCCTGGGCAACACGGTGAAACCCCGTCTCTACTAAAAATACAAAAATTAGCTGGGTGTGGTGGCACGCGCCTGTAGTCCCAGCTACTCGGGAGGCTGAGGCAAGAGAAGCGCTTGAACTTGGGAGGTGGAGGTTACAGTGAGCCAAGATTGTACCACTGCACTGCGGCCTGGTGACAGAGCAATACTCCATCTTAAAAAAAAATCAGTCTTCTCTATATTACTTCTGCATCTCCTTTCTTTTATACCAAGAACTCTGGTTTTCAAGGACACAGGGACAGACACAATTAGAATGTCCATACTTATTTGCTTTTCCTGAGTTAACATAGACAGCAGTCTAAGGATAATAACACTCATACACAACCACCAAAATGGCTACTGAAAACGGTTGAAATTCTTTTTACCTACATTCTCCCTATTACCTGTGTTCTCCCTTTTTACCTATGTTCTCCCCCGCTTTCTAGTTGAACTATGTCTATATTAGTTGATCCTGTACCATTGCATAGACTACTTGCTCCCTTGTTAGTCTTAGTTCTGTGAGTAGAGATATGTTTAATGCTCACCATCATTCCTTATGTTGATATCCCTGTCATGTGGTGGTTTTCAAGGTGTGGTCCATGGATTCCTGGGGGTCCCTGGGACCCTTCAAGGGGCCTATGAAGTCAAGCTATTTTTGTACTAATACTAAGATGTTATTTGCCTTTTTCACTGTATTATTTACATATTGGTACAGAAATCTATGGTGGTCACGTGAAACTGTTAGTGCCTGAGCACAAATCAAGGTGGTGACACCAAGCTGTACAGGTAGGTCATGTTCTTCACTGCCATAAGCTTACAGTAAAAAAAAAAAAAAAAAAAAAAGCAAAAGCCAGTGACCTTGATGAAGCAATAAAATCATTAGTTTACTAAATTTTAAACCTCAAGCACACATCTGTTTAATAGTCAGTGTAAGAACATAGGCAGCATTTCTGGTGCATACTGATGGAAAGGCAGTTGTCCTGTGGAAAAGCCATTATGTAATTGCATGAGTTGTGAGTGAAGTTAAACATTTTTTTTTTAGTGGGTCATCATTTTCCTTGAAAGAATGACTGAAAGGCACACTGTGATTATTCAGACTTGGGTATTTGGTAGAAATTTTCTCAAAAATAAACAAAATGAGCCTATCCCATCAAAGAAAATAATATTGACAGTGGAAATTGGAATTTCAAGAGAAAATTAAAATTTTGGAAAACTTACGTGTGCCACAGCTTCTCACTACTTAAAGATGTTTCTGATGAGATTGGTGGTGATATTAACAAATATGGCTTAAAAAATATTGTTTAATAAAATATGTCAACATTTTAAAAATCTGCGTAAACCCATGAATCAATAATTTACAAATAATCAATGCATGATATTGCAAAGTCATGCATAAAGATCCATTTAAAGATAGACTAGTGAATTTTAACACAACAGAATATGAAAAGTTAATATATAAGGTTTCAGATTCCACACTGCAACTAACCTTTAAGAATCTGCCATTTCTTGAGTTTTGGTGTCTTATCAAGGAAGAACAGTTACGATAGCTGAAATGGTTATGGAAACTTTCCTTCTTTTCCCAACTGTGTATAAGAGTGAGGCCAGATTTTCCTCTTGTGCTTTAGCCAAAACAACATATTGTTACAGCTTGAATGTAGAAGAATATATAACCAAGCTAGCTTTATTAAGCCAGACATTAAAGAGATTTTTACAAATGTAAAATAATTCCTTTTTTTTCACTATTTTTTTGTGCTGGAGAAGACAGCTATTTTCCATAAAAGTGTGTTGTTTATGTTAACATGTAATGGGTTTGTTATTGTTATTTAATAACAAATAAATTAATATAAATGTCACTTTACATAACCCATGTAAACTAAAGCTTCTTGGTGTTCTCAACAATTTTATGAATAAAAAGGGATCCTGATATCAAAAGAATTATAAGCTACTGATGTAGTCATCATGATTGTTTGAAACTATTTCTCCTAGGTGCCTCAGGAAGACTTAGGAAAGTGTCTTAGTTTGTATGAGCTGCTATAACCAACTACCAGAGACTGGATGGCTTAAAAACAGCAGAAATGTATTTTTCACAGTTCTGGAGGCTGGAGGTCTGAGATCAGTGTGTCAGCCTGGTAGGGTTCTGGTGAAGGCCTGCTGGCAGCATCTTCTCACTAAGACCTCATGTGGCAGAAGGAAAGGGAGCTATCTGGAATCTCCCTTATAAGGGCCCTAATGCCATTCATAAGGGCTGCACCCTCATGACCTAATCACCTTCCAAAGGCGTCACCTCCTGGTACTGTCACCTTGGGCGTTACGATTTCATCATATGAATTTTGGGACGGCATATACAGTCCACACCAGGAAGTTCTTGCACTTCATAGTCGAAAGTCAGTTTTGTGGCTATAAAAATCTTGGTTCCATTTTCCGCTCTTGAGTATCTTAAAAAGTTACTACATTTTCACATAACTGCTATCAAAAAGTCTGATGATAATCTAATTATTAATAAGTCATTGCTACTTTTGCTGAGTATCCAGATGGTATTTTCTTTTTCTTTAGTATCCACAAGTTTTATTGGAATGTATCTTGGTTGGGGGGAGGGCAAGATCGCTGACTAGATGCAGCCAGGTGAAACAGTTCTCAATGAGGAACCCAGATGACTGGCGTGCTCCTAACAGATGTTCAGACAGAAGGCACCTAGAGTGGACAGAGGGAAGACACAGAAGCTGGACTGAAGTGGGAGAAAGCTGGGAGCCCTACATGGGGCTACAGCACATCCAGACTCATTCCTGTCCTCCAATGGCTCCAGGAAAATGGGTGAGTTGAACTGGCAAGGAACAACCCACTGTCACTATGACCTCTGCAACCATGGCAGGAGGAGACCCATTGACCACCATGGACACTTGAGTTGGCAGGAAGAGCTGCTTAGAGAAGCCGTAGGGGTGGCAAGCCAGCGGGTGTGGAGCCTAGAGGATTCAGTGCAGGAGCATCTGCAGTGGAGCATGGCCAGGGATGGCCATTTCCCTAGGCTCAACTTACTCCCATAGGAGACATTAGCCCTAGGGAAACTGTTGGTCCTGAAATCTGTAGGGTGGTCTTGCCCATCAGATGAGTCTGGTTCTACCTGAGCAACCGTTGGTCTTCTGGCCTCTCCTGGGGCCCTGGCCTGGCCACATCTGCTTGCAAAGCAGCCTCAGGTGCTCTGTGGGCCTGCACCATAGCTTCTACACTGGCAGACCATGACTGACCAGTAAGTGGAGAGCTCCAACGAGGAGGCCCCTATGACCAGGCACCAGCCTGCATGCTCCCTCCCCACACTGCAGCTTCCTCTGGGCCCACAGCAACTCCCCACATCATTTTGCTGGTACATGTCTGCTGGGTGGGTTTTGTTTTCCTTGCCTCACCAGCATATAGGAGTGTAATTCACCCCCCACCAATTCCCTCCTGACAGCCATTGCAGACAGAGCCTTGGTGGGCACAGAGCCAGCCAGCCCCACTCCCTCCATCATCCCACCCTGTGCTAACACTGTGCAGAGAACAGCTGATCCTCCCCCACCCTGAGTGACCACTCCTGCACAGAAAAGGCACGCAGACCTGCACCTGCCAATGCCTTGCCCCTAAGCCAACACCACTTCCTGTGTGACCACACACACAGTTGCCAGCAGGGGACCCCCTTCCTTTCCTGCAGTTGCATTGCCTCTGCCACTGTGGTGGATGCCTGCAGGGAGGTGGGCACCCCGGCACCTGCTAGTACTCTGCTGCAGCTTCAACTACCACTGCTGCTGGTACACTCAAACAAGGACAGATCCTCCTGTCACTGTACTATGAAACACTTTGGCTGACACCACTCATTGGAGTGTAGTGACCAGTGGTCTGGGAGCACTTCGGACTGCACCACTCCTGCCACCTCCCCCACCCCCCGCCCATCACAGCGGATTCCTAATTCTGAGGAAACAGAGAACAAAGTCAGGGCCCCGTACAAGTCCCAAAGAATTACAGCATGCAGTCCAGGAGTTGGGAGTGGAATACTGGCCAAATAAAATTGTCCAGAAATGAAGTCAGTTGGCTGAATCCACCTTATACCACAATCAAACCCTCAAAGTCATCAAATAGGATAAATAGGATAAATAAAAAAGGTTGGATGATCTTTGCTGTCCAAAGGTCAGCAGTCTCAAAGATTAAAGGAAAATAAGCCCACAAAGATGAGAAAGAATCAGGCAAGAACCTTGACAACTCAAAAAGCCAGAGTGTCTTCTGTTCTCCAAACGACCACATCACCTCTCGAGCAAGGATTCTGAACTGGGCTGAGATGGCTGAAATGACAGATATGTAATTCAGAATAAGGATAGAAATGAAGATCATTGAGCTACAGAAGTACATTGAAACCCAATCCAAGGTAGCTAAAAATTATGATAAAACAATGCAGGAGCTGATAGATAAAATAGCCAGTATAGATAAGGACATAACCAATTTGATAGAGCTGAAAAACACACTATAAGAATTTCATAATGCAATCACAACTATTAATAGCAGAACTGACCCAGTGGAAAAAAGAATCTCCACACTTCAAGACTGGCTTTCTGAAATAAGATAGTCAGACAAGAATAGAGAAAAAAGAATGAAAAGGAAGGAACAAAACTTCTGAAAAATATGAGATTATGTAAACAGACCAAATCTATGACTCATTGGTGTTCCTGAGAGAGATGGGGAGAATGAAACCAACTTGGAAAACATATTTCAGGGTATCATCCATGAGAATCTCCCCAACCTAGCTGGAGAGGCCAACATTAAAATACAGGAAATGCAGAGAACCCCAGTAAGATACTTCACAAGAAGATCATTCCAAAGGCACATAATTATCAGATTCTCCAAGGTTGAAATGAAAGAAAAACAGTTGGCAGCTAGAGAGAAAGGCCAGGTCACCTACAATGAAAAGTCCATCAGACTAACAGTGGACCTGTCAGAAGAATCTCTACAAGCCAGAAGAGACTGGGGCCAACATTTATTATTCTTAAAGAAAATAATTTCAACCCAGAATTTCATATCTGGCCAAACTAATCTTCAAAAGTGAAGGAGAAATAAGAACCTTTTCAGAGAAGGAAATGCTGAGGGAATTTCATTACCACTAGACTTGTCTTACAAGAGCTCCTGAAGGAAGCACTAAATATGGAAAGGAAAGACTTACTAGCCACTACAAAAACACACTGAAGTACACAGACCAGTGACACTATAAAGCAACCACATAAACAAGTCTGCAAAATAACCAGCTAACATCATGATGACAGGATGAAATCCACACATATCAATACTAATCTTAAATGTAAATGGGCTAGTGCCCCAATTAAAAGGCACAGAGTGGTAATCTGGATAAAGAACCAAGGCCTATTAGTATGCTGTCTTCAAAAGACTCATGTGTGTCATGCAGTGACACACATAGGATCAAAATAAACAGATGGAGAAAAATCTACCAAGCAAATGGAAAACAGAAAAAAGCAGGGGTTGCAATACTAGTTTCAGACAAAACAGACTTTAAACCAACAAAGATCAAAAAAGATGAAGAAGGGCATTACATAATGGTAAATGGTTCAATTCGACAAAAGATCTAAGTATTCTAAAAATATATACCTCCAAAAGAGGAGCACCCAGATTCATAAAGCAAGTTCTTAACGACCTTCAAAGAGACTTAGACTCCCACACAATGATAGTGGGAGACTTTGACACCACATTGACAATGTTAGACAGATCATCAAGACAGAAAATTAACAAAGATACCCAGGACCTGAACTCAGCTCTGGATCAAATGAACCTGATAGACATCTTATAGAACTTTCCACCCCAAAAAGACAGAATATACATTTTTCTCATTGTCACATGGCACATACTCTAAAATCGATCACATAATTAGAAGTAAAACACTCCTCAGCAAATGCAAAAGAACTGATCATAAGAAAAAATCTCTTGGACCACAGCACAATCAAATTAGAAACCAAGACAAAAAAGTTCACTCAAAACCGTACAATTACATGGAAATTAAATAACCTGCTCCTGAATGACTTTTGGGAAAATAATGAAATTCAGGCAGAAATCAAGAAACTCTTTGACATGAGTGAGAACAAAGATACAACACATTAGAAGCTCTGGGACACAACTAAAGCAGTGTTAAGAAGGAAATTTATAGCACTAAATGCCAACATCAAAAACTTAGAAAGATCTCAATTTAACAACCTAACATAATAACTAAAAGAACTAGAGTATCACAGCCAACCAATCTCAAGGCTAGCAGAAGACAAGAAATAACCAAAATCCAGAACTGAATGGAAGGAGATTGAGACACAAAAATGATTCAAAAGATCAATGAATCCAGGAGCTGGTTTTATGAAATAATTAATAAAATAGATGGACTTCTAGCTAGACTAATAAAGAAGAAAAGAGAGAAGGATTCAAATAAACACAATTAGGAATGACAAAGGAGGTATTACCACTGACCCCACAGAAATACAGACAACCATCAGAGAATATTATGAATACTTCTATGACATAAAGTAGAAAATCTAGAAGAAATGGATAAATTCCTGGGCACATACACCCCCTAAGACTGAACTAGGAAGAAATTGAATCTATGAACAGACTAATAATGAGCTCTGAAATTGAGTCAGTAGTAAATAGCCTACCAAAACAAAACAAAACAAAACAAAACAAAACCCAGGACCAAATGGATTCACAGCTGAATTCTATCAGGTGTACAAAGAAGAAATGGTACCATTCCTGCTGAAACTATTTCAAAAAATTGAGGAGAAGAGACTCCTACCTAACTCATTCTATGAAGCTAGCATCATCTAAATACCAAAACCTGGCAGAGACACAACAAAAGAAGAAAGCTTCAGGCCAATATCCTTGATAAACATTGATGCAAAAAATCCTCAACAAAATACCAGCAAACCGAATCCAGCAGCACATCCAAAAGCCAATCTACCATGATCAAGTAGGCTTTATCCCTGGGATATGAGGTTTGTTCAACATATAAAAATCAGTAAATGTGATTCATCACATAAACAGAACTAAAGACAAAACCCACATGATTATCTCAATAGATGCAGAAAAGTCTTCTGATAAAATTCAACACTCCTTCATGTTAAAAACTCTTGATAAACTAGTTATTGAAGGAACATACGTCAAAATAGTAAGAGCCATCTATGACAAACCCGCAGCCAACATCATACTGAATGGGCAAAACCTGGAAGCATTCCCCTTGAAAACTGGCAGAAGACAAGAATGCCCCCTCTCATTACTCCTATTCAACATAGTACTGGAAGTCCTTGCCAGGGCAATCAGGCAAGAGAAAAGAATAAAGAGCAGCCAAATAGGAAAAGAGGAAGTCAAAGTATTCCTGTTTGCAGATGACATGATCATATATCTAGAAAACCCTATCGTCTCAGCCCAAAAACTTCTTAAGTTGATAAACAACTTCAGCAAGGTCTCAGGATACAAAATCAATGTGCAAAAATTACTAATATTTCTATACACCAACAACAGTCAAGCCTAGAGCAAAATCAGGAATGCAGTCCTATTCACAATTGCCACAAACAGAATAAAATACCTAGGAATACAGCTAACCAGGGAGGTGAAAGATCTCCACAAGAAGAACTAAAAAGCACTGCTCAATGAAATCAGAAATGACACAAACAAATGGAAAAACATTGCATGCTCATGGATAGGAAGAAACAATATCATCAAAATGGCCATACTGCCCAAAGCAATTTATAATTCAATGTTATTCCTATTAAACTACAATTGAGATGCTTCACAGAACTAGTAAAAACTATTTTAAAATGCATATGGAACCAAAAAGGATACATAGATACAAAATAAGGACATGAAAACATGTGCAATGTCATTAGCCATTAGAGAATTACAAATTAAAACCACAATAAGATATTACTATATACCTATCATGATGGCTAAAAATAAAAAGTAGGCACAATACCAAATCCTGGTGAGGATGCAGAGAAAATAGATCACTCACATTTGGCTGCTGGGAATGTAATATAGTACAGCCACACTGGAAAATAGTTTGGCATTTTCTTTAAAAGCAAAACATGCAACCACCATACAACCCAGCAATTGCACTCCTGAGCATTTATCCCAGAGAAATGAAGACTTATGTTCAGAGAAAAATCTGCACATGTATGCTCATAGCAGCTTTATTCAGACAAAAACTGGAAACAAACTGTGGTATATCCATACTAGGAAATACTACTTAGCAATAAAAACGAACAAACTGGATACAGGCACCACGACCTGGATGAATCACCAGGGAATTATGCTGAGTGAAAAAAAAAATTGCAAAATGTTGTCTACTAAATGATTCCACTTACATAACACTCCTGGAATGCCAAAACTATAGAGATGGAAATTAATAATTGCTGTGTTAATGAAGAAGTGGAAATGGGAGGGAAGTGGCTGTGGCTACAAAAGGGCAAAATGAGGGATATTATAGTGATGAAAGTGTTCTTTATTTTAATTATATCAATGTCAATATCCAGACTGTGATAATTTACTGTAGTTTACAAGATGTTATCCTTGGGGGAAACTGGGTAAAATGTACATGAGATATCTCTGTAACATTTCTTAAAAGTGTCTGTGAATCAACAATTATATCAAAATAAAAAGTATAATTTAATACAGCATCTTAACATTTTCAACAAAACTAAGTGTCAAAGTATCCCCATAAACCTCAAATACAAATTGGTGAGGACAAACCACTAGTAGTTGCACGTTATTAATTTTTCCTGTTATGGATTATGCCTTTGGTGTCAAGTCTAAAAGCTTTTTGCTTAATCCTAGATCCTGAAGATTTTCTCCTGAGAGTTTTGTGACTTTATGTTTTACATATTAGACTTTGATCCATTTTTATTTCTTCCTTTGAAATCTGCACGCCTTTTTTTTTTCTCGCCCATTACATTATCTAGAACTTCCAACGCCATGTTGAATAAGCATGGCGAGAGTGGACATCATTGCTTTGTTCCCGATCTTTGGGGGAAAAATTTCAGTCTTTCACCGCTGTGTTAGCTGTAAGATTTTTTGCAGATGCTCTTTATCAAATTGAGGCAGTTCCTCTCTATTTGCATTTTCTGAGCATTTTATCATGAATGGCCATTGAATTACGTATTCTAATACCTCATATATGTACATCATTAACTTGGATTACGCTTCTTTAAATAGCTGCCTGTTCTACTGGTTGTCAAATGAGCTGTATCCTTTCTATTTAATGCCTACATGAAGTTTTTAAATATGGACTCTATGTCATATATTTAGTCCCTTTCAGGTTTCCAACATAAAGTGATACTATTTCAGCTACTTAAGCACTTATTTAGGATTTATGCCTCATGTAGTTTAGATTTATTATGAGTTTGCACTTACATTTGATTCCTTTTTATACTCCTAATGTCTTTTTTTCTTAAACAAGTGGCCTATATATTTGGACTCACAATATTTATACATCCTCTGTCACCAGGGGTACATGTCCTTATACCTTAAAGCACGTGCTTCTGGAGTCCTGTCGTGTTACATGTTTCCTCTAAAACAAACCCTCCATGTTATTTGAGAGCCAACCCCACTTTTCAAGTTATTTAGGCTGCTGTAACCTCCATTAATAAAGGATTCAAAAGTCATAATTGTGTGATTCTTTAGGAATTATCCAAAAAGGCAATCTGATTTATTTTCCAAATATCCTGGATCTGAAATAATCTATCAGAGTTTATTTCTATGCTTGGAAAGCTTCCTTGGATGTCAGCATTTGCGATTTTCTTACTTAGCTTATGTAGCTAAGTAAGAAATGAATTGCTTTTGTTGGTTTCTTAGTACATTCTGTCCATCAAGTACATTGAGTTGTTTAGAATTGTTTTGAGTCAACAGTGTAACAAGCATCCAAAATCTTGTATAGTCAATTTTGTTTGACTATTGTGCTAGAAGATCAATTTCTATTTCCTCTGTTGACAATATCCTGAGCATTTTGAAGTTACACAATTGCAGTGGTAATTTAGCGGAAGAGTGTTAACATTTTAACCTAAATAATTGATTTTGTATTAAACAAATTCTGATGTAGGAATGTATTTAGTATTAACTATATGGAATTCTCTATAAATCTCATAAACAGAGTAGTTGCTTTTTTGAAGGGGATTAAAAATTAAATATCAACATTTTCATTTTAGAAAATAAAAAATGTGGCTCACGCCTATAATCCCAGCACTTTGGGAGGCTGAGGTGAGCAGATCACGAGGTCAGGAGATCGAGACCATCCTGGCTAACACAGTGAAACCCTGTCTCTACTAAAAAATATGAAAAATTAGCTGGGCATGGTGGTAGGTGCCTGTAGTCCCAGCTACACGGGAGGCTGAGGCAGGAGAATGGTGTGAACCCAGGAGGTGGAGCCTGCAGTGAGCCAAGATCATGTCACTGCACTCCAGCCTGGGTGACAGAGCAAGACTCTGCCTAAAAAAAAAAAAAAAGAAAAGAAAAAGAAAAGAAAAAAATGTCTTTTTTCTTTTTAAAATTTTCCTATTTTAATATTTAAAATTATTTTATCTTTTTTTTAAAAAAGTTATACATGACATGGTTTAAAACATCAAATACAGATGGTTCCTGACTTATGATGGTTCCACTTAAGATTGTTCAGCTGTGATGGCGTGAAAGCAGTACACATTCTGGAAGAAATGTACTTCAAATTTGAAATGTCAGTCTTTCTCTGGGCTAGTGATATGTGGTATAACACTCTCACCTGACGCTGAGCAGCAGTAGTGAGCCACAGCTCCCAGTCAGCCACGCTAATGTAAGTGTTCTGAGCATGTTGAGGGTAGGCTGGGCTAAACTATGATGTTTGATAGGTTAGGGGTATTGAATGCATTTTCAACTTGCAGTTTATCAGGACACAAACCCACCTGAAGTCAAGGAGCATCTGTATTTCTACAGGGCTTGTTATGCAAAACAGCTGACCACACTGCCTCCCCATTCCTCTTTCCAGACAGAAATTCTAGTAGATAGTCCCATTTTACAAATGAGAAAGTGGAGGCTTAGGGAGGTTAATTAAGACACGCAAGTTCATATGGGTAGGAAGCGATGGAGCTATGATAAGAACTCAAATCCATATGGTCCCCAAGCCTGAGGTTTGAGCTATATTGCTTCGTGATTACAGGATATATTAGTTTCCTATTGGTGCTGTAACAAATTACCACAATTTAGTGTTTTAAAACAACAAAAATTTATTGTTGGACAGTTCTGGAAATTATAAGCCTAAAATGGGTCCTGTTAAATTAAATTAAATTTGGCTTAAAGCGGCCTCTGTACTTTGAATTCCTACGTAGTATACTGAAATCTAACTTAATGTGTAAGAAAATTGTACCCTAACTTAAGAGCATATTCTTGTAATAAATAGCTGAGTCTCAGGCAAACACAGCAGCCAAGCTTCAGGCAATCACAGGTTGCCAACTGATCAGACCATGATCAAATAAGGCAAATACTGAGCTGTAAACAAGCTGCTTCTGTATACCACTTCCTTTTTCTCTCTATAAATATTGCCTGCCCCTATTGCTCAGTGGAGCTCTCTGTACCTCTTCTGGTCCTGGATGCTGCCCAATTCATGAATTGTGCTTTGCTCAAATAAATCAAAATAAATTTCATTTGTTCAAAGTTTTTCTTTTAACACTTGTACAGGGCTAATCAAGGTGTTAGCTTGTCTGTGTTCCCCTTCTGAAGGCTTTAGCGGATAATCTGTTTTTTGCCTCTTCCAGCTTGCAGCGACCAGCTGCATTCCTCGGCTTGTAGCCCCCTTCCAGCAATCACTTTCCTCTGATTTTTGCTTCTAATATCACATCTCCTTCTATTCTCTTGCCTCTTTCTTTCACTTAGAAGGACCCATGTAATTATATCAGGACCACTTGGCTAATCCAGAATAATCTCCCCATCTCAAGATCCTTAATCTAATCACTAATGCAAAGTCCCTTTTGCCATGTAAGGTAACAGATTCACAGGTTTCATAGATTCAGATCTTTCAGGGGTGGCAGTTGGGGGCATTATTCCATCTACCACACAGAGTAAAGTTTCATCTGGATGACCCACAGGCCCTACAAATACAAAATGTCTAATATGGAATGTTCTCTTAAACTGTCCTTTCTTGATGACTGGAATTACTAACCACTTGGTCTCCCAAGCATCTTCTGCTCTCGCCTTCTCCTCTCTCCCATATACAATGGATGACGACACATCATGTTGCATCTGCTCCCTCACATGTCTCTGACCCTCTCTCTAGATCCCTGATCCTACTTTAATTCGAGCCCCATCATGTCTGGTCTGTGTTACTCTAACAGTTACCCACGCTGCTTTCTCTGCTTTCAATTTTATGCTCCTCTAACCCACTCTTCCCATCAGAGTAGTCTTTCTAAAACGTGAAGCTGCCCATGACCCTTCCCTTACTATCAGTCTGCATACTGGTCCTACTGACTGCAGATCAAAGACCCAAGTCCTTAGCCTGGTGTGTGAGGCATCCATCCCTAGCCCTCTGCTTCATCTGTCACCCACCCATTTTACCAATTCCGAAAGACTTTCACTTCCCTCGAAGCCTGTCCAAGTGTCCAAGCCGCTCATGCTTTGTTAGACTTGGAAGCCATTCTCCATATACCCTCGATCAGCTTGAATGTCATTTCCACTAGAAAATTTTCCTAATTGTTTGTGACTTCAATGTCCTAATTTTACACACATTTCTGCTGTGCCCCTTTGTTTGCTAATATGTCTCCTGGGTGGTAAGCAGGACTCCGTGTCTTATTAATATTTTCCGTCTCCAGAATTCAGCCACTGTCTGCCACACAAGTGCATAATGAGTTACTATACTAATATTATGCAGCCATGTCCCCTGTACAGCAGTTCCCTGGATCTCATGGCTTCTTTTTTGATTTGCCTTGTTTGTTACCAACTTCCATCAGTAAGACAATCTATCCAATCCTTGTCCCCTTTGCCACATCACATCCTCAGGGCAATAACAAAGTTGTTAAGTTTATGCACCTTCTCCACTTGGAGCAAGGCCTCACCATGTCAGGCCTCCGCCTGATTCTCCTCCCTGCCTGGGATGGCAGATTTTGCTCTAGTGGGTCTCCAGGCCGTGAGGTCTCCTGTCTTTTATGTTCTGATCCGGGTGGTGAGCTGCAGCTCACTACAAGTCCTTACTTGTCTCTGCTGGCCTTTAGAGACTTTGTACTCAATTTGGAGGAACTACTCTTGATGGATTGTAAGTGAGAGGATTTCCTGGTCTCCCTCTGGAGTCCGCCAGAAAACCACATTCTCTGCTTTTCAGCGTTGACTGCTCATGCTTACGTAATTTCTAAGAGTAAGAGCCTATGGACTGTCCTGGCAGCAAAGAATTCGCTCAGGATTTTGCCTGAAGCTGCACTTCCGGGGTCTCGCTTCATCAGAAGACTTCTTCATTTTCATCATCGGCCCAGCGATGCATGGGTACCTCTTAGGGTTTAGCCCCAGAATGTACTGGGGGAGGGGAGGGTAAAGTAGGTGGGGAAGGAGTCAGAGTCGTAGGTCACCTGTGGCTGGAGTTTTGCATCCCTAATAAACGGGAAATGAACTGAAGGAAGACTGGGTTTTCACGTCAACACGAAGGACACCATTACGATGCTAGACTAATCATCAAATAAAATTCCAGATGGAAAAAATTCAGAAACTTAATTTGGAATTTGAGCCCCGCTCTATTATGCAACGTTCCCAGCCATTGCTCCGCGGATGTAATGTGGACTTCCACCGCCAGATGGCGATCGAGACCGTAATTTAAGTTGGTTTTCTCAACTTCCTCTGGACTGAGTCCCCGTGAAAATCCCAAGTTTAACGAGGGGCTTTCCTCGCGTAACCTTCGCTTCTGCTTCCTCTCTCACATCACCTCAACCTGCGAGACTCTGAAAGGGATAATGAGGGTTGGGGGGAATATGGAAATTCAGGGAAGGGAGAGGGGGGTGGTGTGAAGCTTTCCAGACCAGCCACACAGAAATAGCGTACCAATAGTGGTTTAGAGCACAGACCCCCAGCCAGAATGAGTAATTTAAACAGCCCTACGATGTAATCGTTGTGTGCATATGCATCTCTATGCCTCTCTCTCTCTCTGTCTTTCTTTCATCTGAGACAGGGTCTCACTCCCTCTGTCCCACAGGCTGGAGTGCAGTGGTGCAATAATGGCTCGCTGCAGTCTTGACCTCCTGGGCTCCAGTGGTCTTCCCACCTCAGCCTCTGAAACCACAGGGTCTTGAACTTCTGGGCTCAAGTGATCTTCCTGCCTCGGCCTCCTAAAGTGCTGGGGTTACAGGTGTCGGCCACCATGCCTGTCTGCTATTTAAGTGCATAGAAGAATGCCTGGCACTCAGTTAGTGTTAAATATTTATAAAATAAATTAAAATTTTATAACACTACACACATGTTGTTGAGTATGTCATAAATAGAGACATATTTAATGAGATGTCAACATATATCACGTTAATGAATTAAGTAAGTTTGAGAATATTAGAGAAGAATGATAATAGATTAACGGAGGAGGCTGGGCGCAGTGGCCCACACGTGTATTCCAGCACTTTGGGAAGCCGAGGCAGGCAGATCACATGAGGTCAGGAGTTCGAGACCAGCCTGGCCAACATGGTGAAACTCCTTCTCTACTAAAAATACAAAAAAAAAATTAGCCGGGTGTGGTGGTGTGCGACTGTAATCCCTGCTAATGGGGAGGCGGAGGTTGCAGTGAGAGGAGATCGCACCACTGCACTGCAGCCTGGGCGACAAAGCAAGACTCCATCTCAAAACAAACAAACAAACAAACAAACAAACAAAAAACAGACGAAATAGGGTTTGAGTATGTAGTCTGCTCTCAACATGAGATAGTAAAGTCTTTGCTTCCCTTATATTCTGTTAATTAACTCATTTGATGCACATCGATGTATAAAGCCTTTAACTTCTATTTATTCTTTTCCTTGAAAAGCATGCGGAATGCCTTCTCAGGACTCTCCCATTTTTTATTTGTGAACACCCACTGGCATTCCCGGATACGAAGCTTGCAAGAAGGTGTGAACCGCCCTATACTCGTGAGCCCCTGGGGCTCTGTACTCTTTCCAGCCCACATTTGACCTCAGTCAATTTTTAAATGATTCCAGCTAAATTCTTCTTACCAGTGCCCAGCTGTACCTGCCTTAGGTAAGCAAGCACTCAGGCAACAACTTTCCTAGATTTCAAGCTAGTTGGAAGCTCAATCCCAGCTCTGTGATGGGTTGAAAAAAATTGCGACCTTGCAATTTGTGTGATTTCTTTCATGTTGCAAGGAAGCATCATTGTTTCCAGTTCTCTGCATCCCCAAGCAGAAACCAGAACTCTATATAAACGTTTTTAAATGGAGACATTGAGAAAAAGTACCCGAGAAACCAATGAGATACAGGAAGAATGCTTCCAGCACTAACATGAATGGGGCTTGGCCATACAGATAGAAGGGTTGGAAACTCTTACGCCTTGATTTAAACTCTCTATGCATATTCTGAGCACGCTGGGGAATGTACTACTACTAGGCTTGATTTGGATTCATGGCTACTACCTCCCACAAAATGATAGGTCTTCTGTTTTAGTACGTGAGATAATTCCTCAATCGATCTTATTGCTGCTATTTCTGTTAAGCATAAACAATGATTTGGGTCACAAATTTCAATGGGGTTTAAATTCCTTTGTGCATCCCAACAGGTAATCCTCTTACTCTGGGCTATGAACTTGCTACTGCCAAGATGGATGCCATGAAAAAAAGAGATCTCATCAAAATGGTCACAGAGAGATGGAGGGCCTCTGTGTAGATGGCAGGGTGGTGGTGGCCGTGTAACTAGCTGCCCGGTGAGGAGCAGCCCTTGGGGAGAGCCCAGGTAGGACCAGGAGAAGCAGAAATAGAGAAAAGTGAAAGATCGAGGTGGAAAGAACATGAGGGACAAGAGCTCTGCATGGCCACATCACCAGCAGTCTTGTTATTACAATGAGGATGAAGGGACTGAAAAGAGGGGAAGAGATGGAATTCATCAAACAACAGTGCTCATTCATACAAGGTAAGTATACATGTGGCCTTTTCTCTCTCTATCTGAAGATGTGGCTTACTGTAACAGGAACTATCATGGGCATTGGACGGCTGTCTCATGGTGATCCCATCCTCCTCTACATCCTAAACTTTTTTTTGAATGCATTTCTGTATTTTGACTTCCTCTCTCCCCAAAGTTCTTGTTAACTTCTGAGTATGACTTAGCTTCCTTATTCTTTGAAATATTTGAAACCCCTAACTTCCTCTCCTCTGTGGTGTAACTCACATGGCTTCTTGATACCAGGAGGCACTGTCTGCATACAACCTCATATTATGAGGATGAAATGCCCATGAATCCTACCAATCTGAGGAACAACGCATTTGTCTTCTCTGACAAAATACGGGTGCCACATATTCTGTAGGAAAAGGTGGTGTTGAGGTCAGAACTTCTCTGTTTCTCTGTCTCTCTCTCTCTGGTTCTGGAAATGTTGAGAATATGAGTGAAGGGAAAAAGATGGGCACCACGTGGAGGCAATTTCATGGTGGCATGAAACAATTTTGGGGGCATGAATGCCATGGGCAGAACATCAGGGCCCCAAAAGGGAAATACACAGTACTTTCTTTGGACTTCAGTGCTCTCTTTTATAGTAATGGAAACCACAAGCGCAGAGGAAGGGGAGCTGATTCTATAAAAAGAAGTTTATTTCCTACTTTAAAAGATGATTTTTTGACTATCTTCCCACAATAGAGCCAGAGGATCACAGGGGAAAGCTACGATCCTCAATTATAGAAAATGATGTTGGGTGCATCTAGCATCACAGAAGCTTTAGAGGACACAGTCATCTCAGGTACCTACAGATAAGGAAGAAGTACCAATGAGAGTACCTACTCGTATTCTTATTCATGGAAGCGAATCCCTTCAGGAACCAAATCATTTAGCTGCTGGTAGATGTTTCTTTTGGCTCCTCTCTCTCCTGAGCTCTCAAACACAGACTTTTTTTTCTGTGTGCCTCTGCTTTTGGCAACTCTGTTCCAAGAATAAGAATATTTGTTTGTAGATGAGCTTGCTAGGTCGGGGATCTCTTGTATAGGGAGATGGTGAATCACTGAGCAGGACACAGAGGCATGAGTTGAAACAGTGAGATGTACCTTAGTTTAAAGAGAGGTCACAAGAGCTCATGGACCATTATTAGATAAACTCTAAATTAGAAAAAAGAACCATATTTCTCTTTTGATAGTCACATAAAAATTGAAGCCATACTCATTCTAATAAAAAGTAACATGCATAGCTCTTCATTGCAAAGCTCATCTATTATTCATAACAGGCATATAGGGTCTATATCATTTTTACAGAAGTGGAAATAGCATGTAATTACTAATTTAGTTTATTCATTAGTTTTCCAAAAGTGAAATAAAGAATTTTCCCTTTGACTTCCTACCTGGTAATTTGAAAGAGATAAATTTGTGACTAAAAAGAGTACTTCACATCATACACAAATAATTAATGCAACTGATTGACCCAAGCTAGTGTGTGTGATATTGTGATATAATAGGAAGTATATATTTGGTTTCTGACCCTGGTTCCTGCCCTTCAGCTCCTAAAACTCTTGGAATCTCCAGAGTGATAAGAGTGTCTTTTGCATGCTAATGAGGTGACTGGTGGCTGGGGCTGGTCACCAGAAAGACCAAGGCAGGATTAGAGGGTTGGGATTTTCAGCCCACTCACAATCTCTGGGGAGAAGGGAGGGGCTGAAGGTTGAGTTGACTGCCAATGGCCAATGGTTTAATCAACTCACCATGCTGACATAACAAAGCCTCCATTAAAACCCAAAAGGGCAGAGTTTGGAGAGTTTCCAGATAGCAGAACACGGAAAGATGCCTGGAGGATAGGCTCTTGAAGAAGGTGTGGAAGCTCCGCACTCTTTCCCCCATACTTTGTCCTATGTGTTTTGTTTTTCTTTATCAATCTGTTCGTCTGTATCCTTTGTCTTATCCTATGTAATAAACCAGTGTATGTAAGTGTTTCCCTGAGTTCTTTGGGCTGCTCTAGCAAATTAATTGAACCTGAGGAAAGGTTTGTGGGAACCTCCAATCTATAATTGGATGGTCAGAAGTACAGGTGATAGCAACTGGCATCTGAAGTGGGAAGGGGGCAGTTTTGCATGACTGATCCCTCAATCTGTGGGATCTGATGCTATTTTTAGGTAAATAGTATCAGAATTGAATTGATTTAGAGGAACCCGGTGTCTGCTGGAGAATTGCTTGGTGTGGGGGAAAAATCTCCACATACCTGATGTCAGAAGTAACTGTGTAAGACAGAAGGAAAAATGCTTTGGAGTTTTTTGTTTTTTCTCCCCATCTCTATTTATATAGGTTAAAAATGTGGCTGGGTGCATGCCCATGATCTGAGCACTTTGGAAGGCCCAGGCAGGAGGATAACTAGAGGTCAGGAGTTCAAGACCAGCCTAGGCAACACAGTGAGACCCCCCCGCATCTCTAAAAAACAAACAGAGACAAATACATAAATAAATCAGTACAAGTACAAGCCTCATAATCCATTATGAAAGTGTCAGAGTGATGAATGCCATGGGCATAGTAACAGTTAATAAAGAAAATAATGTGTTGGAGGAATATTTAAGATAACTGAGGCTGCTACAAGCAAAACTACAGAATAATTTCATCATATACATTTTTTTTTGTTTCCAAATTAGATACAAGATTAAGCCTTGGGTCTCCCTGGCAGTGGAGGGCGATTCTGATATTCACATATAACTACCCACAGGGCATGGATTCTGAGAGATGCTGATAAAAGAAGTTGGTGTCTTCTTGGCATTTGTCCCCAAGGATCTTCCAATACCCAGAGAATCTGCATTTACACAGATCATGCTCCCTTGGGAGCTTCTCTTGACTGCCCCCCACACCCTCATTCGTGGCTTTTCCTCTTTGATCTCCCACTTCAGTCCTCACACCTGTCAACACTGTGCTTATTACCATGTGGAGTGGTTAGAAGATCTTCCCAGAGTCAAGACATTTCCAGGGTCACCCTTCTCTTAGGCATTTCTTGGCACGACTGTCCTGAATAAAGGAAAGGAGATGAAGGTGATGTTGAGAAGCATCTAGAGGGCTGGAGTCAGGGGGAACCGGCTGAGGCTGTTGGATCAAGTTTTAGCCACTGGTAAAAGACCTCCAAGCTGCGAATGCTATTGCCATCTGTGTAAAGTCGCCTCCGAGATTAGAACATGCCAAAGACTGAAGAAAGAGGTCTAGGTAGCATAAAGCCATCATGTAATTGAAGTTTCTTCCGTTTCCAAGGACAGGAAGCGTGCAAATGGCTCTGCGTTCTCAGTAGGGGTGGGGCTAAGAAGTGAGCCTGCAAATGGTAGTTTGGGCGAAGACTTGTGTGATGCATGCAGGGACTCAAATTTAGTGTCCTCTGAACACAAACACCCTCTATGATCCGGGTTAGGTATCGCTCCTGTGAACGTTCAAAGAACACCTTTATATTCTGAGGGGACACCGTTCATCATCAGATCACTGTTGACGGAAGCCAGGTGACAGCTTTGTATTTCGTGTTTTCCCCTTTAGTAATGTAAAAATAGAAGTTATTTCTCCTTTCTTCCAATGTAGGATTTTTTTTTTTGAGAGGGTCTCTGTCACCCAGGCTGGAGTGCAGTGACACAAACACAGCTCACTACATCCTTGACCTCTTGGGTTCAGATGGTCCTCCCGCCTCAGCCTCCTTAGTAGCTGGGACGACAGGCACATTCCACCGGCCCGGCTAATTTCTTTTTAAAGTTTTTGTAGAGATAGGGCTCTCACTATGTTGCCCAGACTGGTCTTGAACTCCTGAGCTCAAGCGATTCTCTCACCTTGGCCTCCCAGAGTGTTGGGATTACAAGCGCGAGCCACCACACCCAGCCCAGTGTAGGAATGTTTAATTCCTCCACTTGCTATCAAAGAAAACTGCTAACTTTCTTATTTCCTAATTTCTCTTTTTCTATTTGCTTCTCCTTAGGTTCTGCTCTTGGGTGCTATCTCCTTAGTTTTGAGAATATGAAGGTTTGTTTAGAAAAAAAAAAGCAGAAAAAATTCACTGGAAGATTTCACATTTGTATATATCTTTATGAAATGTGACAGTGAAGTGTTAGGGTAGAGATATTTGATCTGATTACCATTAGGATAAAATCAAATCTCCTTACCATGTCTTACATGTGTACTTGTCCAATCTTGTCTCCTATAATTGTCCAACCAACCCGTTCTGTTCCAGCCTCACTGGCCTTCTTATTCTTTCACGAAGCTCACACTGTCCTCCAGAGCCTTGCACTCTCTTTTGCCTGGAATGCTCTCCCAGATCTTAACATGATAGGAAAACAAAAGACAACTGTTTGTCATGTCTACTACAGTCTCAGCCCCATGAGGCAGAGTCCATGCCCATTTTCCTTCCATGCAACATTCCTGGCACCTAGAGAGTGACTGATGCATAATGGCTGGTAAAATATTTGATTAAAAAATATTTTAGTGTATTTCCTCCCCCAAAATATACATACACAACAGAGGCAGTTATTTTGTCTATATCTTTAGCACATTTTAGGCATTTAGTAAATTTCTGTTGAATCCATATGGAATTCTTCAGATTGATCTGTGAACACTTTAGATTTGAAAAAGGAGAAAATCATAAAACTAAGGGTAATGGGGAGAGAGCAAAACCAAAGGCAGACATGGGAAGATTCTCCTTATACAAAATACTTTTTCCATGTCTATAATGAACCCCCAAATTATCTGGATACTTACAACAGTGGTAGCAAGGGAATGTCTCGTTAATGCAGGTTCTCTATTCTCCTCAATTAATTTCAGGTCCTTAATTGTGCATGACATATGAAACATAAAGGGTGTTTATTTGCTAATCACCAGCATTAATTAATTCAAAGACTTACCTGAGATTCTGTTTGCGCAATAAAAATTAAAAAGATTACTCAGTAATACATTGGGAGAGGTGTAACTGGGGCATTAAAATACGAATGTGTGTCTAATTTTCAAACATCATAAGTATTTTGAAAGCACTTATACATAATCAATTAATATATGTTGTTAACTAAATTCATATGAATAATATGTGATATAAATTAGTGTTTTGTATTAATTTCAAGACAATTAGAAAGAGAATGTCACCATCACTCTTTTGATTCAATCAACAGTCCTTAGACTGGTTCCTTGTAATGAATTTAATGGGTTAGTAAAAGCTGTGTTATTTGAAATTATGTAATTTTGTTTTTTTAATATTTTGCTCAAATACTTTTCTTATTAGTGTAAATGACTGAAGTATTATGTAAATTTTAATACTGATTATCTAAGGTATATCATTAAAACAAATTATGAGCTGTGATCTTGGGCAAGGTACTCAAACTGAAAGATGTTTTCCTTATCTGAAAATTTAGATAATAATAATTACCTCATAGTCTGTTAAGAAAAGCACATGTGATAATATATTTTAATGTACAATATGTCTGGCACATATTAAGGTCTAAAAAGGATAACTGTTACTGTTATACCAATAAATATAATAATTTTGATAAATATAATAGTAATTTAAATATATTTTTTCCAACATTTATTTTAAGTTCAGGGGTACATGTGCAGGATGTGCAGGTTTGTTACATAGGTAAATGTGTGCCATGGTGGTTTGCTGCACAGATCATCCCATCACCTAGTTATTAAGCCCAGCATCTGTTAGCTATTCTTCCTGATGCTCTCCCTCCTCCCATCCCCTACCTCCGACAGGCCCCAGTGTGTGTTGTTCCCCTCCATGTGTCCAAGAGTTCTCATCATTCATCTCCCACCTATAATGAGAACTATAAACTCATAATTCAGCTCCCACCTATAAATGAGAACATATGATATTTGGTTTTCTGTTCCTGTGTTAATTTGCTAAGGATGGCCTCCAGCTCTATCCATGTCCCTGCAAAGAACATGATCTTATTCCTTTTCATGGCTACATAATGCACCACATTTTCTTTATTTAGTCTACCATTGATGGGCATTTGGGTTGATTCCATGTCTTTGCTATTGTGAATAGTGCTGCAATGAACATATGCATGCATATGTCTTTTATAATAGAGTAATTTATATTCTTTTGGTTATATACCCAGTAATGAGATTGCTGGGTCAAACAGTATTTCTGTCTCTAGGTCTCTGAGGAATTGCCACACTGTCTTCCACAATGGTTGAACTAGTTTACACTCCCACCAACACAACCTCTCCAGCATCTGTTGTTTTTTCACTTTTTAATGATAACCATTCTTACTGGTGTGAGATGGTATCTCATTACGGTTTTGGTTTGCATTTCTCTAATGATCAGTGATATTGAGCTTTTTTTCATATGTTTCATGGCCACATGTATGTTTTCTTTTGAGAAGTATGTGTTCATGTCCTTTGCCCATTTTTTAATGGGTTTTTTCTTGTAAATTTAAGTTCCTTATAGATGCTGAATTGTAGATCTTTGTCAGACGCATAGATTGAAAAATTTTCTCCCATTCTGTGGGTTGTCTTTTTACTGTGTTGGTAGTTTCTTTTGCTGTGTAGAAGCTCTTTACTTTAATTAGATCCCATTTGTCAATTTTTGCTTTTGTTGCAATTGTTTTTGGCCTCTTCATCATGAAATCTTTGCCCATGCCTATGTCCTGAATGGTATTGCCTAGGTTTTCTTCTAGGGTCTTTATAGTTTTGGGTTTTACATTTAAGTGTTTAATCCAACTTGAGTTGATTTTTGTATATGGTGTAAGGAAGAGGTCCAGTTTCAATCTTCTGCATATGGCTAGCCAGTTCTCCCAGCACCATTTATTAAAGAGGGAATCCTTTCCCCATTGCTTGTTTTTGTCAGATTTGTTGAATATCAGATGCTAGTAGGTGTGTGGTCTTATTTCTGGGTTCTGTATTCTGTTCCATTGGTCTATATGTCTGTTCTTGTACCAGTACCATGCTGTTTTAGTTACTGTAGCCCTGTAGTATAGTTTGAAGTTGGGTAATGTGATGCCTTCAGCTTTGTTCTTTTTGCTTAGGATTGCCTTGGCTCTTCGAGCTCTTTTTTTGGTTCCATGTGAATTTTAAAATAGTTTTTTAAAAATTCTTTGAAGAATGTCAATGGTAGTTTAATAAGAATAGCATTAAATCTATAAATTGCTTTGGGTAGTATGGCCATTTTCATGATATTGATTCTTCCTATCCATGAGTATGGAATGTTTTTCACTTTGTTTGTGTCATCTCTGATTTCTTTGAAGAGTGATTTGCAGTTTTCCTTGAAGAGGTTCTTCACTTACCTTGTTAGCTATATTCCTAGGTATTTTATTCTATTTGTGGCAATTGTGAATGGGAGATCATTTGTGGGTAATTTAAATTTTTAAAATCAAATATTTTATCACTCATTATGCATTATTCTTCTCTGGGATAGATAGAGATTTCCCAGAACTCCGATAAGCTTTATTTTAACCTATTTACCTCTGATTAATCTGTTTCACCTCCCGGTTGTTACTGTAGTAACTGGGGTTATTAATAGCCTCAGAGCTACCAAGACTTCTCTGTAAAACTGATTATCTTTTTCAGGATAGCATCCTCTAAATGGTTATGCAAGATTTATGGTTAAG